>NC_000023.11:80341329-80644360 GCF_000001405.40 Homo sapiens
TTATATGGGATTTGTGCCTTAAAAGTCAGACATGACTGCTTATTTCAAAAACAGTTCAATGAAATATTGATTGCCTACTGTGTGCTCAGCATTGCTCATCTGACATTATCAGAAACAGAATACTGAGCTGGATAGACTATGGGTCTGATCCAAAATGGCTTTTATTATGTTCTTGTTCAGTCAAAAGGAAATACTATTTACAGGACAAGATCAGTGTATAAGGCAAAAGTCCATAAAGCATATCAGGTTAAATTCCTATCTGATTTGCATAGCTAGCTCTGATCTAGGTTGGTAGTATGCTTTCATCCTCTCTAAACCTCAGAATTGTAAAAACCATTGTTTGTCAGTTGTAGCTGAGGTATACTGAAAATAATTCTTTTCTTTTTTTTTTTTTTTTTTTGAGACGGAGTCTCGCTCTGTCGCCCAGGCTGGAGTGCAGTGGCGCGATCTCGGCTCACTGCAAGCTCCGCCTCCCGGGTTCACGCCATTCTCCTGCCTCAGCCTCCCGAGTAGCTGGGACTACAGGCGCCCGCTACCACGCCCGGCTAATTTTTTGTATTTTTAGTAGAGACGGGGTTTCACCGTGTTAGCCAGGATGGTCTCGATCTCCTGACCTCGTGATCCGCCCGCCTCGGCCTCCCAAAGTGCTGGGACTACAGGCGTGAGCCACCGCGCCCGGCCATAATTCTTTTCTTAAAATGTGTATTGGGTAAGGCATATGAAGATATATAGAGAAAAAATACATATCATTTAACCTACCATGTAACTAGAATAAAAGAGACATTCAATTAAAAGGTAAATTCAAAATAAGAATTTATTTTAAAAAAAGGAACTATAAGAACTATAAGTCAATCTCATGGGTACCCTTGGCCTTAGATGACAGCAACTTACTCAAATGATACTTATCAGACTTTTCATAGAACTTTACATTAAGATGTTCACTTTCACTACAACACGTCTCAAATTCCATATTTGGCCCAAAAACCATACAATTTTGTTTCATAAATGATTGTGTGTCTAAGCTGCCTGAAAATAAAACAGTGAGAGTCTATGGTAACTGAGCTCAACTGTCCCATTTCTAAGTCAGGTCCTAAACTGAGGCTTAATGAGAATGAGGCAATGATCCAGACTATATAGAAATTAATAACTTTCTATTTCTTTTTTATTCAGATTATTTGTGAAAAGAAATTATCTAACACTTCTCATCTATCTAACTGGAGTTTCACTAGCTGGAGGTAAGATAAAAAGGTTAGAGAGAAATAAATTTTTAAATTGGAGGAATAATGAGGGATTATTTAACTTGTTAAAGACCATACATCAGATTAGTGTGAATTAACCCTTTCATTTTTTATTTTAGCTTTTAGACAACCCATAATTCAAGATGTATTTATGAACAAGGTAGAAAAGAGTATCTTGAAAATTCTCTTTGACAATTATGTTAATAAATAATGTATGATTTCAATAAGCAGTTGTTCAAATTTGGAGAGAGAGAAAACATTATGTACATGTGTTTGGCAAGCATATTCTCTATTATATGATTTCTGCTTTTGTCTGTCTTTTGTTTAAACCACTAGCATTTTTTTCTGTTAGTTTCTCCTTTCTTATTAGTCTATCTTTATTTTTTTTTTTACAAATTACCATATTCATCCTCATTACAACTCTCTGGATACTTTTAAGTCAACTTTATAAAGGAAACTCTAGTTCAACCTATTTTCTATACTTTACACCCAGAATAGGATCTACAGGAATTCACAGACTGCAGTACAATTAAGATGAAGATTTAGTTAATAGTCTCATATTATACAAATGCAGCTCATACCAGGTACAGGAGTGCATTAATGCTCAGATATTACATGTTTCTTGATATTTGCTAGAAACCTATTAACTTCTGACAAGGTGCCATCTACAAATTTGGTATTGAACATTCAGAGTGGTGCAGTCACTGTGGCATCCCCTAGTAAACAACTTTGGTTAAAACATAAATTGTTATTATATTTTAATATGTGTGCCTTATTTCTTTAATTAGTTTATAACTTTCTTTAGGACCAGGTCATTTTATTTCTTTTTTTTTTTTTTTTTTTGTCTGAGATGGAATTTCACTCTTGTCGCCCTGGCTGGAGTGCAATGGCACGATCTCGGCTCACCGCAACCTCCGCCTCCTGGGTTTAAGCGATTCTCCTGCCTCAACCTCCCGAGTAGCTGGGATTACAGGCATGCACCACCACACCCAGCTGATTTTTTTGTATTTTTAGTAGAGACAGGGTTTCTCCATGTTGGTCATGCTGGTCTTGAACTCCCGACCTCAGGTGATCTGCCCACCTCAGCTTCCCAAAGTGCTGGGATTACAGGCATGAGCCACCGCGCCTGGCCCATTTTATTTCTTATATGACTTTGGACACCTGGAACCAACAGAACTCCTTGCAAATAGTTTAAACTTTGTATACTTTTAATGGTTTATTTTTTTAATTAGTCACCTTTTATTTTAGGTTCAGGGGTTACATGTGCAGATTTGTTACATGGGTAAATAGCAAGTTGCTGGGGTTTGGTATACAAATTATTTTGTTACCTGGTAGAGTGAACATAGTACCCAATAGGTACTTTTTTGAATCTCAGTCTCCTTCCACCCTCCTCCCTCAAGTAGGCCCTGGTGTCGGTTTTTCCCCTCTGAATCAATGGGTACTCAAGGTTTAGTTCCCACTTATGAGTGAGAACATGTGGTATTTGGTTTTCTTTTCCTGAATTAATTCCCTTAGGATAATGGCCTCAAGATGCATCTATGTTGCTGCAAATGACATGATTTTATTCTTTCTTATGGCTGTGTAACATTCCATGGTGTATATGTACCACATTTTCTTTATCTAGTCCGCCGTTGATGGGTACCTGAGTTGATTCCATCTCTTTGCTATTGTGAATAGTGTTGTAGTTAACATATGAGTGCATGGGTCATTTTGGTAGAACAATTTATATTTCTTTGGGTGTATACCCAGTGATAAGATTGCTGGGTCAAATGGTAGTTCTGTGTTAAAGTTTTTTGAGAAATCTCTAAACTGCTTTCCACAGTGGCTGAACTAATTTACATTCCCACCAGCAGTATGTAAGCATTCCCTTTTCTCTGCAAACTCACCAACATCTGTTATTTTTTGTTTTTTTTTTAATAATAGCCATACTGACTGGCGTGAGATGGTATATCTTATGGTTTTGATTTGCATTTCTCTGATGATTAATGAAGATGAGCATTTTTTTCTTATGCTTGTTGATCATATATGTGTCTTCTTTTTTCCTGATAATACTTTAGTTCAATTGTCACAAGGTTATTGAACTTCAATAACTTTGATATTCATGGATCATAGCAGAAGTGGTAGTGCTTAGTAATGTTCCATGAGTAGCACTCTTCTAGGTTAAGCACACATTTCAAAAAGAAGTTTCAATAAACAATTTCTTAAATAATATTAAGAATAGAAATGTTATATTCTCAATTAAATATTATTACCTGTTTGCTTAAGAGACCCCTTCCCAAGCAAAAGATTAATTTAGATACTTTGAAGCCTGTGAACACTAATTTTAACCCATGTTAGTTTCCAGTGCTTTTCATTCATAGCACAAACTCAATGTCAGTACCTCTTATATGTGCTCTTATACTTAGAAGATCTAGGTCTTTACCTATAAACATAGAAAGAATAAAGAACACTCACTTTTAAAAACAGAATTACTCTCAATAAAATAATGTTTATTTATAATGAGTACTAGTACTCAGAAATAGTGACAGTTTAAGAAACTAGCTGCTTCCTCAAAGAATGGTCAGAAAAGTTGGAACGTTTTTTATTCTTGTTACCTCCCCTTACACCTTTATATAGTTCTTTGTCATATGTCTAGTTTTTCTTGCTATATCCTATATCCCTATATATCCTATATCCCTATATCCATGTATCATCAGAGATTCCAGAGATTCCTTCCAGTTTCGCTTGAGAGTCCCTTTGTAAAATGCCAGACCATTTCCCCTTTGTCCTCACCTCTTCATCTTCCTTAGAACTTAATTCCTAAGGGGATCTTGAAAGATCCACCAAACATTCCAGTAGGTCTTGTAACTGGCAAATTCCTTTTGGAGTGCAGACTATTTGACCTGAGACATCTTTCTTCATCACCTGGGGTCACAATCCAGGTGCATATTGGAGGTGAGAAGTTGCAACATGATGAGGAGTCTACCTAGCATATCATCACTGTGATAAAGTGGGAAAGGTGCTCCCAGGGATTACCCTGTTAGCATCCCTGCCTTACTTGTCCCACTTTAATTTTCCAAACATATGAGTGATTGTTGATAGAAGGATTCCGTTTTTCCTGCATATTCTCTGGAGCAATAGAAACTAGGATATCCATTTATCATTTTGTCTTCAAGCCCTCTCTGTAGCAAATCTTGGCTCTCTCTTTAGCCAGCTTAGCTTCTCCTCTTTTCTTTCTATTGCCAGAGTTGCCTGGTTAGAGCTTACAATGGTAATCTGCAGGGTTTCCATAAGGGTCCCTTTTGCCCTTGCTCTAATTCTCTTGTCACTCTGGCTTTCACCATGACCAAACTGAAGAAAGACCATTTTGTCCTAATCCAGTGTCTTCCTTGCCTTTTTACGTCCTCCCTCCCCAGTTATTGAGAAGTAACTCCTACATTTTTCATTCCTATTCTTGTCTATTTAATAACCCTGTGTATAGATCTGTTATAGTCATATTCTTCATTTGACTGACCCTGGTAATCACTGAACAGTTATAAACCTTCAAGAATTGTCATTTAAATGGAATCATACAGCATGTAATGTTATGTGACTGGCTTCTTTAACTCAGCATAATGCCTTTGGGATTCATCTATAAGTGGTTCACTGTATAAAAAGTGTATTCTTTTTTATTACTGAGTAGTATCCCATTATATGAATGTACCAAGTTTGTTTGTCCATACACCTGCTGAAAGATATTTCGGTTATTCCCAAATATCTTTGGGATATTTACAAATATAACTGCTGTGTATATTGATATACCAACAGCCAGGTGTGAGATTGCCGGGGCATGTGATAAGCGTGCTTAACTTTATAAGAAACTTCAAAACTGTTTTCTGGAGTTGTGATACCATCTTGCATTCTTACCAGCACTATACAAGAGTTCTAGTTGTCACATACCTTCACTGGCACTGAGTATTGTCATTATCTTTTATTTTAGATATTCTTATAGGTATGTGCTTGTATCTCATCATGTTTTTTATTTGCATTTATCTAAAGGCTCATGATAGTGCGCAGCTTTAATGTGCTTGTCATATTTATATCATGTTTAGTCAAGTGTCTGTTGATTATTTTGTTTATTTTTTTGTTTTTTACTTTAAGTTCTGGGATACATGTGCTGAATGTACAGGTTTGTTATATAGGTATACATGTGCCATGGTGGTTTCCTGCACCTATCAACTCATCATCTCGGTTTTCAGCCCCGCATGCATTAGGTATTTGTCCTAATGCTCTCCCTCCCCTTTCCCCCCAGCCCTGGACAGGCCCTGGTGTGTGATGTTCCCCTCCCTGTGTCTATGTGTTCTCATTGTTTGGCTCCCACTTATGAGTGAGAACATGAGGTGTTTGGTTTTCTCTTCCTGTGTTAGTTTGCGAGGATGATGGTTTCCAGCTTCATCCATGGCCTTGCAAAGGACATGAACTCATTCTTTTTTATGGCTGCATAGTATTCCGTAGTGTATATGGGCCACATTTTCTTTATCCAGTATATCATTGATGGGCATTTGGGTTGGTTCCAAGTCTTTGCTATTGTAAATATTGCTGCAATAAACATATGTGTGCATGTTTCTTTATAGTAGAATGATTTATAATCCTGTGGGTATATACCCAGTAATGGTATTGCTGGGTCAAATGGTATTCCTGGTTCTAGATCCTTGAGGAATTGCCACACTTTCTTCCACAATGGTTGAACTAATTTACACTCCCACCAACAGTGTAAAAGCATTCCTATTTCTCCACATCCTTAACCAGCATCTGTTGTTTCCAGACTTTTTAATGATGGCCATTCTAACTGGTGTGAGATGTTATCTCATTGTGGTTTTGATTTGTATTTCTCTAATAACCAGTGATGATGAGCTTTTTTTATGTTTGTTAGCCACATAAATGTCTTGAGAAATGTCTGTTCATATCCTTTGCCCACTTTTTGATGGGGTTGTTTGGTTTTTTTCCTGTAAATTTGTTTAAGTTCCTTGTAGACTCTGGATGTTAAACGTTTGTCAGATGGATAGATTGCAAAAATTTTCTCCCATTCTGTAGGTTGCCTGTTCACACAGATGATAGTTTCTTTTGCTGAGCAGAAGCTCTTTAGTTTAATTAGATCTCATTTGTCAGTTTTGGCTTTTGTTGCAATTGCTTTAGGTGTTTTAGTCATGAAGTCTTTGCCCATGCCTACGTCCTGAATGGTATCTCCTAGGTTTTCTTCTATGGTTTTTATAGTTTCAGGTTTTACATTTAAGTCTTTAACACATCTTGAGTTAATATTTGTGTAGTGTGTAAGGAAGGGGTCTGGTTTCTGTTTTCTGCATGTGGCTAGCCAGTTTTCCCAGCACCATTTATTAAATAGGGAATCCTTTCCCCATTGCTTGTTTTTCTCAGATTTGTTGAAGATAACATGGTTGTAGATGTGTGGTGTTATTTCTGAGGCCTCTGTTCTATTCTGTTGGTCTATATATCTGTTTTGGCACCAGTATCATGCTGTTTTTGTTTTGGTTACTGTAGCCTTGTATAGTTTGAAGTCAGGTAGCATGATGCCTATAGCGTTGCTCTTTTTGCTTAAGATGGTCTTGGCTCTTTTTTGGTTCCATATGAAATTTAAAGTAGTTTTTTCTAATTCTGTGAAGAAAGTCAATCGTAGCTTGATGGGGATACCCTTGAATCTGTAAATTACTTTGGTCAGTATGGCCATTTTCACGATATTGATTCTTCCTATCCATGAGCATGGAATGTTTTTCCATTTGTTTGTGTCCTCTCTTATTTCCTTGAGCAGTGGTTTATAGTTCTCCTTGAAGAGGTCTTTCACATCCCTTGTAAGTTGGATTCCTAGGTATTTTATTCTCTTGGTAGCAATTGTGAATGGGAGTTCACTCATGATTTGGCTCTCTGTTTGTGGTGTATAGGAATGCTTATGATTTTTGCCCATTGATTTTGTATCCTGAGACTTTGCTGCAGTTGTTTATCAGCTTAAGGATATTTTGGGCTGAGACGGTGGGGTTTTCTAAATATAAAATCACGTCATCTGCAAACCAAGACAATTTGACTTCCCCTCTTCCTATTTGAATGCCCTTTATTTCTTTCTCTTGCATGATTGCTCTGGCCAGAACTTCCAATGCTATGTTGAATGGGAGTGGTGAGAGAGGGCATCCTTGTCTTGTGCCGGTTTTCAAAGTGAATGCTTCCAGCTTTTGCCCATTCAGTATGATATTTGCTGTGGGTTCGTTAGAAATAGCTCTTATTATTTTGAGATATGTTCCATCAATACCAAGTTTACTTAGAGTTTTTAACATGAAGGGGTGTTGAATTTTATTGAAGTCCTTTTCTGCATCTATTGAGATAATCACGTGGTTTTTGTCATTGGTTCTGTTTATGTGTTAGATTACTTTTATTGATTTATGTATGTTGAATCAGCCTTGAATCCCAGGGATGAAGCCATCTTGATTGTGATGGATAAGCTTTTTGATGTGCGGCTGGATTCGGTTTGCCAATATTTTATTGAGGATTTTCACATCTATGTTCATCAACGATACTGTCTTGAAATTTTTTTGTTGTTTTGTCTCTACCAGATTTTGGAATCAGGATGATGCTGGCCTCATAAAATGAGTTAGCGGGGAGTCCCTCTTTTTCTATTGTTTGGAATAGTTTCAGAAGGAATGGTACCAGCTCCTCTTTGTACCTCTGGTAGAATTCGGCTGTTATTCTGTCTGGTCCTGGGCTTTTTTTGGTTGGTAGTCTGTTAATTACTGCCTCAATTACAGAACTTGTTATTGGTCTATTCAGGGATTCGACTTCTTCCTGGTTTAGTCTTGGGATGGTGTATGTGTTCAAGAATTTATCCATTGCTTCTAGATTTTCTAGTTTATTTGCATAGAGGTGTGTATAGTATTATCTGATGGTAGTTTGTATTACTGTGGGATCAATGGTGTTTCCCCTTTATAATTTTTTATTGTGTCTGTTTGATTCTTCTCTCTTTTCTTCTAGTCTGGCTAGTGGTCTATTTTGTTAATCTTTTAAAAAAAAACAAGCTCCTGGAATCATTGATTTTTTGAAGGGTTTCTCGTGTCTCTATCTCCTTCAGTTCTGCTCTAATCTTAGCTATTTCTTGTCTTCTGCTAGCTTTTAAATTTGTTTGCTCTTGCTTCTCTAGTTCTTTTAATTGTGATGTTAGGGTGTCGATATTAGATCTTTCCTGCTTTCTGATGTGGGCATTTAGTACTTTAAATTTCCCTCTAAACACTGCTTTACCTGTGTCCCAGAGATTCAGGTACATTGTCTCTTTGTTCTCGTTGGTTTCAAAGAACTTCATTATTTTTGCCTTAATTTCATTATTTACCCTATAGTCATTCAGGAACAGGTTGTTCAGTTTCCATGTAGTTGTGCAGTTTTGAGTGAGTTTCTTAATCCTGAGTTCTAATTTGATTGCACTGTGGTCTGAGAGGCTGTTATGATTTCTGTTCTTTTGCATTTGCTGAGGAGTGTTTTACTTCCAATTATGTGGACGATTTTAGAATAAGTGCTATGTGCTTCTGAGAAGAATGTATATTCTGTTGATTTGGGGTGGAGAGTTCTGTAGATGTCTACTAGGTCTGCTTGGTCCAGAGCTGAGTTCAAGTCTTGAATATCCTTGTTAATTTTCTGTCTTGTTGATCTGCCTAATATTGACAGTGGGGCGTTAAAGTCTCCCACTATTATTGTGTGGGAGTCTAAGTCTCTTTGTAGTTCTCTAAGAACTTGTTTTATGAATCCAGTTGTTCCTCTTTTGGGTGCATATTTATTTAGGTTAGTTAGCTTTTCTTGTTGCATTGACCCCTTTTCCATTACATAATGCCCTTCTTTGTCTTTTTTTTATCTTTGTTGGTTTAAAGTCTTTTTTATCACAGGCTAGTATTGCCACCACTGCTTTTTTTTGCTTTCCATTTGCTTGATAAATATTCCCCCATCCCCTTATTTTGAGCCTATCTGTGTCTTTGCACGTGAGATGGGTCTCCTGAATATAGCACACCGATGGGTCTTGTCTCTTTATCCAATTTGGCAGTTTGTGTCTTTTAATTGGGTCATTTAGTCCATTTACATTTAAGGTTAATATTGTTATTTGTGAATTCGATCCTGTCATCATGATGCTAGCTGATTATTTTGCACATTAGTTGATGCAGTTTCTTCATAGTGTCATTGGTCTTTATATTTTGGCTTGTTTTTGCAGTTGCTGGTACTGGTTTTTCCTTTCCGTATTTAGTGCTTCCTTCAGGAGCTCTTGTATGTCAAGTCTGGTGGTGACAAAATCCCTCAGTATTTGCTGTCTGCAAAGGATTTTATTTCTCCTTCAGTTATGAAACTTAGTTTGGCTGGATATTAAATTCTGGGTTGAAAATTCTTTAAGAATGTTGAACATTGGCCTCCATTCTCTTCTAGTTTGTAGCGTTTCTGCAGAGAGATACGCTGTTAGTCTGATGGGCGTACCTTTGTAGGTAACCTGACCTTTCTTTCTGGCTGCCGTTAACATTTTTTCCTTCATTTCAACCTTGGAGAATCTGACGATTATGTGTCTTGGGGTTGCTCTTCTCAAGGAGTATCTTAGTGGTGTTCTCTATATTTCCTGAATTTGAATGTCGGCCTGTCTTGCTAGGTTGGGGAAGTTCTCCTAGTTAATATCCTGAAGTGTGTTTTTCAACTTGGTTCAATTCTCCCTATCACTTTCAGGGACCCCAATCAATCGTAGGTTTGGTCTTTTTACATAGTCCCATATTTCTTGGAGGCTTTGTTCATTCCGTTTCAATGTTTTTTTTTTCTCAAATCTTGTCTTCACTCCTCATTTCAGTAAGTTGATCTTCAGTCTCTGATATTCTTTCTTCTGCTTGATTGATTCGGCTGTTGATACTTGTGTATGCTTCACGAAGTTCTTGTGCTGTGTTTTTCAGCTCCATCAGATCATTTATTTTCTTCTCTAAACTGGTTATTCTAGTTAGCAGTTCCTGTCACCTTTGTCAGGGTTCTTAGCTTCCTTGCATTCAGTTAGAACATGCTCCTTTAGCTCAAAGGGGTTTGTTATTACCCAACTTCTGAAGCCTACTTCTGTCAACTCATCAAACTCATTCTCTGTCCAGTTTTGCGCCCTTGCTGGAGAGGAGTTATGATCATTTGGAGGAGAGGAGGCGTTCCGGTTTTTGGAATTTTCAGTCTTTTTGTGCTGGTTTTTCCTCGTGTTCGTGGATTTATCTACCTTTGATCTTTGAGGTTGATGACCTTGGATGAGGTTTCTGTGTGGGGGTTCTTTTTGTTGATGTTGATGTTATTGCTTTCTGTTTGTTAGTTTTTCTTCTGACAGGCCCCTCTTCTGCAGCTCTGCTGCAGTTTGCTGGAGGTCTACTCTAGACCCTATTTGCTTGGGTATCACTAGTGGAGGCTGCAGAACAGCAAAGACTGTGGCCTGTTCCTTTCTCTGGAAGCTTCGTCCCAGAGGGGCACCAGCCTGATACCAGCCAGAGCTCTCCTGTATGAGGTATCTATCAACCCTTGTTGGGAGGTATTCTCCCAGTCAGGAGGCATGAGGGTCAGGGACCCACTTGAGGAGGCAGTCTGCCCCTTAGCAGAGCTGGAGTGCTATAATGGTAGAATCCTCCTTTTCTGGATCTGCTGCTTTCTTCAGAGCTGGCAGGCAGGAATGTTTAAGTCTGCTGAAGTTACGCCCACAGCCCCCGCTTCCTCCAGGTGCTCTGTCCCAGTGAGATGGGAGTTTTATCTATAAGCCACTGACAGGCTGCTGCCTTTCTTTCAGAGATGCCCTGCCCAGTGAAGAGGAATCTAGAGAGGCAATCTGGCCATAGCCGCTTTGCCACGCTTTGTTGAGTTCTGCCCAGTGCGAACTTGCAGGCCTTTTTAGCGCTGTCGGGGGAAAACCACCTACTCAAGCCTCAGTAATGGTGGATGGCCTTCCCCCCACCAAGCTCCGTTGTTCCAGGTGGACTTCAGACTGCTTTGCTGGCAACAAGAATTTCAAGCCAGTGGTTCTTAGCTTGCTGGGCTCTTTGGGAGTGGGACCTATTGAACGAGACCACGTGGCTCCCTGGCTTCAGCCCCCTTTCCAGGGGAATGAATGCTTCTGTCTCTATGGGGTTCCAGGTGCCGCTGGAGTACGAAGCAAACAAACAAAAAAAAAAAAAAAAAAAAAAAAAACTCCTGCAGCTAGCTTAGTGTCTGCCTGAACAGCTGCCCAGTTTTGTCCTTGAAACCCAGGGCTCTGATGGTAGAGGCACACGAAGGAATTTCCTGGTCTGTGGACTGGAAAAACCATAGGAAAAGTGTAGTATCTGGGCCGGATAGCGCAGTCTCTCATGGCTTCCCTTGGCTGGGGGAGGGAGGCCCCCAACTCATTGCACTTCCTGGGTGAGTCAACAGCCCACCCTGCTTCTGCTTACCCTCCGTGGGCTGCACCCACTGCCTAACCAGTCCCAATGAGATGAACAGGCTACCTCAGTTGGAAATGCAGAAATCACCTGCCTTCTGCATTGGTCTCCCTGGAAGCTGCAGACTGGAGCTGTTCCTATTCTGCCATCTTGCCAGCAGCCCTTGTTTACTTTTTAATTGGTTTGTCTTATTCTTAAGTTTTGAGATATCTTTGCATATTCTGGCTATAAGTTCTTTGTAAGATGTGTGACTTGCAAATATTATCTCCCAGTTTATGGCTTGTTCTTTCATTATCTTATTTTTTAACTTTTATTTTACTTTCAGGGATACATATGCAGGTTTGTTCAATAGATAAATTGTGTTTCATGGGAGTTTGGTTTACATATTATTTTGTCACCCAGGCAATAAGCATAGTACCCTATAGGTAGTTTTTTTTAAATTTTCGCCCTCCTCCTATCCTCTACCTTCATCTAGGCCCTGGTGTCTATTGTGCCCTTCTTTGTGTCTATGTGTACTCAATGTTTAGCTCCCTTATAAGTGAGAGCATGTGGTGTTTGCTTTTATTTTCCTGTGTTAGCTTACTTAGGATACTTACCTCTAGCTCCATCCATGTTGCTGCAAAGGAGATGATCTCATTCTTTTTATGGCTGCATAGTATTCCATGGTGTGTGTGTACCCCATTTTTTAATCCAGTCTACCACTGATGGTCATTGAGTTTGATTCCATGTCTTTGC
This sequence comes from Homo sapiens, assembly GCF_000001405.40. Classification (NCBI taxonomy): domain Eukaryota; kingdom Metazoa; phylum Chordata; class Mammalia; order Primates; family Hominidae; genus Homo; species Homo sapiens. Next base: position 80,353,712 of record NC_000023.11, read on the forward strand.
TATTGTGAATATTGCTAAAATGAACATATGCATGCATGTGTCTTTATGGTAGAACATTGTATATTCCTTTGGGTATACACCCAACACTGGAATTGCTGGGTTGAATGGTAGATCTGCTTTAAATTCTTAGAGACATTGCCAAACTGCTTTTCACAGTGGCTGAACTAATTTACATTCCCACCTGGAGTGTACAAGCATTCCCTTGTTTCCACAGCTTTGGCAGAATGTGTTATTATTATTATTTTTTTTTACTTTTGAACAGTTACCATTCTGTCTGGTATGAAATGGTATCTCATTGTGGCTTTGATTTGCATTTTCCTTATGATTAGTGATGTTGAGCATTTTTTCATATGCTTGCTGGCCACATGTATGTCTTCTTTACAAAAGTGTCTGTGACCCGTCAGTTTTTCCTACCTGCCTTCAAGAATTTTTCTTTTGTATTGACTTTGGAGAATCTAATGACTATGTGTCTTGGGGACAGTCGTCTTGTATGGTATCTCACAGGGGTTCTTTAAATTTGCATGTTGATCTCTCTAGTGAGGTTGAAGAAATTTTTGTGGACAATATCCTCAGATACGTTTTCCAAGTTGTTTGCTCTCTCTCCATGTCTTTCAGGACGGCCAGTGAATCATAGGTTTGGTCTCTTTACCCCATATTTCTTGGGGATTTTGTTCAATTTCCTACTTTTTAAAATTTTTATCTACCTGCATTGATTCACAGGAGGGGTCTTCAAGCTGTGAAATTCTTTCCTCAGCTCAATCTATTCTGTTATTAATGTTTCCAATGCTTTCTGAAATTCCTATAGTGATTTTTTCTTTTCCAGAAGTTCAGTTTGGTTCTTTCTTAAAATGGCAATGTTATCTTTCAATTCTTGGACTGTTTTACTGTATTTTTTGGATTGGGTTTCAACCTTCTGTATGTCAATGAGCTTCCTTGCTATCCAGATTCTGAATTCTATGCCTGTCATTTCATCCATTTCAGTCTGGTTAAGAGCCACTGCTGGGGAGCTACTGCATTCGTTTGGAGGAAGGAAAACACTCTGGCTTTTAGAGTGGACAGAGTTCTTGCGCTGTTTTTTGTTTTTGTTTTAGTTTGTTGTTGTTTTTAATCATCTGTGTGGGCGGATGTTCTTTTAATGTTTGAAGTTGCTGTCTTTTCGATGGGGCGTTTTACTTTTATTCCATGATGCCCTTCAGGGTTTGATTGTGACATGAGTTGCATTTAGTCAATTAGTTTTGTTCCCGGATGCTTTCAGGGGGCAAGTGCTCAGCTCAGCACAGCACACCTGGGCCATTTGTTCTAACCCCGAGGGCTTTGACCAGAACCACAGCTTTGTTCTCTGGCCCCTTGAAGTTAAGCACCTGCTACACTAGAGTGGCAGAGGTGTTTTCAGTCAGCTGGCAATAACACTCCAAAAGGGGCTGCTGGCAAATTCTACTGGCAGAGCAGTAGCTAGTCATGGGTGAGTGAGCTCTAGTGGGGTTCCGCCTGCAAAAGCACTTTGATGGGTAGCTGGGCTTTGCTGGCAAAAGAGCTGTAATGGTGACTGCTGACACGCACTTTGACTGGGCAGCTGAGACTGTTTTGCAAGTGGGTATGGCCAGGCAGAGGCTCTGGGAGAGGCCAGCAGACCACAGGGGTGCTGAGATTAGACTGGCCCTGTCCCACGGCCAAGATAACCCTGCTCTGTCCAGGTCCAGCAGCTAACAAGGGATAAAGCCACCTAAAGGAATATGGCAAGCCTTGGGAGATGGTTGCCTATGGCCATGCTCCACTGCAGCTGTTCCTGGGCCAAACCTTCTGGGCTCTGCACAGGCTGGAATTATGTCTCTGCCAACTCTCCAGGCAATTTTCTCTGGCAGCTCAAATGTCTGTGGGGGTCGTTGGGTCTCCTACAGCTTGAATTCTGCAGGTTTGTGACCATAGTGAGCCATTCTATTCCCTTTTCACTTACCTCTTTTCTAGAGCTGCTGGGGGCCAGGAATGATTCCTGTTGCTCCACAACCCTGTGTAGGGTTCCCAGCTTCCTCCCTTTTCAGCCTGGGGTCTGCAACCTCTTTCTGTCTACTTTCAGTACATTCTTTCCAAAGATCCGTTAGGAGTGGGCCAGTCTACTTGATGCTGTGGTCTCTCTTGGTAGGAGAAGCTCTTCCCAGCTGGTCTAGTTGACCTTCTTGGCTCTTGTTTATTTACCAACTTCTAGGGTGTCCCGGTATCCTATCTGTGGAACTCCCAGTACCTGCAGTTCATGGGGCCACAGAGGCCAAGGCAGAGCCACCTGGTGAGTGCCAAAGCCAAGAAGATGCAGCCATGGAGATGAGACCCCATCTAGGAAGGCAGTCCCACTTTAAATATTTTGAGGTTTTGTTATTACTTTTTTATATTAGAGCTATTCCTTTTATTCAGAGATAGAACTGTCTTCATATTCAGTTACATATCGGTAATTTGGAGAAATATGCAAATGTTTGAGGGGTAAGAAATTTGGAAAAGATAGAAGGCTTAGAAGAGAAACTCCTAGTTTATTTACAACAGACAAAAATGTCTGTTAAAATCATCTTTCTCCTTAAGTGAATATATCTAAAGTTGAGAGTAGCCTATTCAATATAAATAACAGAGTCTTTTGGCTACTTTTGGTATCAGTAACAGCATGAATCAGCTTCAAACAAAATGACGAGTGTAAAATAGTCTCTTATGAGCCATAGGTGTCTTTGGGCAAATAATGAGAAAAACTGATCAATTTTGGTGCTAGTAAAATTGTTCCTGATTTTATGAATCTGATCTCTTTATGAATGGTGTAATTACAAGTTAGTTGACTGATCTTATAATTTTACAGTTATTAAATATATATTAGTTAGAACACCCTTCTTGTTAGATTACTTTTTAAGAGAAATGTATTATCCTAACGCAAAAGATTCTTATTGTGAATATCTTGAAAAGAACTTACGATACCAATATAGTTAAGTATTAAAGGAAGCAAGTTCTGTTTTATTAATATTTTTAATTATATATTAAGAATTTTAGTATAGAAATGTAGAAAGAAGTTTTTTATTTTTTTATTTTTTAGTATACTTTAAGTTTTAGGGTACATGTGCACAACGTGCAGGTTTGTTACACATGTATACATGTGCCATGTTGGTGTGCTGCACCCATTAACTCTTCATTTAACATTAGGTATATCTCCTAATGCTATCCCTCCCCGCTCCTCCCACCCCACAACAGGCCCCGGTGTGTGATGTTCCCCTTCCTGTGTCCATGTGTTCTCGTTGTTCAATTCCCACCTTGGAGTGAGAACATGTGGTGTTTGGTTTTTTGTCCTTGAGATAGTTTGCTGAGAATGATGGTTTCCAGCTTCATCCATGTCCCTACAAAGGACATGAACTCATCATTTTTTCTGGCTGCATAGTATTCTGTGGTGTATATGTGCCACATTTTCTTAATCCAGTCTATCATTGTTGGACATTTGGGTTGGTTCCAAATCTTTGCTATTGTGAATAGCACTGCAATAAACATACATGTGCATGTGTCTTTAGAGCAGCATGATTTATAATCCTTTGGGTATATACCCAGTAATGGGATGGCTGGGTCAAATGGTATTTCTAGTTCTAGATCCCTGAGGAATCGCCACACTGACTTCCACAATGGTTGAACTAGTTTACAGTCCCACCAACAGTGTAAAAGTGTTCCTATTTCTCCACATCCTCTCCAGCACCTGTTGTTTCCTGACTTTTTAATGATCGCCATTCTAACTGGTGTGAGATGGTATCTCATTGTGGTTTTGATTTGCATTTCTCTGATGGCCAGTGATGATGAGCATTTTTTCATGTGTTTTTTGGCCGCATAAATGTCTTCTTTTGAGAAGTATCTGTTCATATCCTTTGCCCACTTGTTGATGGGGTTGTGTTTTTTTCTTGTAAATTTGTTTGAGTTCATTGTAGATCCTGGATATTAGCCCTTTGTCAGATGAGTAGATTGCAAATCCATGCTCATGGGTAGGAAGAATCAATATTGTCAAAATGACCATACTGCCCAAGGTAATTTATAGATTCAGTGCCATCCCCATCAAGCTACCAATGACTTTCTTCACAGAATTGGAAAAAAACTACTTTAAAGTTCATATGGAACTAAAAAAGAGCCTGCATTGCCAAGTCAATTCTAAGCAAAACGAACAACGCTGGAGGCATCACGCTACCTGACTTCAAACTATACTACAAGGCTACAGTAATTAAAACAGCATGGTACTGGTACCAAAACAGAGATATAGACCAATGGAACAGAACAGAGCCCTCAGAAATAATGTCACATATCTTCAACTATCTGATCTTTGACAAACCTGACAAAAACAGGAAATGGGGAAAGGATTCCCTATTTAATAAATGGTGCTGGGAAAACTGGTTAGCCATATGTAGAAAGCTGAAACTGGATCCCTTCCTTACACCTTATACAAAAATTAATTCAAGATGGATTAAAGACTTCAATGTTAGACCTAAAACCATAAAAACCCTAGAAGAAAACCTAGGCAATACCATTCAGGACATAGGCATGGGCAAGGACTTCATGTCTAAAACACCAAAAGCAATGGCAACAAAAGCCAAAATTGACAAATGGGATCTAATTAAACTAAAGAGCTTCTGCACAGCAAAAGAAACTACCATCAGAGTGAACAGGAAACCTACAGAATGGGAGAAAATTTTTGGAAATGTAGAAAGAAGTTTTAAAATACCCTCTCTAAAATGGAATAAAAAGGAACTATAGTGAAGCTTGTAATCATAGAAAAATTGTGATCAGACACTTCACAAAGAATACACATATTTTATTATAACCAAGAGTTTACCTTTTGCGTGAAGCTGTCTATGGTTTTGTTTATTTTTTATTTTTTTGGAAATATTCTTTGGAGAATAGTTTCTTATATAATATCATCGTACAAATGTCATAATAGTCAGGACTTACCTTTGTTGAATCTAACCAGTCAATTAGTGCACATTTTTGGATACATTCTGTTATTTCACAGCTCAATATAAGAAGGAAATGTAAGACGTGAATTCTGTCCTCAAGGAAGTTACTATGCAGTTGTAGAAATCAAACTGACGTACATTAAACACATGGAAAACATTGTGTTAACTTTGCAGCACTGGCTCTAAGTAGAAGAAAATAGTGTTGACTAGAACGTTTAAGGTTTCATGAAAGAGATAAGACTTAAAAGATTTGGATAGGTCAAGGGATGAAGGAAAGTATTGCCAGATAGGTAGAACAACTAGATCAAATACACAGAAGTAAAGATTAATACCTGTTTCTAACACTTCTCAAAAGTAAACATTTATGCTGCCAACAAACATATGAAAAAAAGCTCATCATCACTGGTCATTAGAGAAATGCAAATCAAAACCAGAATGAGATACCATCTCACAGCAGTTAGAATGGCAATCATTGAAAAGTCAGGAAATAACAGATTCTGGAGAGGATGTGGAGAAATAGGAACGCTTTTACACTGTTGGTGGGAGTGTAAATTCAACCATTGTGGAAGACAGTGTGGTGATTCCTCAGGGATCTAGAGCCAGAAATACCATTTGACCCAGCAATCCCATTACTAGGTATATACCCAAAGAATTATAAATCATTCTACTATAAAGACACATGCACACATATGTTTATTGCAGCACTGTTTACAATAGTAAAGACTTGGAACCGACCCAAATGTCCATCAATGATAGACTGGATAAAGAAAATGTGGCACATATACACCATGGAATACAATGCAACCATAAAAAAGAATGAGTTCATCGTGGATGAAGCTGGAAACCATAATCCTCAGCAAACTAACACAAGAACAGAAAACTAAACATCGCTTGTTCTCACTCATAAGTGGGAGTTGTACAATGAGAACACATGGATACAGGGAGGGGAACATCACACACCAGGGCCTATTGGGGGGTAGGGGGCTAGGGGAGGTATAGCATTAGGAGAAATACCTAATGTAGATGGCAGGTTGATGGGTGAAGCAAACCACCATGGCACATGTATACCTATGTAACAAACCTGCACGTTCTGCACGTGTATCCTAGAACTTAAACTATATTTTAAAAATTAATACCTGTTTCCACTCTAGAGATATGGCTGTGTTGGCTGAGTCAGGAACCCTACGTTAAATCCTAACTGGGAGATTATAGAACTCTGGTTTTTATATAATTAAATGATGTATTTCTTGTTTATTTTATAGCATATGTTCACTGGTAAAACCACTACAAATCAAATAAGCATATTAAGGATAATCTTAATCAACTTTCCCCTAAGTAGTAAATCCATATTAAAGATTGCAGTTGGTTCAGGGCTATGTGATATTAAAAGAGTTTTATACGTTTCTGAATCAGATGAGCGAGATTGAGAAATCAGTTTATAGCTTTTCCTGTACTACCTAATTACAAAATCATCTTTCCCCATTGCACTTAATATAATACAAAAGTAATAATGCCACAATAAGATCTCATTAGTACTAACTCAATGGCCAGAGAACTAGACAATTTATAATTTGTGAATAAAATTCAGGTTATCGATATTGAAAGCCATGTTCTTTTTTCTCCTTTGAAGAAATTTTAAATAACTAACTTTTTTTGGATGAGATGTCTACAGTTCTAATAGAGGAATAACATATAACCCAATTTAGGCATTTAAACCAAAATAAGTGACATTTTGGTTCAAGTATAAATTGGTTAATATTTTGATAGTTTGGATCATTTATTTTAGAAATTGTTGGTGCTAGCCATACTCAAACTGGCAAAATGTTATTTAAGTCAGAATTTTGGAATAAAATAATTTTGCATTTAGTCTAAACTAGAACTATGAAATCGTTTTTGTTAAATTATGATAATTATTTTTCTTAAAGTTTTTGGTCTTAAGAGGTTACTAGGAGGGTTGCAGATTATTGTTGGCTACACATGATATGAGAGAATAATGGTATGTGGTTTATGATAGTCTGTCTCCAGAGAGGTTACAGAAGAGTAGCTCAGATTCTCTGGATATTTGGGATAAAGGCACATATATTGGAAGAACCAAGGAAACTCTTTACTGATAACTGTCCATATTGAAGTAAAATTGAAAAGTATTAAAAAGGTAGTTCCAAGTCAAGCAAATTAGTTTTATGCATTATTCTCAGTATAGCTGACCTTAAGGTTTTTTAGATGAGAATCTTAAAAAGCTGGACATGGTAGCTCTTAAAGATCTAGTTTAACACTTCCATTTTGCAGAGAAGCAAATTGAGGTTCATAGTGGTCAGGTGACTTGCCAAGTGCCATATACAATATTTGAGTCAATGTTAGAATCAAGATCTCCTTCCTTCCAATCTAGTCTTTTTGTTTTTACTGTATTTCCTATGTGATTTAAAGTTTGTTGTTTAAAAGATGCTAACCCAAATATACCTCATCACCGTCCTCTCATACACCTCAGTATTCATGATTCTTATGTTATCCTGTTTTGATATTCCCAAAGGAGATAACTCAATATGGCCAGCAACGTTTCAGTATGAATTAGTTTATCAGTAGTTAAAAGTTTCAAAATCTAGAGGAGATGGGCACAGGTAAGTTTTGATACAGAAATGGAAAAGGAAAGGTCCAGAAAATGTTATGACCGGAGGTTCAAGGAGACTTAACCCGATATTTCCCCTAGGAGCAATGGTTCAGTATTTGCTAATTCAGTGTTTATTGTGACTTTGTAAAACATAATTACTGCAAATAATGAGAATCAACTGTACATGTATTCTTACTGTGTTTTTAGTGCTTCCTAGTCTGATAGGAAATGTCTTTTTTTGATATGTTTTTATCATTTCTTTCAGTCCAATTAATGGTGTATAGCTGCTCTCAAACTTTAGTACATATGTGGAATTATCTCTCTTTATACTTTATTTATCATGTTGAAATTTTTTGATGATAACTTTAGTATATCTTTATTTTGTAATTAAATACAAATTATCTCAAAAGACCTCAGTTTATAGTGTTATAAGTAGCCTGAGTTGCATCAGATGCTTTTAATATTGCAGTGCCACCTAATATAGACACAGTTCTTGGACATGTGTCTACAGCATTGATAAAATTTACTTAGCACTATTTTTAAAATGTCATTATTTATTCATTTAAATTTCAACTTTTATTTTAGATTCAGGTGCTGCATGTGCAGGTTGGTTACATTGGTATATTGCATGATGCTGAGGTTTGGGATATGTGATGCTGAGGTAGTGAGCATAGTACCCAATAGGAAGTTTTTTATCCCTTTCTCCTCTTTCTCCATTCCCCCTTTTTTGGAGTTCTCAGTGTCTATTGTTCCCATCTTTGTAGCCATATGTACCAGGTGTTTAGCTCCCACTTAAATATGAGAATATGTGCTATTTGGTTTTCTGTTCCTGCATTAATTCACTTAGGATAATGGCCTCCAGCTGCATCCATGTTGCTGCAAAAAACATGATTTTATCTTTTTTTTTTTTCTTGAGACGGAGTCTTGCTCTGTTGCCCAGGATGGAGTGCAGTGGTGCCATCTCAGCCCACTCCAAGCTCCGCTTCCTGGGTTCACACCATTCTCCTGCCTCAGCCTCCCGAGTAGCTGGGACTACAGGCATGTGCCACCACACCCGGCTAATTTTTTGTATGTTTAATAGAGACGAGGTTTCACCATGTTAACCAGGATGGCCTCAATCTCCTGACCTCGTGATCTGCCTGCCTCGGCCTCCCAAAGTGCTGGGATTACAGGCATGAGCCACCGTGCCCGGCTGATTTTCATTTTTTATGACTTTATGGTATTTCATCTCAGCCCAATTTTTAAAGTAAATACTTAGTTCTCTTCTACTCCCTATGTAGTAGCTGGCTGCCAGCATTTTGGAGTTTTGCCCTTTGCTTTTTTATTTTCCTTGCTATATCTCCTTTCTGTCCATTTTTTTCCCGCTTAATTAGTTCCCTGTCAACTGATCCAATTTTTCCTAAAATTCCTACCCTAAAGACTTAGCATAATAATACAGCTCACTGTGGTCCCAGAGCCTCTTCCCTCTAATGGGACTCTATTCCATTTAATCCAGAAGTTGCCACTGCTCTTTTTAAAGATTGTGAAATAAAACCAGAAATCAGCCAAATGCCTTAGAAAATTCTTAGATGTAATTAATCAGTGTCAATATCTTCATCTATTATTTTCATTGTCAGAAAAAAAAAGTGTTTCTAGGTTAAGGTAAATATAAAAGGATAATCAAGACTGAATAAAAATCTCAAACCTGTTTAAGATAAATTAACATGTGGAAAACATTGTATATTGCTATACAAAAAAATCTACTAATGCAGTAAGATTTTTATTTTTTCTAAGCTGTTACTAGTTTAATAAAAGCCATGTAATTATAATGAGGAATTTGGGGAGTGTTAAAAAGTACTTAAAATGTCTTTAAGATTCTTATTCAAAATTTATTTTAACCAGCTATTACACTGCTTTTCTGTGTCATTGGCAAGCTTAGATAGGGTCTTTGTTAACTGAATATTTTAAAATACCATGACATTTTGATATATTATTATTGAATTGATAATAAACCAATTACTGCATTTCCTAATTTATAGCATTAACTTGGAACACATTGAATATAAAAACCAAATTTTCCTGTTAAATTAACTTACTTAATGCAAGATGTGGCATAGAAGTCATTTTATGAGTATATCCAGGTTAGAGGATATTTTGACCAATGTTAAAATTTTACTGTTAGTCCCATAAACTTTACAAAGTTAACATTTTGTTCTAAACCCTACTACCAACAGTGACTTTAAAAGTGCATACTTTTATGTCTTTTATACAAAACTATTTAATGGCTTTATTTAATATTTTATTTGATTAACTATATCATCCAGTGTTCATTAATTGCAATGTGCCGTAAAGTTCGAAACACTGTTCTTTATGAAACCATTTCCTGTCTTAGTTTCCATAACATACTGTTCTTGTTTTACTCCTGACTCTGCCCATGCCTTCTCAGTCTCCTTTGCTGCCTTCTCCTCTATCTGTTCTCTAAAGTTGTAGTTCATAAAGCATTTGTCCTGGTTCCTCTTCTGTCTCTATGTTTTCTTCCTAGATTGGTTCTTCCATTTCTGTAATATTTTTGACAAGTAAAAATTGTATTTAAGATATGCGGTGTGATGTTTTGATACATGTAGACATTGTGAAATGTTTAACCACAATCAAGCTAATTAACATATCCATTACCTCACATAATTACCTTTGTGCATGTGTGGTGAGAACACTTGAGATCTACTGTCTTAGCAAATTTCAAGTAAACAATACAATATTATTAACTATAGTCACCATCCTGTACATTATTAGGTCTCTAGAACTTATTCATCTTATAGCTGAAAGCTTGTGCCATTTGACCATTTTCATAACTTTTAGCAACATCTATATACAAATTACTCCCAAATTTAGATCTCCAAAACCCTGAACTCTAGCCTCAAAAACCCCACTGCCTACTTTACAAGCTGATGTCTCTCAGGCATCTCAAATTTAACATGTCTATAAATGAACTAATGATTACCCCTAATTCAGGACAGGTGCATATACACCCATACACACACACACTTTTTGTTACTCTCTTTACTCCACGTGCAGTAAATGACACTGGTATTTGCCCACTTTGTCAAACCAGAAGGCAGAGATTAATTCTTTACTCCTCTTTCTCACATTTCACATTTGATCCATTATTAGTTCCTATGGACTCTACCTCAAAAACATTTCTGGATCTGTTAATTTATCTCTATTTAAAATGAAATGATACTGAAAACTACTCATTGGGTTTCTCAATATGTACTCTATATATAAACTTAAGAGTTTTAGTACAGTTAGGATAGGGAAGGTAAGATTGCATAGGGTTAAAAGTGAGTGAAAAGGCTCTTTGAAGAGGATGAGGAGAGATCAGGGGTCACTTTTCTTTGTTTTTATTAATATTTTGTTTGAATATGTAACTTTGAAGTCTTGACTTAAAATGTATATCTATATATAATATGTAGATATATAAAATATATTACTATATATTAGTTAGAAGTTTCCTCTTTATTTGTATTTCTCACTGGCTGATCTACCCTACCCACAATTAGGTAACTTTTTACTTTTATTACTTTAAAAACATTATTCTAGAGCTTCTGTTTGCAAATATAAATATATAGTGATATTTTATCTCCAAGAGAGATTTTTTTTCTTTTTTTTAATATGGGAAATCCTGCATAAAAAATCCATAGCAAGGTCCTCCCTCATTTGTTGATGCCACTTTTCTTTATCAGGATGGAGAGCATAAAGTAAGTCCTTGGTGCCTTCCTTCAGCCTAGCTTCACCTATGTAGAACAGAAATCTCTCAAAGTTTCTTTCTGGTATGGAGATACCACTCCAGAGTCTCTGGTAATGACAAGGGTTGTTTTTTCTTCTTTACATATTCCATTGGCCATTTTCGTGGGAAATTGTGAGTTATGGAACTTAGATGCTGATATTCAAATTTTGGTGTTACCAAGACATTGTAGATTATACTTTATACTTAAAATTTTGTGAGATCAGGAAAAAATTGTAAGGAATTATATTTCCAAGTTTTCAAAGTACTTTTTTTATTTTTAATGATATAGTTAGTAGTGTTCCTAATGTTAAGAAGCTTATTGTTTATGGAAAGTCACCTGATACAGAGTAAGTATTCTGCTTATTTTCTATGTAAGAAACATCAGAATCATCCACTGCATATGTTTTCATGGCTTGGTGTTTACTTTTTAAATGTGTGAAACATAAAATTTCTGAAATTTTTGTATATTTAGATCCATCTAAAACTAAAGCTCCCAGAAATATAGGAGTCCATAAAGAGTAGTTTTAGGCCAAGCTCGGTGGCTTATGCCTGTAATCCCAGCACTTTAGGAGGCCGAGGCGGGTGGATCACTTGAGGTCAGGAGTTCGAGACCAGCCTGGCCCACATGGAGAAACCCTGTCTCTACTAAAAATACAAAAATTATCCAGGCGCGGTGGCAGCCACCTGCAGTCCCAGCTACTCGGGAGGCTGAGGCAGGAGAATTACTTGAACCCGGGAGGCAGAGGTTGCAGTGAGCCGAGATTGTACCACTGCACTCCAGCCTGGGGGATAGAGCAAGACTCTGCCTCAAAAAAAAAAAATGACTTAAAAGAGATTAAATGAGATAATATACTTAAAGTATTTAGCAAACTACAAGACAGACAATGTTCAATGAAAGGTAGGAGTCATTATTTTATTAAAAGGAGCAGTAATAGAATAATTGTAATAGTAATAGTAGTTGTTCTTGTCACCATATTTTATTGTGTCATAGCAAATGTGAACTCTCTCCCAGGAGACTTTTAACTAACTGATTAATTCAAAGGTCTCACTTGTACTGTTCATTAGTATTTCATGGTATGTTAAGAAAAGTTGACAGTATTGACAGTGTCATTATTTATAATATTAAATAGATCTCTCTAGTGGTGAGTTTGAGAGAGAGAAAGAGAGAAGACAGGGAGTGTGTGTGTGTGTGTGTGTGTGTGTGTGTGTTCCATATGGACTTATTCCACAAATGTATTATGAAGCCTTAATTATACAAATTATTTAATGAAGTAAGCATTCTTATTGAGAAAATAGTAAAATGTCTTATTTACCTAGTACTTTGGGTTTAATGTAGATCTTAATATCATTTACTCTATAAACTACCTTTAGAATTTTGCCTTTTTATTGCCATGCACTTAAAGTAGTAATACTTTCCCAAACAAGTAAAAACAAGTTTTTGCCTGTTATCATTTTACTTATTAAAGAACTTTTTGTAATTTTCCCTTTTCTCACAGAATGCACAAGTGCTAAATGTTTTTGAAATAGCATAACAAATAAGCAGTTTTTAAAAGAAAAAGTCATATATTGTATTCTGCTTGATTTTTAGAAAAGGGATAAGAGAATGAATGCTTTATTAAATACTCACTACACATTTTCCCACTTAATCATCAAATAGCCATATGAAGTATATTATTGTTTTCCACATTTAATAGATGAGAAAACTAAAGTAACAAAGATTAAATAATTTATTCATGATAACAGTTTATGAATTACAGATATTCAGATTAAAGAGCAGTTATGTTAGGACTCCAAGACTATCATATTTTCTACTATACAATTCTGCTTTTAATCTTTATTGAGGAATCTATAATGTTCAAGGTACCATGCTGGGTACACTTACATAATATGTTATCTCATCTTAATTTTCATAACAACCATGTGAGATAGAAAATATATGCATTTTATACATGAAAGATGTAGGACTTTCAGAATGTAAGTAATTTACCAATGATTTTATAGATATGAAATGGCAGAGCTGGAATTTGATTCTCTATCAGTCTAGTAATTCCAGAGCCTAAAATCTATCACACTTTTAAACCCAGAGAGTTAATGGGAAAAGACCCCAATCCAATAACACTTCATGTCTTACTAATCATAATGTGACATGATCCCCTTTACTATGAGTTTTAAAATTTGTCTTAACATTAACAGTTCAATTACAATTAGAATTCTGATTTTGAGCAATCATCAGAGAAACACAAATCAAAACTACAGTGAGATAATCATCTCACCCCAGTTAAAATGGCCGTTATCCAAAAGACAGTAACAACAAATGCTTGATGATGGTGTAGAGAAAAGGGAACATTCGTACACTGTGGTGGGGATGTGAATTAGTAAAACCACTATGGAAATGGTTTGGAGGTTCTTCAAGAAACTAAAAATAGAGCTACCATACAATCCAGCAATCTCACTGCTTGGTATATGCCAATAAGAACGGAAATCAGTATACAGAAGGGATATCTATACTCCCATGTTTGTTGTAGCACTGTTCACAATAGCCAAAATTTGGAAGCAACCTAAGTGTCCACGAACAGACAAATGGATACAGAATATGTGATACATATACACAATATAGTACTATTCAGACAAAAAAAGAATGAGATCCTGTCATTGAAACAACATGAATGTAAATGGAGGTCATTACATTAAGTAAAATAAGCCAGATACAGAAAGATAAACTTCACATGTTCTCACTCATTTGTGGGAACTAAAACATGAAACAGTTGAACTCATGGAGATAAAGAGCAGAAAGTGTTTATCAGAGACAAGGAAGGGTAGTGGGAGTTGGAGAGGGGGAAGTAGTGATGGTTAATAGGTAAAAAAGTAGTTAGAAAAAATGAGTAAACTCTAATATTTGCTAGCACAACAGGGTGATTACAGTCAATAATAATTGTACATTTAAAAATAACTAAAAGAGTATAATTGGATTGTTTGTAACACAAGGGATAAATGTTTAAGAAGATAGATATCCCATTTATCATGTGATTATTATGTGTTGCATTCCTGTACCAAAATATTTCATGTATTCTATAAATATATACACTATGTACCCATAAAATAAAAATAATTTTAAAATTACCCAGAAGAAATAATTCTGAAACTAGTTGAAGAAAAGTTTATCTGCAGGATCCATTCTCTGTACATATTCCCTGGTTTGAGTCAGCAAACTCTGGAATTATATTTCCTAGAACAGTGAGGGCCTCCTTGACTTTCACTCAGCCTGGAGTTCCATCTTTTCTCAAACCCCAGTAATTCCTATTCATTTAAGATGGCTCAGATGTCAATCATAGGAACCTTTTATTGGCCACTCCGCACTGCCTTCTTGTATATTATTCTTTTTACTGGCAGGTTGTATTTATACTTTTTGGGTTATTGTTTCCAACTCTATTGAACTCTTTGAAGGCAGAGATTCTATTCATCTTTTATCTTGTTGGTCTGTCATAGTGCCCGGTGCCTCGTAGGTATTTGAGAATTATTTATTGCAGTCAATTGATTTAAATTTTATGTATATCTTTGCCAAAGCTGTACACATTTGAGCAGTGATTATCTTCCACCAACTGATCTGAGTCATTGCAAGAGGTTGATATGTTTTTATTGGCAACAAGAATTGACTGTAGCTTGAATAAAATGCCTTATACAAATGTACATATTTTTAAAACAGAATTACTTAGAGCTGTTACTGAATTAGTGTTATTGTTATATAGTTATTCAGTCAGTGACACTGAAGATGACAACTGTCAGGTGGGGTTGTGTGAATCTTTTTGGTGTTTAAAATAGCTCCTCATACTCAGAAAGCTTGGGGACCATGGAAATCAGGAACTTGCTGCTTATATCAACCTTTTTTTTCTTTAAAACACCAGTTACTATCACTTGTGAATGGCAAAAGTTCAATATTATGTCTATGTTATTTCAATAAGTATTTCTTCAGCTCTTATTTTTTTGCCAGATCTTTCCCTAGATACTGTCAAGAAAACCCAGAGATATAAAATATTTCTGGACTTGCCCTTGTGTATACACATTGTGGTTATTTTTGCTGCAGTTATCCAGTGATATCAGGTACAAGTGACTTGAGGGCTTAGATTATTCAATTAGTGTCTGTTTTCTTTGCATGGTATTTCACTTATGTTAGACACATTTTAATCAAGAAACTTGAAGTTTTTCATGGACATGAATAGTATTTATTCTATATCATGACTTAAAGGAAAGAGATGTTTCATAGCACATGCAAATGTTCTCAAATAGGAATTCAAAATAAAAATCCAAATGTAAGGAGAATCGTATTTAGATTGTACTTAGATTTTTATCTTTGTCCTGAAGAAACATTCCATTCTGAATGTGTAAAATAAAGGGAATTTTGAAAAATACAACAGTGAAAGATCAAGACAGAAAAAATGCCAGATCCCTAACATTTGAAATGAGTTAGCTAGCATTTAGAAGGAAACTTTATATGTCAATTGGTAAGTTCCAAAGAAAAACAGGTCAAAATACTGTTTATCCCCAACAGCTAATATTATTGTTACCTAGAGTACAGTTGACCCTTTAACAACATGGTTTGCGTTGCACTTGTTCACTTCTATATTTTTTAAAAAATAAATGTAGTTAATCCTCCATACTTATAGGTTCCCCATCTACAGCTAAATACAGATGGAAAATACAGTATTAGTGAGATGTGAAACCATAGATACATAGGTCCCATTTGTCTTATATGCAAGTTTGGCAGGGCTGCCTGTAGGACATGAGTATTATGGATTTTGATATCTGTAGGTGTTCAGGGGGCAGTGTCCTTGAATCAGTCCCCAAAAGATACCAAGGGATGACGGTAGTTTCTTCATAAGCATTTATTTATTTTTATTTTTATTTTTTAGAGAGACGCTCTTGCTGTCTCTCAGACTGGAGTGCAGTGACAAGATCAGACCATAGCTCACTATAGCCTCAAACTCCTGGGCTCAAGGGATCCTTCCACCTCAGCCTCCTGAGTAGCTGGGGTAACAAGTACGTGCCACCACACCCAACTATGTTTTTTTTTTAATTTTTTAAAATTTGTTTTTGGTAGAGATAGAGTCTCACTGTGTAACCCATGCTGGTCTCGAACTCCTGGCCTCAAGTATTCTTCCTGTCTTGACCTCCAAAGTGATGGGATTACTGATGTGAACCACCATGCCTGGCCCACAAACCTTTATTAATTATAGGAGGCAAATAAAAAAACAGCCAAATTGTTTGCATTCAACTCTGATGTGATACGCTACAATTAAACCTTGAGTGGATCATGAAATTATTATATACTTTTTTGACTTAAAGTACTTTTCTGATTATAAAATACATGTTAATTGTTGAAAATACAGAAAAAGTCTTTAAAAATCACCACAAGATATACAATTTATATTTTTCCCAATAGTTTTCTACTCATGTGTATATGTATAGCATATGTTTCACAATTTGGATCATATTATATGCAATTTTGCATACAGTTTTAACATCTTGAATGTTTTTCAATACTATTAAGTAATATTTTAACATGACTTTAAATGGCTGCTTAATAGTCTGTTATCTAAAATGTGTCTGACTTTTACTAGAGGCTTAAGTTTCAGTAAATATCTGTGCATAAATCTTTGTTTATATTTATTTTTTAATTCCTACTTTAAGCAAATGTGCTATCTCATTGGTTTTTTTTTAGTATACTTACAGAATTGATAGACATTGGCAATAAAAGATAAATAAGATATGTTGTTACTTCTAGGACTTGAGGGTCTAATGAAGGAGACAAACTTGTAAACAAATGATATGACAATACAATATGAGGTTTTTAACAATATGAAAAAATATGTATATGTCAATGTGCTAAGGAAACCAGAGGAGGAAACAACTATAACTCTATATGAAACTATATAATTCTTTGATTTCACTTGCTCATGTAAAATTTCACAAAACTTAGTTATTCAGCAGTGATAAGGAGAATAATTTCTTGAGTATTTGGGAATATCATGAGAACCATTCCCAATGGAAGTGTATAATGATTCCATTTTGTTGAGCTGCTTCTTACCTCCTAAGAGAGACTTTCTCAAAGTATGATCCCTAGACTGGCAGTGTCAGCATTACCTGGGAACTTGGAAGTACTATTTTGAGAGAAATCTTTTTTTTCTGAGCAGGAGGTCTTAACAGTGGGCTTCAAATATCCTCTAAACCATGCTATAGACATACAGACTATCATCCAGGCTTTGTTTTTCTATTTATAGGGCATAGAAAGAGTACATTTATCATAATTAGTAAGGATTCTAGGATTTTCAGGATGGTAAAAGAGCATTGGCCTCAACTTAAAGTCACCAGCTGCATTATCCCCTAACAATGGAGAGTCAGCCTGTCCTTTGAAGCTTTGAAGCTAGGCACTGACTTCTCTTCTACAGCTATGCAACTCATAGATTAGATCTTCTTCCAATAGAAGGCTTTTTCATCTACACTGAAAATATTTTGTTTAGTGTAGCCACCTTCATCAATTATCTTAGATCTTCCCGCAGCTTCTCCTTCAGCACTTGCTTCACTTTGCATGTTTGTGTTTTGGAGATAGCTTCTTTCCTTAAACCTCATGAACCAACCTCTGCTAGCTTCAGACATTTCTTCTGTAGCATCCTCACTGCTCTCAGCCTTCATTGAATTGAAAAGAGTTGGGGCCTTGCTTTGGATTAGGCTTTCATTCAAGGGAATGTTGTGGCTTCTTTGAACTTCTATCCAGACCACTAAAACTTTCTCCATATCAACAATAAGGCTCTTACGCTTTCTTATCATTGCATTCACATTTCTTATCACTGGTGTGTTCACTGGAGTATCACTTTTAATGTCCTTTAATAGCTTTGTATTTGCATTCATAAATTGGCTATTTGGGGCAAGAGGCTTAGTTTACAGGAGTTGGATCATCACAGTCCCAAAAGACTAAATCCTGAATGCCATGATACCAAATGTTGATCAAAATCCTGAAAGAGCAAATTCCCTGAAGTTTAAATTACTGAAGTCTTCAATTTCTAACATCTAAAATTCCAAAAATCCCAATCAGAAGATACTTGCATTATTTTAGGCAGAACTGTAACCTTTTAGTTGTCTTTATGTGTAAATTAAGTATGGTTTAAGGAGATGGTTTAAGGGTGTCAAGTTGACAAGGGGTGGACTTGTAGACCTGACTGGATTCAGGAATACCTAGAAACCTGGTAAAGCAATTTGCTATACTATGTATTTCATCTTCACATTATTTTCAATACTATAGGTATAAATTGGGTAGAGACTTTAGAGAATTTTAATTCATTTTGTGTATTTATTTTTGCAAATTTAACTTCACAAAAGCGCATTATCATGATACTGTGTGTAAGCATTGTGTGTATATATAAAAACATTGCAACTTCTTCAATAAATGAAGAGAAGTCTTTATTGTATATCTGTATTTGTGAAAGATAAAATTTCTAGAGATCTCGTCTCGTGGGATGATTGCATATGTAATGTTGAACCATCATGGATTTTGATTGATCTCATAAAAAGTATTAGGTTGAGCCAGGTGCGGTGGCTCATTCCTGTAATCCCAGCACTTTGGGAGGCTGAGGCGTGCAGATCACTTGAGGTCAGGAGTTCGAGAACAGCCTGACCAACATGGTGAAACCCCGTCTCTACTAAAAATACAAAAACTATCCGAGCGTGGTGGCACGCACCTGTAATCCCAGCTACTCAGGAGGCTGAGGCAGGAGAATCGCTTGAACCTGGGAGGTGGAGGTTGCAGTGAGCCAAGATCTCACCACTGCACTCTAGCCTGGGCAACAGAGCGAGACTCTATCTCAAAAAAAAAAAAAAAAAAGGATTAGGTTGCTTGTTACTGTATTTCATATTACCAAAGTTACAAAGCTAGATGCACACAATAATCAACCATAGTGATATGTATTTATACATTTCCCTTTTTGCCTATATCTTAATCAATACAATTTGTCTGCTCTTAACTGTTATACCTACACGACTGTCACTAGTATTGCAAAAATATGTATGTTGCTATTGCCTATTTCATTGTGTAAAGTGGCCTCTGAAGTATCCTGTCATGTGTATATGTTTCTCAAATAAGATCCCCTTTTAAAATGTAAATATACATTTTTAAAAATAATTTTTAAAATTATTTTTTTCAGAATTACATTTCCAGGATTTTGATCATTCAGGATTGTGATGTTCTGGACTTTATAGTTTAGGGATTTTGATTTCTCAGAATTTCAATATTTGGGATCTTGGCATTCAGGATCATGTCTTTTTGGATTATGATCTGCTTCCAATTTTCGACCTGTTGTAGCTTTTGAAATGCCTTATTCACTAAGCTTAATTGTTTTTAACTTGTGATTTAAGGTGAGAGACATGTGACTCTTCCTTTTGGTTGACCATTTAGAGGCCATTGTAGGGTTATTAATTAGCGTCATTTCCATTGTTCTTTTAGTCATGAGGCTGGACTTAGATTTGAATTTGGAGTGAACTCTGGAGAATCTTCTTATAATAGATAAGGAAAATGAGGCACAGGAAGGTTAAATAATTTGACCAAAGCTATATATCTATTCCTCTTGGTTAATCCTTCTCTCCTGATCTCCCATATATATTTAGTCACATCACCAAGTGCAATTGTTTCTAAAGCTATAATGCTTGGCATCTCCCCATTTTTCTGTTTTCTCTTTGCTGTTATCATGCTCCTGGGCTTTTGTCTGTTACCCATCTAATATATTTCATGTATATTTTTTAGATTAATCTTCACAAAAGCATTTTTTAAACTTTTAAGTTCAGGGGTACATGTGCAGGTTTGTTATGTAGGTAAACTCATATGTCATTGGGTTTGTTTTATAGACTACTTTGTCACCCAGGTATTAAGCCTAGTACTGATTAGTTATTTTCCTGTAGCTCTCCCTCCTTCCACCCTCCACCCTCGACCCTCTGAAAGGCCTCATTGTGTGTTGTTTCCCCTATGTGTCCATTTGTTCTCATCATTTAGCTCCCACTTATAAGTGAGAACATGTGGTATTTGGTTTTCTGTTCCCACATTAGTTTGCTAAGGTTAATGACCTCCAATTCCAACCATGTACCTGCAAAGGACATGATCTTGTGCTTTTTTTGGCTGCGTAGTATTCCATGGTGTATATACACCACATTTTCTTTATCCAGTCTACCATTGATGGGCAGGCATTTAGGTTGATTCCATGTATTTTCTATTGTGAATAGTGCTGCAATGAACACACGTGCGCATGATAGAAGATTTATATTCCTTTGGATATATACTCAGTAATGGGATTGCTGTTGCTGGCTCAAGTGGCAGTTGTGTTCTTAGGTTTTTGAGGAATTGCCACACTGTTTTCAACAATTGTTGAACTAATTTACTCTCCCACCAGCAGTATATAAGCATTCCTTTTTCTCCACAACCTTGCCAGCACTTGTTTGGTGATTTTTTTTTTACTTTTTATCCATTCTGACTGTTGTGAGATGGTATTTCATTGTGGTTTTGATTTACGTTTCTCTCATGATCAGTAAAGGTGTTGATAGTTTTGCCATGCAAAAGTTTAATTAGATCTCATTTGTCAATTTTTGCTTTTGTTGCAGTTAAAAGCATCATTTTTAATGGTTCACTTTCATACTCAGAAACTTTAGGTCTCCCTGTGACCTACAAGATGAAACCTAACATATAGATATAGAGGTTGAGTATTCCTTATCCAAAATGCTTAGGACAAGAAGGGTTTCAGATTACAGATTTTTTTGGACTTTGGAATATTTGCATTTTACTGGTTAAGCATCCTAAATCTGAAAATAAGAAATGCTCTATTGACCATTTTTGGGGGGTGTCATGTCAGCTCTCAGAACGTTTTGGATTCTGGAGCATTTCAGATTTCAGATTTTTGGATTTTGGATGATCAACCTGTATTTTCAACTTGGTGTCCTACAATTATTCTATTGTCTATATAAACCTGTCTGATTTTTTCATTTCCTCCCACATGCATGCTTTGTGTATTCCATTTCTGTTCTTTCATTGCTATTGTCTTGCATTCTGTTTCCACTTGTAGTTTAAATTTTTTTCTTTTCTGGAATATTCACTTCATCTCTGTTACCCATTTATCAGAATTCTACCTATCTTTCAAAACAAAACTTAAATTTCATACATAGAAACCTTTTCTGATCATACTCATTCTCTCTGTTCTCTTAGCTGTTATACTCATTTTCTGTGCAGTTAATTGTATATTTAATTGTATGCACTGCTTGTGTTGCTAGTTGACCTTTCGGGTGTATATATCTTATTTTCCTAGCTTGCTTGTAAATTCTTAGTAGGCAAGGACAGTGCCTTATTTTTTTGTGGTCCCTAAAGTGTCTTATTGTAATAGGTGCTCAATAAGCATGTGGTTTGCAATATTGAAGACATGATAACTTTATAAGTTTTGCTGCACTGAAAAAGTCCTCATTGTTTACAGGTTTCTAATTGTATTTTCTACAATTTGTCCATGTATATTTTCAGTCAGTTTAATTCAGGTGACCTTTTCATCCATTTGCTTTTTTTCTCTTTATTTTCTACCTCCTTTGTGTACTCATTTCTGGACAAGAAACTTCTCCATGGAAAACACTGTTTCTATGATGTTGATACAACTCATGTTAATTTTTAGTGAAAGCTTATGTGATAATTATTTCATAGTATTTCTTAACAAAAAGCAGAAACCTTTAGTGACAAATAATGTGAAAACTCAAGTATCTAGCCTACAGAGTTCTGATAAACATAGCCCTCTTTGTAGAGTGCTGTTGGTATTTTTATTCTCTTAAGATTGTAGCTTTGTATTTATTGATGATTCTGGTGAAATGGAATACCTGCTTGTAATAAGTAAGGCAATAAGTACTATTTGCCATATGCTGTTTCATTTTTATTTGATTGAAATATATTTTTATGTGTCTAGATAGTAAATTGGATAACAACAGTTTTCTGAAATGTTCACACTGTTGGGCTAGATAAGAAGTTTCAGTGTTTTTTTTTTCTTTGAGGAGTATATGATAGCTCTCTAAGACAGTTTGGTATATTTCACTACTTGTAGTAATTAACGTTTATGGCCCAATTGTTTATTCCATTTGATTTTAATTTTCCTCTGTTTAAAGAACAAGAAGTAAATACTGAATTTTAAATCTTTTTTTGTTAATCTTCATTTATAAAATCAATAAAGTACTGAAAAGTTTCTGTACTTTACAGTATTTCTGTTTTCTATCATAATTCGTTAATAGTATATACATAAAAATATATCTGCTAGATGGCTATAGTCAGATAATTATGTCTTTTATTTAAACACTGATGGCTGAAATTCATCTTTTTCTTTAGCATGTTACTTTCCTTTATGTATTGTAGTAAATATTAACATCCTCTCCTAATTTCTCGTGTCTAGGCCATCTTTGGTCAAACATTCTTTTTAAATTTAACAGAATGTGCAATAAGCATATGTGTTTTAAAAAACTATTTTTAAATTGGCTAATATTATCATGTTATTGGATCTCTATTGTTCATGTGCTGATTATTTTGTACATAAAATCCCTGCTGGATTTTAGCTCTCCCCATGTAGGTTTTTCTTGCTGAGTAGCCGATGTATGTATATTCAAGGAATAAAATTTAATCTTATATTCTCTAATCAGAAAGTCCCATAGAAAAGTGAATTTTCTGTCAGAGATCTGTAATATATTTTAAGGTCAAACATAGCACTTTGGGTTATTATCCATTGTTTTGAATTATTTATATATCTTCACTTCCATTTTAGCACTCATAATAAATATTTAACAGTTTACTTCCTAGATCATGATACATAGTTAATTACAATAGGAAATTCAAGATATGTTAAGAATATAGTGAGCACCTGAGTCAGGGAGAGGACACTATCAGTAGGGATAATGACTATTATAGGGGCTGCTGGGGTCACTTTGATTATTTCCCCAATTTTTATTTTTTTCATGTTTAGTCTTTATTGCCAATAGACACTCCCAGTGAAAGTCATCCTTGCAGATAATAATCTTAAAGGGTAGGATTATTACAACTTCCTATCAAATAATTGGCAATGATTTTAATTCATATACTTACCCAAACTTAACTTTTATATTAATTGATTATAATGTTGCTAGATTAGTGATAATCATTAATCATTATGCAAAACAGTACTTTTTGAAAATTATACTTTAAGTTCTAGGGTACATGTGCACAACATGCAGGTTTGTTACATAAGTATACATGTGCCATGTTGGTTTGCTGCACCCATTAACTCATCATTTACGTTAGGTATTTCTCCTAATACTATCCCTCCCCCATATACCCACTCCACGACAGGCCCCAGTGTGTGATGTTCCCCGCCCTGTGTCCAAGTGTACTCATTGTTCAGTTCCCACCTATGAGTGAGAACATGTGGTGTTTGGTTTTCTGTCCTTGCAATAGTTTCCTCAGAATGATGGTTTCCAGCTTCATCCATGTCCCTACAAAGGACATGAACTCATCATTTCTTATGGCTGCATAGTGTTCCATGGTGTATATGTGCCACATTTTCTTAATCCAGTCTATCATTGATGGACATTTGGGTTGGTTCCATGTCTTTGCTGTTGTGAATAGTGCCACAATAAACATACGTGTGCATGTGTCTTTATAGTAGCATGATTTATAATCCTTTGGGTATATACCCAGTAATGGGGTCCCTGGGTCAAATGATATTTCTAATTCTAGATCCTTGAGGAATCGCCACACTGTCTTCCACAATGGTTGAACTAGTTTACACTCCCACCAACAGTGTAAAAGCGTTCCTATTTCTCCACATCCTCAGCAGCACCTGTGGTTTCCTGACTTTTTAATGATCGCCATTCTAACTGGTGTGAGATGGTATCTCATTGTGGTTTTGATTTACATGTCTCTGATGACCAGTGATGATGAGCATTTTTTCATGTGTCCTTTGGCTGCATAAATATCTTCTTTTGAGAAGTGTCTGTTCATATCCTTTGCCCACTTTTTGATGGGGTTGTTTGATTTTGTCTTGTAAATTTGTTTAAGTTCTTTGTAGATTATGGATGTTAGCCTTTTGTCAGATGGGTAGATTGCAAAAATGGTCTCCCATTTTGTAGGTTGCCTCTTCACTCTGATGGCAGTTTCTTTTGTTGTACAGAAACTCTTTAGTTTAATTAGATCCAATCTGTCAATTTTGGCTTTTGTTGCCATTGCTTTTGGTGTTTTAGACATGAAGTCCTTACCCATGCCTATGTCCTGAATGGTATTGCCTAGGTTTTCTTCTAGGGTTTTTATGGTTTTAGGTCTAAGATTGAAGTCTTTAATCCATCTTAAATTAATTTTTGTATAAGGGGTAAGGAAGGGATACAGTTTCAGCTTTCTACATATAGCTAGCCAGTTTTCCATTTTTTTAAATAGGACATCCTTTCCCCATTTCTTATTTTTGTCAGGACCATTATTAAATAGGGCATCCTTTCCCCATTTCTTATTTTGGTCAGGTTTGTCAAAGATCAGATGGCTGTAGATGTCTGGTGTTATTTCTGAGGCCTTGGTTCTGTTCCATTAGGCTATATCTCTGTTTTGGTAGCAGTACCATGCTGTTTTGGTTACTGTAGCCTTGTAGTATAGCTTGAAGTCAGGTAGCGTGATGCCTCCAGCTTTGTTCTTTTGGCTTAGGATTGTCTTTGCAATGCAGGCTCTTTTTTGGTTCCATATGAACTTTAAAGTAGTTTTTTCCTATCTGCAAACAGAGACAATTTAACTTCCTCATTTCCTAATTGATTACCCTTTATTTCTTTCTCTTGCCTGATTGCCTGGCCAGAACTTCCAACACTATGTTGAATAGGAGTGGTGAGAGAAGGCATCCCAGTCTTATGTCAGTTTTCAAAGGGAATGCTTCCAGTTTTTGCCCATTCATTATGATATTGGCTGTGGGTTTCTCATGAATTGCTCTTATTATTTTGAGATACGTTCCATCAATACTTAGTTTATTAAGAGTTTTTAGCATGAAGGGCTGTTGAATTTTGTCGAAGGCCTTTTCTGCATTCTCTTGCAGAAAAGGCCTTTTCTGCATTCTCTTGCAGAAAAGGCCTTTTCTGCATTCTATTCTGCATTCCATTCTGCATTCTATTGAGATAATCATGTGGTTTTTGTCTTTGGTTCTGTATATATGATGGATTACGTTTATTGATTTGCATATGTTGAACCAGCATTGCATCCCAGGGATTAAGCCAACTTGATCTTGGTGGATAAGCTTTTTGATGTGCTGCTGAATTCGGTTTGCCAGTATTTTATTGAGGATTTTCATATCGCTATTCATCAGGGATATTGGTCTGAAATTCTCTTTTTTTGTTGTGTCTCTGCCAGGCTTTGGTATCAGGATGATGCTGGCCTCATAAAATGAGTTAGGGAGGATTCCCTCTTTTTCCCTCTTTTTCTATTGATTGGAATAGTTTCAGAAGGAATGGTACCAGCTCCTCTTTGTACCTCTGGTAGAATTCGGCTGTGAATCCATCTGGTCCTGGACTTTTTTTGGTTGGTACGCTATTAATTATTGCCTCAGTTTCAGAGCCTGTTATTGGTCTATTCAGGGATTCAACATCTTCCTGGTTTAGTCTTGGGAGGGTGTATGTGTCAGGGAATTTATCCATTTCTTCTAGATTTTCTAGTTTATTTGCATAGAGGTGTTTACAGTATTCTCTGATGGTAGTTTGTATTTCTGTGGGATCTGTGGTGATATCCCCTTTATCATTTTTATGGCACCTATTTGATTCTTCTCTCTTTTCTTCTTTATTATTCTTGCTAGTGGCCTATACATTTTGTTGATCTTTTCAAAAAACCGGCTCCTGGATTCATTGATTTTTTTGAAGGGTTTTTTGTATCTCTTTCTCCTTCAGTTCTGCTCTGATCTTAGTTATTTCTTGTCTTCTGCTTGCTTTTGAATTTGTTTGCTCTTGCTTCTCTAGTTCTTTTAATTGTGATGTTAGGGTGTCAATTTTAGATCTTTCCTGCTTTCTCTTGTGGGCATTTAGTGCTATAAATTTCCCTCTACACAGTGCTTTAAATGTGTCCCAGAGATTCTGGTATGTTGTGCCTTTGTTCTCATTGGTTTCAAAGAACATCTTTATTTCTGCTTTCATTTCATTATGTATCCAGTAGTCATTCAGGAGCAGGTTGTTCAGTTTCCATATAGCTGTGTGGTTTTGAGTGAGTTTCTTAATCCTGAGTTCTAATTTGATTGCACTGTAGTGTGAGAGACAGTTTGTTTTGATTTCTGTTCTCTTACATTTCCTGAGGAGTGCTTTGCTTCCAACTATGTGGTCAGTTTTGGAATAAGTGTGATGTGGTGCTGAGAAGAATGTATATTCTGTTGATTTTTGGTGGAGAGTTCTGTAGATGTCTATTACGTCTGCTTGGTGCTGAGCTGAGTTCAAATCCTGGGTATCCTTGTTAACCTTCTGTCTCATTGATCTGTCTAATATTGACAGTGGGGTGTTAAACTCTCCCATTATTATTGTGTGGGAGTCTAAGTCTCTTTGTAGGTCTCTAAGAACTTGCTTTATGAATTGGGTGCTCCTGTATTGGGCGCATATATATTTAGGACAGTTAGCTCTTTGTGTTGAATAGATCCCTTTACCATTATGTAATGGCCTTCTTTGTCTGTTTTGATCTTTGTTGGTTTAAAGTCTGTTTTATCAGAGACTAGGATTGCAACCCCTGCTTTTTTTTGCTTTCCATTTGCTTGGTAGATCTTCCTCCATCCCTTTATTTTGAGTCTATGTGTGTCTTTGCATGTGAAATGGGTCTCCTGAATACAGCACACTGATGGGTCTTGAATCTTTATCCAATTTTTCAGTCTGTGTCTTTTAATTGGGGCATTTAGCCCATTTACGTTTAAGGTTAATATTGTTATATGTGAATTGGATCCTGTCATCATGATGTTAGCTGCTTATTTTGCCCGTTAGTTGATGCAGTTTCTTCCTACCATCAATGGTCTTTACAATTTGGCATGTTTATGGAGTAGTTGGTACCAGTTGTTCCTTTCCATGTTTAGTGCTTCCTTCAGGAGCTCTTGTAAGGCAGGCCTGGTGGTGACAAATTCTCTCAGCATTTGCTTGTCTGTGAAGGATTTTATTTCCCCTTCACTTATGAAGCTTAGTTTGGCTGGATATGAAATTCTGGGTTGAAACTTCTTTTCTTTAAGAATGTTGAATATTGGCCCCCACTCTCTTCTGGCTTGTAGAGTTTCTGCTGAGAGATCTGCTGTTAGTCTGATAGGCTTCCCTTTGTGGGGAACCTGACCTTTCTCTCTTGCTGCCCTTAACATTTTTTCCATCATTTCAACCTTGGTAAATCTGACAATTGTGTCTTGGGGTTGCTTTTCTCGAGGAGTATCTTTGTGGTGTTCTCTGTATTTCCTGAATTTGAATGTTGACCTGCCTTGCTAGGTTGGGGAAGTTCTCCTGGATAATATCCTGGTGAGTGTTTTCCAGCTTGGTTCCATTCTCCCCATCACTTTCAGGTATGCCAATCAAATGTAGATTTGGTCTTTTCACATAGTCGCATATTTCTTGGATGCTTTGTTCATTTCTTTTTACTCTTTTTTTCTCTAAACTTCTCTTCTTGCTTCATTTCATTCATTTGATCTTCAATCACTGATACCCTTTCTTCCACTTGATTGAATCAGCTACTGAAGCTTGTGCATGCGTCATGTAGTTCTCATGTCATGGTTTTCAGCTCCATCAGGTCATTTAAGGTCTTCTCTACACTTTATTCTAGTTAGCCATTCATCTAATCTTTTTTCAAGGTTTTTAGCTTCCTTGCAATGAGTTCGAACATCCTTCTTTAGCTCGGAGAAGTTTGTTATTACCAGCCTTCTGAAACCTACTTCTGTCAACTTGTCAAAGTCATTCTCTGTCCAGCTTTATTCCGTTGCTGGCGAGGAGCTGCAATCCTTTGAGTAGAGGTGCTCTGGTTTTTAGAATTTTCAGCTTTTCTGCTCTGGTTTCTCCCCATCTTTGTGGTTTTATCTACCTTTGATCTTTGATGATGGTGACCTACACATGGGATTTTGGTGTGGATGTCCTTTTTGTTGATGTTGATGCTATTCCTTTCTGTTTGTTAGTTTTCCTTCTAACAGTCAGGTCCCTCAGCTGCAGGTCTATTGGAGTTTTCTGGAGGTCCACTCCAGACCCTGTTTGCCTGGGTATCACCAACAGAGGCTGCAGAATAGCAAATATTGCAGAACAGCAAATATTGCTGCCTGATCCTTCCTCTGGAAGCTTTGTCTCAGAGGACCACCCGGTTGTATGAGGTGTCAGTCGGCCCCTACTGGGGTGTGTCTGGGAGGTGTCTCCCAGTTAGGCTACACGGGGGTCAGGGACCCACTTGAGGAGGCAGTCCGTTCTCAGAGCTCAAACACTGTGCTGGGAGAACACTGCTCTCTTCACTGCTGTCAGACAGGTACGTTTAAGTCTGCAGAAGTTTCTGCTACCTTTTGTTTAGGTGTGTCCTGAGGAGGGGTCTGCAGAGGAGGGGTCTGCAGAGGCAGGCAGGCCTCCTTGAGCTGTGGTGGGCTCCACCCAGTTCAAGCTTCTGGCCACTTTGTTTACCTACTCAAACTTCAGCAATGGCGGACGCCCCCCCCCCACTGCCAGGCTGCTGCCTCGCAGTTCAATCTGGGACTGCTGCACTAGCAGTGAGCAAGGCTCCGTGGACGTGGGACTGACTGAGCCATGCACAGGATATAATTTCCTGGTGTGCCATTTGCTAAGACCATTAGAAAAGTGCAGTATTAAGGCAGGAGTGTCGCAATTTTCCTGGTACAGTCTTTCACGGCTTCCCTTGGCCAGGAAAGGGAAATCCCCCGACCCCTTGGCTTCCTGGGTGAGGGGATGCCCCACCCTGCTTCAGCTCGCCTTCCATGGGCTGCACCCACTGTCCAAGCAGTCCCAGTGAGGTGAACCATGTACCTCAGTTGGAAATGCAGAAATCACCCATCTTCTGCATCGATCACGCTGGGAGCTACAGACTGGAGCTGTTCCTATTCGGCCATCTTGGAACAGATCCAAGGTAGTACTTTTAAATTTGCTTTAAAACTACTCAAATTTTGAACAGTGCCCCTTCTATTAATTTATAATTTTAAAAGCTACTTTATATGACATTCCACGATTTTAGAGATATTTCTCATACCCTTTTCCAACTGCAGCAAACTCTGTGATGCTTCATGCAGACTCACTTTATGAGGTGAGCATATCTATCTTTCAGCCACTATAAATGTTGGCCTCTAACAGCTCACAAATTACTCAGTCTCCAGAGAACTGCCCTTGGCTGATGAGTGCCTTCTTTCTTCTAGAAAAGAAGACACAGTTTATAGCCACCAGGTCACTGAATAACTAGTGTATCTTCATATATATAAAAGTACTGATTTTTAAAAAATCAAAATCATTTGTCCTCCAAATAAACTGTTTCTCATTGCTATCATTCCCATTAATAAACAGCAAAACTTGGGCCGGGCGCATTGGCTCACGCCTGTAATCCCAGCACTTTGTGAGGCCGAGGCAGGCAGATCACAAGGTCAGGAGATCAAGACCGTCCTGGCTAATACAGTGACACCCGGTCTCTACCAAAAACACAAAAAATTAGCCGGGCATGGTGGTGGGCACCTGTAGTCCCAGCTACTCGGGAAGCTGAGGCAGGAGAATGGCGTGAACCCGGGAGGTGGAGCTTGCAGTGAGCCGAGATTGTGCCACGGCACTCTAGCCTGGGCGACAGAGCGAGACTCCATCTCAAAAAAAAAAAGTAGTTGAATCTCTGAAAAGACCAATAACAGGCTCTGAAATTGAGGCAATAATTAATAGCTTACCAACCAAAAAAAGTCCAGGACCAGATGGATTCACAGTGGAATTCTACCAGAGGTACAAGGAGGAGCTGGTACCATTCCTTCTGAAACTATTCCAATCAATAGAAAAAGAGGGAAAAAGAGGGAATCCTCCCTAACTCATTTTATGAGGCAAGCATCATCCTGATACCAAAGCCTGGCAGAGACACAACAAAAAAAGAGAATTTTAGACCAATATCCCTGATGAACATCGATGCAAAAATCCTCAATAAAATACTGGCAAACCGAATCCAGCAGCACATCAAAAAGCTTATCCACCATGATCAAGTGGGCTTCATCCCTGGGATGCAAGGCTGGTTCAACATATGCAAATCAATAAACATAATCCAGCATATAAACAGAACCAAAGACAAAAACCACATGATTATCTCAATAGATGCAGAAAAGGCCTTTGACAAAATTCAACAGCCCTTCATGCTAAAAACTCTCAATGAATTAGGTATTGATGGAAGGTATCTCAAAATAATAAGAGCTGTTTATGACAAACCTATATCCAGTACCATACTGAATGGGCAAAAACTGGAAGCATTCCCTTTGAAAACTGGGACAAGACAGGGATGCCCTCTCTCACCACTCCTATTCAACATAGTGTTGGAAGTTCTGGCCAGGGCAATCAGGCAGGAGAAAGAAATAAAGGGCATTCAATTAGGAAAAGAGGAAGTCAAATTGTCCCTGTTTGCATATGACATGATTGTATATCTAGAAAACCCCATTGTCTCAGCCCAAAATCTCCTGAAGCTGATAAGCAGCTTCAGCAAAGTCTCAGGATACAAAGTCAATGTGCAAAAATCACAAGCATTCTTATACACCAATAACAGACAAACAGAGAGCCAAATCATGAGTGAACTCCCATTCACAAATGCTTCAAAGAGAATAAAATAGGAATCCAACTTACAAGGGATGTGAAGGACCTCTTCAAGGAGAACTACAAACCACTGCTCAATGAAATAAAAAAGGACACAAACAAATGGAAGAATATTCCATGCTCATGGATAGGAAGAATCAATATTGTGAAAATGGCCATACTGCCCAAGGTAATTTATACATTCAATGCCATCCCCATCAAGCTACCAATGACTTTCTTCACAGAATTGGAAAAAACTACTTTAAAGTTCATATGGAACCAAAAAAGAGCCCGCATTGCCAAGACAATCCTAAGCCAAAAGAACAAAGCTGGAGGCATCACACTACCTGACTTCAAACTATACTACAAGGCTACAGTAACCAAAACAGTATGGTACTGGTATCAAAACAGAGATATAGACCGATGGAAAAGAACAGAGCCCTCAGAAATAATACCACACATCTACAACTATCTGATCCTTGACAAACCTGAGAAAAACAAGAAATGGGGAAAGGATTCCCCATTTAATAAATGGTGCAGGGAAAACTGGCTAGCCATATATAGAAAGCTGAAACTGGATCCCTTCCTTACACCTTATACAAAAATCAATTCAAGATGGATTAAAGAGTTAAATGTTAGACCTAAAACCATAAAAACCCTAGAAGAAAACCTAGGCAATGCCATTCAGGACATAGGCATGGGCAAGGACTTCATGTCTAAAACACCAAAAGCAATGGCAGCAAAAGCCAGAATTGACAAATGGGATCTAATTAAACTAAAGAGCTTCTGCACAGCAAAAGAAACTACCATCAGAGTGAACAGGCAACCTACAGAATGGGAGAAAATTTTTGCAATCTACCCATCTGACAAAGGGCTAATATCCAGAATCTACAAAGAACTTAAACAAATGTACAAGAAAAAAACAAACAACCCCATCAACAAGTGGGTGAAGGATATGAACAGACACTTCTCAAAAGAAGACATTTATGCAAACAAAAGACACATGAAAAAATGCTCATCATCACTGGCCATCAGAGAAATGCAAATCAAAACCACAGTGAGATACCACTTCACACCAGTTAGAATGGTGATCATTAAAAAGTCAGGAAACAACAGGTGCTGGAGAGGATGTGGAAAAATAGGAACGCTTTTACACTGTTGGTGGGACTGTAAACTAGTTCAACCATTGTGGAAGTCAGTGTGGCAATTCCTCAGGGATCTAGAACTAGAAATACCATTTGACCCAACCATCCCATTACTGGGCATATACCCAAAGGATTATAAATCATGCTGCTATAAAGACACATGCACACATATATTTATTGCAGCACTATTCACAGTAGCAAAGATTTGGAACCAACCCAAATGTCCATCAATGATAGACTGGATTAAGAAAATGTGGCACATATACACCATGGAATACTATGCAGCCATAAAAAAGGATGAGTTCATGTCCTTTGTAGGGACATGGATGAAGCTGGAAACCATCATTCTCAGCAAACTATCACAATGGCATGTTCTCACTCATAGGTGGGAATCGAACAATGAGAACCCTTGGACACAGGAAGGGGAACATCACACACTGGGGCCTGTTGTGGGGTGGGAGGAGTGGGGAGGGATAGCATTAGGAGATACACCTGATGTAAATACCGAGTTAATGGGTGCAGCACACCAACATGGCACATGTATACATATGTAACAAACATGCACATTGTGCACATGTACCCTAGAACTTAAAGTATAATAAAAAAAATAAAAATAAAAAATCTAAAAAAATAAAATAGCAAAACTTGGTAAATTTCACTTCAAATTTTAGTTGTAGGATCGTTATTAATAAAGATAACTCAGTATACAAGGAGGAATTTTTCTTCCTACCTATCCTTGCCCAGTGTGGATTCAGAAATTAAATCATTTTAATTTTGTGAACTGCTTAATGAATCAATTTAGAGAAGATTAGGTGTTTGGTTCATATGAAAACAAAATCAACAGGGCACTACATGAAAAACTGCATATTGAAAAAAACTAGAGTTTAGCTGTTCAATTCTTATGTGAGAAGACAATGGGGAAAAAACCAAAGTGCTAAAATGCTAAGAAAAATTAAAATGTTCAATCTACAATTCCGGACCAACCAGCCTCAGTCATTTGTAGTCCTCTAGAGATCCAGTAAGCATTTATCAACTAAAAGGAAAGAAAAAAGGTAAACAACTCTTATCAAAATGGATAATTTCATAAGTATGCAAAGCTACTCTGTCTTGATCCATGGTGAGTAAAACTGGTTGTTAAATAACTAAGCATAGTTTACATCATGTGGCAGCTTTAAGTATCGAAGTTCCCAGATGAAGAATGCAGACAGTTCCAATGTCAAAGATTGCAGCCAAGGGTCTTCTTAGGGGGCACATCTCCCTCCATGGGATTGGTTCCTGATGCCTTATATACCTTTTGTAGTGCGGTCAGATTTTACTGGTTGCTCTTGATGCTTGTAGATATCCCCCAATTTCTGGGCATTGCAGAGTTAGGTATTTATTGTAGTCTTCATCGTGTGGGCTCATTTGTATCTATCCTCCATGGGAAGGTTTTCCAGATATTCGAAGGAACTTGGGTGTTGTGATCTAAGTTTTTAGTTACTGAAGCCTTATCTGTGCTAGAGAACACCCCAAGCCCAGTAACACTGTGGTTCTTGAAAACTTGTATTATGTACCAGCTTGCTGGTCTTGGATATGATCTCAAAGTATTATCTGGATTACCAGCCAGAGACTTTTGTTCTCTTCCTTTACTTTCCCCGAAACAAAGTCTCTCCTTGTGCTGAGCTGTCTGCAGCTGGGGGCGGAGTGACACAACCCCCGCTGTAGTCACCACCACTGAGACTGCCCTGGGTCAAACCTGAAGCCAGCATAGCACTGGTCTCACCCAAGGCCGAGTATAACCACATCTGGCCACCGCCTATGTTTTCTCAAGGCCTTAGGTCTCTACAGTAAGCAAGTGGCGAAGCTGGCGAGGCTTCTGTCCTTCCCTTTAGGGCAGCAAGTTCCCATATTCCCCAGGCAGGTCCAGAGAACCAGGGTCTGGAGTTGAAAACCACATAAATATATTCTATTCTGTATTCTACTATGGCTCATCTGGCACCCAAACCACAAGACAAAGTCCTTCCCACTGTTCTCTCCTCTTTCTACAGACAGAGCAGTCTCCCCTGCTGGCCACCACTTCCCCAGGCCCACAGGGAATACTTCCAGGATAACACTGATGTTCATTCAAGGGCCAAGGGCTCTTCATTCGGTTTTTGGTGAATGCTTCCAGGCCTGGGACTCAACCTTCAGGGCAGTGAGCTACCCTCTGGCCCAGGGAAGGTCCATAAATGCTGTCCAAGCGCCAAGGCCTAGAATCAGGGACCCAAAGAGCCTGCTTGGTGCTCTCCCACCAAGCTGTGGCCAAGCTCACACCTAAGCTGCAAAACAAAGTCCCCTTTGCTTTTCCCTCTCCTTTTCTCAAGCAGAGGGAGTCTTTCTGGATAGACACCACAGCTAGGAATATGCTGGGTCACAACTAAAATCAATGTGTCACAGAATCTCACGCAAGGCCCATGATGTGTACTGGCCAGCTACCACTGCTGATTAATCAGGGCTCAAGGGCTCCTTAGTCAGCAGATGATTAATCCTGCTAGGACAGGGCCCTTCTCTTCAAGGCAGCAAAGTTCCCTTCTGGCCCAGTATATTTCTAGAAATGTTGTCCAGGTTCTGGGGCTTGGAATGTGAGCCTCACAACTCTGCCTGCTCCCCTATCCTACTGTGGCTGAGCTGGTGTCCAAGTTGTAAGACAAAGTTCTATTTATTCTCCCCTCTCCTCCTCTCAAGGGGAAGGAACAAGTCTCTCCAAGAATTGCTAGTTATACTGCCTGCGGTTGGTAGAGAGGTGGTGCAATTACTTACTTGGCTGCTGCAATTAGTGTTTCATGTTCCCCTCAACCCCCAAATCCACTGGCTCTGAGGTCAGCACACCGGGACCTGCCTAGGATTTGCAGTCCTTGTGATGTAGACTGCCTTTCAAGTTTATGCAGGACTCCAGAGCACTTTACCCCACAGTGGCAAGGCTTGCTGGAACTCAGTTTCCAACCACTAGGATGGACAATTTCCATCTGGCTAGGGCTGTGTCAAATGTTCCCTCCATGATCACTGGCTGAGTTCTTCCTGGTGTTGATTTCTGCTGTGAGAGGGCAGCACTGAGTTCCAATGTGCAGTTCCACAATTGGTGCATTCTCATTCTCTCAAGCGCGGAAATTCTCTGCACCATGTGGCCACTACTAAGGGCTGGGGAAGTGGTGGCATCAGCAATTGAAGACTGTCTTTACTACCCTCTTCAGTGCCTGTCTCAGTGATATTAAGACCAGATACTGTGATCACTCATCTGATTTTTGGTTCTTACAAAGATGCTTTTTTGTGTGTAGATACTTACTATATTTGATGTTCCTGTGGGAAGGATGAATGTTGGAGGCTTCTGTTCTGCCACCTTGTTCTGCCTTGGGTTCTGTAAGCATTAATTTGAGAAGCAAATTAAATATTAACGTAGATTTGCTAAGTAGGCAATTAGATATACAAGTCTGGAGTTCAGCGGAGGGTTTCACCCTAGAGCTTTTAAGTTGAGGAGCCATCACCCCATAGATGGTATTTAAAACTATGAAATTCATGAGATCACTCCAACAGTAGGCATAACATAAAATAAAAATCTTAGTGCTGAGCACACCTCAAATTTACAAAGTCAAAAAAGTACAAATGAAAGATTGAGTAGAAGTGGCCAAAAAGATAGTAGAAAACCAGATGAGTGTGGGTCCTAGAAACCAAGAGAAGAAATTGTTTAGAAGACGAGATTGACCAAGTGTGGCAAATGCTGCTAATACGTCCAGTAATATGAGGACTGAGAAATAACTATTGGATTTAGCAACTTGAAGGTCACTGGGAAACGTTTTAGTGGAGTGATGTGAAGAAATAAAATGGAGACAAGACATATAGCTTACTTTACAAAGAGTATTTTTGTAAAGGGAAAAGAGAAATAGGATGATACTAGAGGATATTAAATCAGGGTAGTGTTTATTGAGAATGGAAGAAATAACAGGAAGATTCTGTTTTGATGAAAATGATACAGTAGAGTGGGAAAGGATGAAACTTCAGGAGAGAGGAGGGAATCAGCAGAACAAAACTTTTGAGTATTTGAGAGGATGGGATATTATACACAGGTGGAGGGATCTGCTTTGGCCAAGAATGTAGGAAATTCATTCATAGTTAACAAGAGAGAAGGTAGCATAGATAGCCATGAATGAAGATAAGTGAGTAGAAGTAGGTTGTAGGAGCTTGTAGAAATTCCCTTCTGACTGGTTTTATTTTCTTATTGAAGTAGGAAACAAAGTGCTCAGATAAGAATGAGAACTGGGGAGGTGTTGAAGCATTAGGAGAGAGGAGAAGGTATAATAATTGTCTAGGAAAGTGGAAGAGAGAATAAACTATAGAAGTTTAGTATGATTGCCTAGCAACATTATCATTTCATTCACTTAGTGGTTATTAATATTAAAGTGAGACCTATAAGCATAGTAGTGTTATTCTCTAGGCACATTCACCTGCATGACTTCTGTCAAGGAGTAGGCAGAGACTTGGCATACCAAGTATATATGATGCAGTGAGACAGAAGTTATGATAACTGACGTTATATATAAGGCACTGATTATAATGAATAAGCATGAAATTTAGGCTCAGTATGTAGAGAAGGCAGGATAGGAACAAGTTGAGGAACAGTGAAAATGTGGTAAGATCAATGATTTGTAGATCTAATGGGAACATAGGACTATTGGAATCAGGGTACTATAACATACAAGCTTGAAAGATAAGATGCTCAGAGAGTAGAGTACTGGAAATTGTGATAATGGAGGAATCGCAGTTTCTAGTCAAGAATATGAACATGGGAATAAATGTCCTCCACAAGGTGGAAGACAAGATCATTTGAGAAGAAGGACAGATACTGAGATGCAAGGGTATTGGAAGAAGTACCTTTATTGTGGATGTTGAAATCTTCAATAACAATGAACGTTCTTGTGTGTATGCTGTTTATCAATATAGAAACAAATATAATTACCAAAAATATTCCTTTATCAGAGTTGCATCTCTTAGAGAAAGAACAACTATGAAACAGAAGAACTGAATTCTAGCCTGGCTCTGTTTGCTAATAATCCTCATGATCTTTGGAAAGCTAATATTCAATTACCTTTCTCAATGTTAGTTTTCTAAAATTTATTCACTCATTTATTCATCAAAAATTTTGAGCACCTTTTATATACCAGCCATGTATTAGGCGTTATGGAATATAATGGTAAGAAAACATGCAAGGTCTCTGCCTACACAGGACATTCAGTGTGACAGTGTGATAATTGAGAAATTGCCATAAGAAAGCAGAAATACATAGTTACAAAAGGGCACAGAGTCCTTTAAGTAGTACATAGCTGCGATATACTAGGGAGGTGAGGTTAATATAATTTTATTCTTTTTTAACTAAAATGTATTTGTGAAAAGATAAAAGCAAATAAAGAGGAATTAAATGATCTTACATTATATACTTTAAACTAAATAATATTCTGCTACTTTTTAAACATTATTCATTCTGAATTATGGCATAATATAAAGCTTTTTACTCCAACTTAAAGTAAAAACTTCTTTCTAAATCATCATGCATTCTTCATTTCTTAAAATTCTGGACATCTTGCTATGAAAAGCCTTCTGGTGTATGTACCTTAACCTTGTGTATAAATGATATGGGAATCTGCTATGATAATAAAAATATATCATGTCTGAAAAAGTGAACCCTGAGAAGTATAAAGTATACACACATTATTTATAAAATATCAGAATTTTGTACTGAAGCATCTATTGAAACTTAAAAGTGGTGGTAAAAAGTATATGTGAAGATGCGGACTAAAAATATAATGAGAAATTATGATGTGATTCTCTATAGGCAGTGTTCATTATATTTGTATTTGGGATAATCGTAGACCCCGTTTAGGGAAGTTTAGTTGAGGTGCCGCTAGGCACTAGACACATTCACTCTTAAAGCAACCTGTCTTTGTTTACTCTAAGTATGGGATAGTATAGCAAACCTCCTGAAAGGCAGTTTGGTATAATAGAAAGAGTAGAGCATGGTTTTTGGAACCAGTTAGGCCTAGGATTTTTATCATGCTTCTACCACTTAAAAGCAATGTTACCTGGAAAGAATTACTTCATTTATTTAAGTCTCAGATTCCTCATCTTTAAAATGTAGGTAATAATATCTGCCTCAAATGATAGCTAGAATTAAATGGCAGAAAGAATATAAATGGCCTAATAATCCCTAACGCTTGGTAAGAGCTTGGCAAGTTTAGTGTCCTTTACTTTTCAGCTCTTTGTGATGTGTTTAAGAAGGATTTAGGTTAATTAGCTCTTTTTAATAATAATCTCTTAAAGAAGGATTTAGGTTAATTAGCTCTTTTTAATAATAATCTCTTAAAGAAACCTACAAATCTTTGTGGGTTTAACCATAACTCTTTGAAATAAACGTTATGCTTTTCCACAAATAACTTTGAGGCACTATTGAAGACCATTCTTAATGGGCCAATTTCTGTGATCTTACTTGGTTTCAAATTTTTAATATTTTATAGCTTTATTCTCATTTTATTCTTTTTTTTTTTTTTTTTTTTTTTTTTTTTTTTGAGACGGAGTCTCGCTCTGTCGCCCAGGCCGGACTGCGGACTGCAGTGGCGCAATCTCGGCTCACTGCAAGCTCCGCTTCCCGGGTTCACGCCATTCTCCTGCCTCAGCCTCCCGAGTAGCTGGGAGTACAGGCGCCCGCCACCGCGCCCGGCTAATTTTTTGTATTTTTAGTAGAGACGGGGTTTCACCTTGTTAGCCAGGATGGTCTCGATCTCCTGACCTCATGATCCACCCGCCTCGGCCTCCCAAAGTGCTGGGATTACAGGCGTGAGCCACCGCGCCCGGCCATTCTCATTTTATTCTTAAAATTTATCTTCTCTAAACTTTTTTTTGCCCTACAATATGATTAAGATTTCAGTGATGCCCATCATTTACATGATAAAAACTCTTATTTTCCTTCTCTTTATGCTTTCTAAAACCCAATTTACACAGTCACATATATGTCTTTAAAAGGCTTTTATAAAAAACTATTACTGGTCCAAGAAGCTACAACAACCTCTGTGTGAAACTGACCCATGGCTCAGGAGGCATACATTCAGGAAAAATTTTTTTATATTCTTTGTGAATTATTTGACAACCAACTTGTTGGTTGAACATAATGTGTCTCGGTGTGTGTATGTGAAAGTTTATTCTGTTTTGGGATCTCTGAGCTTCTTGAATCTGTGATTTGATGTATTTTCTTGTTTTTGAAAATTATTGTCCATCATCTCTCCAAATATTCCTTTGTTCACTATTTTCATTCTGGGATTCCAATCACATTCATATTAAACAATTAAATATTGGCTCACAGGTATTAGATGCACGATTCTCTCATTCATTCATATTTCTCCCCTCACTCCTTCTTTTTTCCCGTTTCTCTCCCCTCCCATTGTGTTTAAGTTTGGGTAATTTCCTTTGTTATTACATATTACAAACTTGTATATATTTATGGGGTACAATGTGATTATATAATTTTTTAATACAATGTGGGATGATTAAACCAAGTGAAT
This sequence comes from Homo sapiens, assembly GCF_000001405.40. Lineage (NCBI taxonomy): Eukaryota > Metazoa > Chordata > Mammalia > Primates > Hominidae > Homo > Homo sapiens. The sequence continues at coordinate 80,393,518 of NC_000023.11, forward strand.
TAACATATTCATTATTTCAAATATTTAACATTTTTTGTGATGAGGAATTTTCAAATTTACTAGCAATATTGAAATATAGAATACTCAATTATTAGCTATATTCACCATGCTATGCAGTACATCTAAGAATAAATCAAATTTATTCCTCTTATCTAACTGAGACTTTGTAACCTTTTACTATCATTTCCTTATTCCCATCACCTCCCAGCCTCTGGTAACCACCATTTTACTCCCTGCTTTTATGAGCTCCATTATTCTAAAGTCCCTATATAAGTGAAACCATGCAGTATTTGTTTTTTTGTGTGTGTTTGGCTTATACCACTTAGCATAATATTCTGCAATTCTATCCATGTTTTTGCAGATGACAGAATATCTTCCATTTCAAGGCTGAATAATATTCCATTATTTATATATACCATATTTTTTACCCACTCATTGATGGATGAACACTTAGGTTATTTCCACATCTTGGTTATTGTGAATAGTGCTGCAATGAACATTACAATGCAGACATCTCTACAACATATTGATCTCAAATATTTCAGGTAAATGCCTAGAAGAGGGATTGCTGGATCATGTGTTAATCCTATCTTTAGTTTTTGAGGAACCTCAATACTGTTTTCCATAATGGCTATACTAATTTATATTCCCACCAACGGTGTACAAGGGTTTCCTTTTCTCCATATCCTCACCAACACTTGTTATCTTTCATCTTTTTGATAGTAGTTATTCTAACAGGCATAATGTGATATTTCATTTTGCTTTTGATTTTCATTTCCTTAATGATTAGTGATGTTGAGCAGTTTTTTTTTTTCATGTATTCGTTGGCCATTTGTATGTCTTCTTTTGAGAAATGTCTATTCAGGTCCTTTCCTTTTTTTTTTTTTTTTTTTTTTTGAGACAGAGTTTCACTGTTGTTGCCCAGGCTGGAGTGCAATGCTGTGATCTCAGCTCACTGCAACCTCCCCCTCCCAAGTGATTCTCCTGCCTCAGCCTCCCGAGTAGCTGGGATTACAGACATGCGCCACCACGCCCAGCTAATTTTGTAATTTTTTTAGTAGAGAAGGGGTTTCTCCATGTTGGTCAGGCCGGTCTCGAACTCCCAACCTCAAGTGATCCACCCACCTCAGCCTCCCAAAGTGCTGGGATTACAGGCGTGAGCCACCATGCCCAGCCTGCTTATTTATTTTTTATTATCAATTCTTTATTACAAATTTTAATTAACACATAATAATTGTACATGTTTGTAGGTTACAGTGTGAGGTTTTGATACATGTATACATTGTGTAATGACCACATCAGGATGATTAGTGTATCTCTCATCTCAAATTTTATCATGTCTTTGTAGTGAGAATATTCAAAATTTTCTCTTCTAGCTATTTTGAAATATGCAATACATTATCGTTAACTATAGTCACCCTAATGTGCAATAGGATACCAGAACTTATTTCTCCTATCTAATTGTAACTTTGGACCTGTTGACCGATCTCTCCCCATTCTCTCCTGCTCTCTTCCCTCCCCAGTCTCTGGCAAATACTTGTATTTGCTATTTCTATGAGAACAACTTTTTTAGATTTCACTTGTGAGTGAGATCATGCAGTATTTTTCTTTCTGTGTCTGGCTTATTTTACTTAATGTAAGCTTTTCAGGTTCATCCATGTTGTTGCAAATGACAAGTTTCATTTGTTTTTATGGTTGAGTCATACTCCATTGTGTATATATGCTACATGTTTTTTATTCCTTTGTTCATTGATGGAAACAGATTGATTATTTATCTTGGCTATTGTTAGTAGTGCTGCCATAAGTATGGGAGTACAGATATCTCTTTGACATATTGATTTCATTTCCTTTGGATATATATACCCAGTAGTGGGATTGCTGGATAATATGGTATTTCTGTTTTTAATTCTTGGAAGAGCCTGTATACTGTTTTTTATAATAGCTGTGCTAATTAATATTCTCACCAACAGTGTGTGTTTCCTTTTCTCCACATCCTTCCCAACACTTGTAATTTTTTGTCTCTTTGATGCTAATCATTCTTTTTTCAATTGTAAATTGATAAGTAATAATTGTACATATTCATGGGGTAAGATAGTGATATCTCAATACATATAATTTATAGTGATCAAATCAGCATAATTAGCATATCCATCATCTCAAACATTTATCATTTATTTGTGTTGGGAATGTCAAATATCCTTTTTCTAGCTATTTGAAACCATATATTATTGTTAACTATATTCATCCTACAGTGGCGTAGAAAACTAGAAGTTATCCCTCCTATTCAGCTGTAATTTTGTTATCCTTTAACAAATCTCTCCCTATTCCTCACTTCCCCCTACTCTTCCCAGCATCTAGTATCCTCTGTTTTACTTTTTTGCTTCTGTGAGATGAACTTCTTTTTAGCTTCCACATATGAGTGAGAATCTGCAGTGTATGTTTCTGTTCCTGGCCTATTTTTCTTAACATAACCTCCTCCAGTCCTTCCATATTACTGCAAATGACAGTTTCTTTACTTTTTATGGCTGAATAGCATTCCATTGAGTATATATACCACACTTTCTTTATTCATCAGTTATTGGAAACTTAGGTTGATACCATATCTTGGCTATTGTGAATAGTACCACTGGGAACATGGGGGTGCAGATGTCTCTTTGATGTAATAATTTCATTTCCTTTGGATTAATTCCAAGTAGTGAGATTGCTGGATCATATGGTAGTTATAGTTTTAGTTTTTGAGGAAACTTTATACTGTTTTTCTTTTTTTTTTCTTTTATTGATCATTCTTGGGTGTTTCTCACAGAGGGGGATTTGGCAGGGTCATAGGACAATAGTGGAGGGAAGGTCAGCAGATAAACAAGTGAACAAAGGTCTCTGGTTTTCCTAGGCAGAGGACCCTGCGGCCTTCCACAGTGTTTGTGTCCCTGGGTATTTGAGATTAGGGAGTGGTGATGACTCTTAACGAGCATGCTGCCTTCAAGCATCTGTTTAACAAAGCACATCTTGCACCGCCCTTAATCCATTTAACCCTGAGTGGACACAGCACATGTTTCAGAGGGCACAGGGTTGAGGGTAAGGTCAGAGATCAACAGGATCACAAGGCAGAAGAATTTTTCTTAGTACAGAACAAAACGAAAAGTCTCCCATGTCTACCTCTTTCTACACAGACACGGCAACCATCCGATTTCTCAATCTTTTCCCCGCCTTTCCCCTCTTTCTATTCCACAAAACCACCATTGTCATCATGGCCCGTTCTCAATGAGCTGTTGGGTACACCTCCCAGACGGGGTGGTGGCCGGGCAGAGGGGCTCCTCACTTCCCAGTAGGGGCGGCCGGGCAGAGGCGCCCCTCACCTCCCAGACGGGGTGGCTGGCCGGGCGGGGGGCTGACCCCCCCACCTCCCTCCCAGACGGGGCGGCTGGCCGGGCAGAGGGGCTCCTCACTTCCCAGTAGGGGCGGCTGGGCAGAGGCGCCCCTCACCTCCCGGACGGGGCGTCTGGCCGGGGGGGGGGCTGACCCCCACCTCCCTCCCAGACGGGGTGGCTGCCGGGCGGAGATGCTCCTCACTTCCCAGACGGGGTGGTTGCCGGGCGGAGGGGCTCCTCACTTCTCAGACAGGGTGGCTGCCGGGCGGAGGGGCTCCTCACTTCTCAGATGGGGCGGTTGCCAGGTGGAGGGTCTCCTCACTTCTCAGACGGGGCGGCCGGGCAGAGACGCTCCTCACCTCCCAGACGGGGTCGCAGCTGGGCAGAGGCGCTCCTCACATCCCAGACGGGGTGGCGGGGCAGAGGCGCTCCCCACATCTCAGACGATGGGCGGCCGGGCAGAGATGCTCCTCACTTCCTAGATGGGATGGCGGCCGGGAAGAGGCGCTCCTCACTTCCTAGATGGGATGGCGGCCGGGCAGAGACGCTCCTCACTTTCCAGACTGGGCAGCCAGGCAGAGGGGCTCCTCACGTCCCAGACGATGGGCGGCCAGGCAGAGACGCTCCTCACTTCCCAGACGGGGTGGTGGCCGGGCAGAGGCTGCACTCTCGGCACTTTGGGAGGCCAAGGCAGGTGGCTGGGAGGTGGAGGTTGTAGCAAGCCGAGATCACGCCACTGCACTCCAGCCTGGGCACCATGGAGCACTGAGTGAACCAGCTCCGTCTGCAATCCCGGCACCTCGGGAGGCCGAGGCTGGCGGATCACTCGCGGTTAGGAGCTGGAGACCATCCCAGCCAACACAGCGAAACCCCGTCTCCACCAAAAAAATACGAAAACAAGTCAGGCGTGGCGGCGCGCGCCTGCAATCGCAGGCACTCGGCAGGCTGAGGCAGGAGAATCAGGCAGGGAGGTTGCAGTGAGCCGAGATGGCAGCAGTACAGTCCAGCTTCGGCTCGGCATCAGAGGGAGACCGTGGAAAGAGAGGGAGACGGAGACCGTGGGAGAGGGCGAGGGAGGGAGAGGGAGAGGGAGAGGGAGAGGGAGCTATACTGTTTTTCATAATGGCTGTACTAGTTTACATTTCTACCAACAACATATAGGCATTCCCTTTTCTCTACATCCTCACCAGCGTCTGTTACTTTTTGTCTTTTCGATAATAGTCGTCCTTGCTGGGGTGAGATGATACCTTATTATGATTTTGATTTTCATTTCCCTGTTGATCAGTGATGTTGAACATTTTTTCAAGTATCTGTTGGCCATTTGTTTGCCTTCTATCAAAAATGTTTGTTCAGATCATTTGTCCATTTTTTTTGTTTGCTGTTGAGATATTTGAGTTCATTATATATTCTGGATGTTAATCCCCTGTCAGATGAGTAGCTTGCAAATATTTTCTACTATTCTGTACATTGTGTTTCTACTCTGTTATATATAACATTTCCTTTGCTGTGCAGAAGTTTTTGGTTTGATATAATCCTGTTTGTTTTTTATTTGCTTTTGTTACCTGTATCTTGGGGTCTTTATTTATACAATCTTTTCCCAGACTCATGTTTTGAAACATTTCACCTGTGTTTTCTTTCAGTCGTTTTATCATTTCAGGACTTACATTTATGTTTTTTTTTTCTATTTTGAGTTGATTTTTATGTAGGGTAAGGAGCAGTAGCCTAGTTTCATCCTCGTGTATATGGATATCTAGTTTTCCCAGTACCATTTATTGAAGAGAGTGTCCTTTCACCAATTAATTTTCTTGGTACCTTTGTCAAAGATCAATTGGCTATGGACATGTGGATTAATTTCTGGATTTTCTGTTCTGTTCCATTGATCTATGTGTCTTTTTTTTTTATAATGCCAGTGCCTTGCTGTTTGGGTTACTACAGCTTTGTGGTACATTTTGGGGTCAGAAACAAAATACTAAAATTTCTATGGAACCATGAAAGACCCTGAATAGCCAAAGAAAACCTGACCAAAAATAACAACGTTGCATGTATCATACTACCAGACCTTACTCATTTTTTAAATTAGATTGTTTTCATTCTATAGTGTTAAGTTCCTTATATATTTTGGACAATAATCCCTTCTCATATGTGTTGTTTGCAGATATTTTCTCCCAATCTCTAGGATGTCTCTTCATTTTGTTAATTGTGTCCTTTGTTGTGCAGAAGCTTTTTATTTTGATGAAATCCCATTTGTCTATTTTTGCTTTTGTTACCTGAGCTTTGGGGATCAAATGTAGAAGATCATTGCCCAGAACAGTGTCATGTAGTTTTCTCCCGTGTTTTTCTACTAGTTGTCTTATAGTTTCAAGTCTCATTTTTAAGTCTTTAGTTCATTTTGAATTGATTTTATATATTGTGTGAGATGAGAGTCCAATTTAATTCTTTTGCATGTGGATATTGGTTTTCCCAACACTACTTATTGGAGGGGTTGTCATTTTTGCATTGTATATTCTTGGCATTCTTTTAGAAAATAAATTGACTATAGATATGTGGATTTATTTCTAGGCTTTCTTTTTTTCCCATTGGTCGATGTGTCTGTGGCTAGTGCCATGCTGTTTTAATTACTATCACTTTGTAGTGGGTTTTGGACATAAGCCCGATAGACACAATCTGAATGCCATAATACTGAATGTTGAAATCCTGAAAAATCAAAATCCTGAAAATGTAATTCAGTAAAAAAGAATTTTAAAACTATTCAAAAGACATGTATTAACATTTTTAAAGGGGAATTATTGGAGAAGCAAAAATACAACACAACACTGTATAGGCCACTTTACACAATAAATTGTAAGTAAGTGATTCTCTGCTTTCAGAGCACCAATAATGATTAGCTTTTAAACTTTTTTTTCACCATTAAGTAGCCTTATACACTTACTACAGCCTTTTTGTGGGGAAACAATTTCACAGATCTCTTCCATTGTGTTGTAGGGGATACAGTAAGAAGAAATGATATTTGACTTCCCAAACACCAAATCTGTATTAGGGCTCTCCAGAGAGACAGAAGCAATAAGATATGCATCTAGGTATTTGGGAGGGAATATATTAGGGGAATTGGCTCAGATGATTAAAGTGGCCAAGGCATCCCATTACAGGCCTTCTGCAAGCTGGAGATCCTGGGATGCAAGTAGCATGACTCAGTCCAAGTCTGAAGGCTCCAGAACCAGGGAAGCTAGCTGATGGTGTAACTCTCAGTCCAGGGCCAAAAACCTCAGGACCCAGAGAGATATTACTATTAAGTCCTGTACTCCAAAGGCCAGTGAAGCTAGAGTTCTGATGTCCAAGGCAGCAGATGAAAAGTCTCGGCTATCAAAGAGCGAACCATTTGCCTTCTGAATGTGTTCTTTATGGGTCTCTGGCCTATTGAATTGTGCCTACCAACAGTGAGGACAGATGTTCACTAAGGACAGACTCACATCCTAATTTCCTATGGAAACACCCTCACGGACACACCCAAAATATCACTTTACTGAGTTTCCAGGGATTTCTTAATCCAGTCAAGTTTACACCTAAAATGAAGCCCGCAAATTCATCTCTTGACAACTTGGCATCCACACATATCTCCTTAAATAATACTTAATTTCCAAATAATGACAATAACTGGGTTATAGCTCTGCCTAACATGATGCAGTGAATATGATGCAAATACCCTATATGCAACTGAAAATGCACTAATCTGTTCCCCCGAATTCAGCTTTCAGGATTTCAGCATTCAGGATTATAATCTTTTGTGTTTGTGATTTTCTGGATTTGATGTTAGGGATTTTTAGACTCTAAGGATTTAGACTTTAGGAATTGTCATCTTTTATGGTTTCAGTTCAGGATTTCAACATTCAGGATTATGGCATTCGGAATTGTGTCTTTCAGAGTTATGATAGGCACCTTGTGGTATAGTTTGAAATCAGGTAGTATGATCTCTCCAGCTTTGTTCCTTTTGCTCACGATTGCCTTGGCTGTTTGGGTTTTATGTTTTGGTGGCTCCATATTAATTTTCGGATTATTTTTCTATATGTTTGAAAAGTGACATTGGACTTTTTATAGTGATTGCATTGAATCTGTAGATCACTTTGAGTAGTATGGACATTATAACAATATTATGTTTTTAAATCCACGAATGTAAGCTATCTTTCCATTTATTTGTGTCTTCTTCAGTCTCTTTTGATAACATTTTATAGTTTTCATTATAAAAGTCTTTCACCTGTTTGGTTAAATTTATTTTAAACTATATATATTTTTGTAGCTATCATAAACAGGATTATTCTTGATATCTTCTTTGGAAAATGTGTTGTTAATGTAGAGAAATGCTACCAATTTTTGCATATTAACTTTGCATTTTGTAACTTTACTGAATTCATTTATCAGTTTTAACAGATTTCTGCTGAGGTGCTTAGGGTATTCTATGTATAAGAACATGTCATCAGCAAACAGCAAAAATTTCACCTCTTTTCCTGTTTAGATGCCTTTTATTTCTTTCTTTTGCCTTATTGTTCTGGAAAGGATGTCCACTACTATGTTGAATAGATGTGGTAAAAGTAGGTTTCCTTATCTCGTTCATGATCTTAAAGAAAAAGGTTCTACTTTTTCACCTTTGAGTATAATGTTAGCAGTGGGCCTATTATATGTGACTTTTTTGTGTTGAAGTACATTCTTTCTATACCTAATTTTTTGAGTGTATTTACTATAAAAGGATGGTGAATTTTGTCATTTTTTCTGCATTTAATGAGATGATCATATGATTTATGTCTTTCATTCTGTTAATGTGATATCTCACATATATTAATGTGTGAATGTTGAACTATCTTTGCATCTAGGGATAAAACCACTTGATCATGGTGAATGATCCTTCTAATATGTTGTTGAATTTAGCTTGCTTGTATTTTGTTGAGGATTTTTAAACTATGTTAATCAAGAATACTGGCCTGTAGGTTTCTTTTCTTGTGACATTCTTCATTTGGCATTGGCATCAGGATAATTCTGGCCTTATATAGTTTGGAAGTATTCTCTCTGGAATTTTTTGATAAAGTTTGTGGAGAGTTGGTATTAGCTGTTCTTTAAATGTTTGGTAAAATTCAACAGTGAAACCATCAGCACTTGGGCTTTTCTTTGATGGGAGATTTTTTGTTACTGATTCAATCTTCTCACTTGTTATGGATCTGTTAAGATATTCTATATTTTTCGGGATTCAATCTTGGTAGGGGTTGTATGTGTCTAGAAATTTATCTGTTTTTTCCTAGGTTATCTAATTTTTGGCATATAATTGTTGATAGTAGTCTGCTAGGATCCATTGTATTTCTGTGGTGTCAGTTTTAATGTCTCTTGTTTTATTTCTGATTTTATTTATTTGAGTTCCTTCTCTTTTGTTCTTGGTTAGACTAGTTAAGGGTTTGCCAATTTTGTTTGTCTTTTCAATAAACTAACTCAGTTTTATAGATTTCTTGTATTATTTTTCTAGTTGTGATTCCATTTATTTCTTCTCTGATATTTATTATTTTTCCTTCTGCTAACATTGGACTTAGTTTGTTATTTTTTCTATTTCATTAACATCACATTAACTTATTTACTTGCAGTCTTCTTTTTTGATATAAGTATTTATCGCTAAAGACTTTCCTTTTAGAACTGCTTTTGCTGCAGCCCATAAATTTGGTATGTTATATTTCCATTTTCATTTGTCTCCAGAAATATTTAAGTCTCCCTTTTCTTAATTGGCCCACTGTTTTTTCAGGAGCATGGTATTTAATTTTCATGTATTTGTGAATTTTATATAATTTCTCCTGTTATTCATTTTTGGTTTCATACCATTGTGGCTGGAAAAGTTACTTGATATGATATCAGTGTTCTTAAACTTGCTAAGACTTGTCTCGTAGGCTAACATGATCTTTTCTGTAGAATATTATGTGTGTACTTAATAAAATGTGTATTCTGTTGCCATTAGATAGAATGTTCAGTATATGGCTATTAGGTCCATTTGGCCTAAAGTATTTTCACGTCCAGTGTTTGCTTATTAATTTTATGTCTGGATGATCTTTCCATGATTGAAAGTGGGGTGCTGAAGCCCCCTACTATTATTGCATTGCAATCTGTCTCTCCCTATGGTGTAAAATTATTTATTTATAACGTCCCTATGATGCATGCACAGTGAGAGCAAAGTGCTCCAGAAAGTGGTTCTTCAAATGTTGATGCTGGTAGAATTAAAGGTAATATGTTTCGCTCATATTTGTATTTTTTACTGTTGCTCAAATATTTTCAAGTGAACATGTATCAATGATATTAAAATGCACTCTTATAAACAATCAATTAAATGCATTTCAAGTAAAAATTTAAAATAGTCTGGTTTTTTCTTAAGGTTTAAAAAAATGAATCTTACACAAAAATTAGCCCAGTGACAAGGTAAAATACCCTTAAGACATTGTTATTTACCTGATAACATGCTATTATTTTCCCTTCTTAAACCAGCATTTTCTCGCAGTTTTTACAAAATGATATCTGATGGTTTTAGAGACCTTGGCATCTTTTACTAGCAATACACCTCATTGAATCTGAGTATATATCAGTGCTTTCTAATAACACTGGGTTTCTCAGCCTCAGCACTGTCGACATTTAGGTTGGATAATTCTTTGTTGTGGCAAGCTTCGCTGTGCTTTATAAGATGTTTAGAGTATCCCTAGCTGGATAATTCTTTGTTGTGGCAAGCTTCCCTGTGCTTTATAAGATGTTTAGGGTATCCCTAGCTTCTATCCACCAGATGGCCAGTAGCAGTCCTCATGCCCCTAGTGGTGCCAACCACAAATGCCTCCACACATTGCCAGATATCTGCTTGGGTGGAATTTGTAGATTGCTTTGGGTGGATTGGCCCTTGTAACAATTGTGAGCCCCAAATATCTGAGACAGGTCTCAGTCAATTTAGAAAGTTTATTTTGCCAAGGTTAAGAACACACCCCTGAGGAAGTCCTGAGACATGTGCCCAAGGTGGTCAGGGTACAGTTTGCTTTTATACATTTTAGCAAGACATGAGACATCAATCAGTATATGTACGATGTACATTGGTTTGGTCCGGTAAGGTGGGACAACTTAAAGTAGGGGCTTCCGGGTTAGAAATAGGTAAGAGACAGAAAGATTGCATTCTTTTGAGTTCTTGACCAGCCTTCCACTGAATACACAATTTCGTCTGGTTCAGTGAATCTGTGTTTAATAACATTAATAAAATAATAACATTTATAAAAAGTTTAAAACAATATCATCAGAATGGGATCACAGGTCATTATAAAATAAGTCATTCATTTAGCCAAAGTGATAACTCAGAGATTTCAAAAAAAGACAGAAACCTTTATTCTTTGAGAGTGGAGACTTAATTTCTGAAACAATGTGATGTAATAAAGATAGCACAAGACCAGTTAAATCTGTCTCTCAAAATCTTGTAAAAAATCTATAAAATGTTAATAATATTGACCATAAGATATAATTTCCATAAACCGGTTTGTAACCTTTATAATTTTGTATTAAGGAGTGTGTTAATGCTCCGAGAAAACCTTGTTTATCTGACACAGGGGCCCGCATGCTGGTTTTGTATCAGTGTGCCTTTGATATTAATGGTTAATTTCTATAGAAACTGAACTAATTTTATCTCTTAAAATCGGCCCTTAAATCTCATGCACTCATCTCTTCCGCAATAGTTTCTGGGCCTTGAGGAGTTAATAAAAACTATTGTTTTAATTTCTGGCCCTGTGTTTCACGAATGCAGTTTATTTTGACTGGCATCTTCTACCAGGCCTGAAGATGTGGCTTAAATTGCTGTCAGTGTTTAAGATTTAGCAGGATCTGGTGTCCTTTTTAGATGCAGGAGTCAAAGCCCTGTAACTCAATGGCACAAGGACTTTAAAAACACATACAGAAAGTTACATGGATGTAATAACCTTAATTTAAAGAATTTTTATAATCTCGGTTTTTTTCTAAGCAAACCAAAACTTAATAATACTGACATAGGAATTATTTCAATAAAACATAAATCTGTTAGGCCAGGAAAAGGCAAAAGAAAAGACCTTCTGCAGTGCACAGAATATTGTTGGAAGGAAACACTTCCTTTAGACCTTTAAGAAAACATTTTTAGCATCAGGCCACAAGAAACAGAACCCGAGGGGAAAAAATTATATGAACTGAAAATGAGTTGAAGGAGAGCGTTATTATTTTTCACCCTTTAAAAGGGGAGAGAAAACTGAAAACAGTGAGACACAATAAAAGTTGAACTTTGAGTTTATAAAGAATTAAAATCTCTTATAATTTAAGAGTAAATCAATCTGTTAAGAAAATTTCAGGGGAGGAGCCAAGATGGCCGAATAGGAACAGCTCCGGTCTACAGCTCCCAGTGTGAGCAACACAGAAGACGGGTGATTTCTGCATTTCCATCTGAGGTACCGGGTTCATCTCACTAGGGAGTGCCAGACAGTGGGCGCAGGTCAGTGGGTGCACGCACCGTGCGCGAGCCGAAGCAGGGCGAGGCATTGCCTCACCTGGGAAGCGCAAGGGGTCAGGGAGTTCCCTTTCTCAGTCAAAGAAAGCGGTGACGGACGCACCTGGAAAATCGGGTCACTCCCACCCAAATATTGCGCTTTTCGGACCGGCTTAAAAAACGGCGCACCACGAGATTATATCTCGCACCTGGCTCGGAGGGTCCTACGCCCAGGGAGTCTCGCTGATTGCTAGCACAGCAGTCTGAGATCAAACTGCAAGGCGGCAGCGAGGCTGGAGGAGGGGCGCCCACCATTGCCCAGGCTTGCTTAGGTAAACAAAGCAGCAGGGAAGCTCGAACTGGGTGGAGCCCACCACAGCTCAAGGAGGCCTGCCTGCCTCTGTAGGCTCCACCTCTGGGGGCAGGGCACAGACAAACAAAAAGCAGTAACCTCTGCAGACTTAAATGTCCCTGTCTGACAGCTTTGAAGAGAGCAGTGGTTCTCCCAGCACGCAGCTGAAGATCTGAGAACGGGCAGACTGCCTCCTCAAGTGGGTCCCTGACCCCTGACCCCCGAGCAGCCTAACTGGGAGGCACCCCCCAGCAGGGGCACACTGACACCTCACACGGCAGGGTATTCCAACAGACCTGCAGCTGAGGGTCCTGTCTGTTAGAAGGAAAACTAACAAACAGAAAGGACATCCACACCAAAAACCCATCTGTACATCACCATCATCAAAGACCAAAAGTAGATAAAACCACAAAGATGGGGAGAAAAAAGAACAGAAAAACTGGAAACTCTAAAACGCAGAGCACCTCTCCTCCTCCAAAGGAACGCAGTTCCTCACCAGCAACAGAACAAAGCTGGATGGAGAATGACTTCGACGAGCTGAGAGAAGAAGGCTTCAGACAATCAAATTACTCTGAGCTACGGGAGGACATTCAAACCAAAGGCAAAGAAGTTGAAAACTTTGAAAAAAATTTAGAAGAATGTATAACTAGAATAACCAATACAGAGAAGTGCTTAAAGGAGCTGATGGAGCTGAAAACCAAGACTCGAGAACTACGTGAAGAATGCAGAAGCCTCAGGAGCCGATGTGATCAACTGGAAGAAAGGGTATCAGCAATGGAAGATGAAATGAATGAAATGAAGCGAGAAGGGAAGTTTAGAGAAAAAAGAATAAAAAGAAATGAGCAAAGCCTCCAAGAAATATGGGACTATGTGAAAAGACCAAATCTATGTCTGATTGGTGTACCTGAAAGTGATGGGGAGAATGGAACCAAGTTGGAAAACACTCTGCAGGATATTATCCAGGAGAACTTCCCCAATCTAGCAAGGCAGGCCAACGTTCAGATTCAGGAAATACAGAGAACGCCACAAAGATACTCCTCGAGAAGAGCAACTCCAAGACACATAATTGTCAGATTCACCAAAGTTGAAATGAAGGAAAAAATGTTAAGGGCAGCCAGAGAGAAAGGTCGGGTTACCCTCAAAGGGAAGCCCATCAGACTAACAGCGGATCTCTTGGCAGAAACCCTACAAGCCAGAAGAGAGTGGCGGCCAATATTCAACATTCTTAAAGAAAAGAATTTTCAACCCAGAATTTCATATCCAGCCAAACTAAGCTTCATAAGTGAAGGAGAAATAAAATACTTTACAGACAAGCAAATGCTGAGAGATTTTGTCACCAGCAGGCCTGCCCTAAAAGAGCTCTTGAAGGAAGCACTAAACATGGAATGGAACAACCGGTACCAGCCACTGCAAAATCATGCCAAAATGTAAAGACCATCGAGACTAGGAAGAAACTGCATCAACTAACGAGCAAAATAACCAGCTAACATCATAATGACAGGATCAAATCCACACATAACAATATTAACTTTAAAAGTAAATGGACTAAATGCTCCAATTAAAAGACACAGACTGGCAAATTGGATAAAGAGTCAAGACCCATCAGTGTGCTGTATTCAGGAAACCCATCTCATGGGCAGAGACACACATAGGCTCAAAATAAAAGGATGGAGGAAGATCTACCAAGCAAATGGAAAACAAAAAAAGGCAGGGGTTGCAATCCTAGTCTCTGATAAAACAGACTTTAAACCAACAAAAATCAAAAGAGACAAAGAAGGCCATTACATAATGGTAAAGGGATCAATTCAACAAGAAGAGCTAACTATCCTAAATATATATGCACCCAATACAGGAGCACCCCGATTCATAAAGCAAGTCCTGAGTGACCTACAAAGAGACTTAGACTCCCACACAATAATAATGGGAGACTTTAACACCCCACTGTCAACATTAGACAGATCAACGAGACAGAAAGTCAACAACGATACCCAGGAATTGAACTCAGCTCTGCACCAAGTGGACCTAATAGACATCTACAGAACTCTCCACCCCAAATCAACAGAATATACATTTTTTTCAGCACCACACCACACCTATTCCAAAATTGACCACATAGTTGGAAGTAAAGCTCTCCTCAGCAAATGTAAAAGAACAGAAATTATAACAAACTATCTCTCAGACCACAGTACAATCAAACTAGAACTCAGGATTAAGAATCTCACTCAAAACTGCTCAACTACATGGAAACTGAACAACCTGCTCCTGAATGACTACTGGATACATAACGAAATGAAGGCAGAAATAAAGATGTTCTTTGAAACCAACGAGAACAAAGACACAACATACCAGAATCTCTGGGACACATTCAAAGCAGTGTGTAGAGGGAAATTTGTAGCACTAAATGCCCACAGGAGAAAGCAGGAAAGATCCAAAATTGACACCCTAACATCACAATTAAAAGAACTAGAAAAGCAAGAGCAAACACATTCAAAAGCTAGCAGAAGGCAAGAAATAACTAAAATCAGAGCAGAACTGAAGGAAATAGAGACACAAAAAACCCTTCAAAAAATTAATGAATCCAGGAGCTGGTTTTTTGAAAGGATCAACAAAATTGATAGACCGCTAGCAAGACTAATAAAGGAAAAAAGAAGAATCAAATAGACACAATAAAAAATGATAAAGGGGATATCACCACAGATCCCACAGAAATACAAACTACCATCAGAGAATACTACAAACACCTCTACGCAAATAAACTAGAAAATCTAGAAGAAATGGATAAATTCCTCGACACATACACTCTCCCAAGACTAAACCAGGAAGAAGTTGAATCTCTGAATAGACCAATAACACGAGCTGAAATTGTGGCAATAATCAATAGTTTACCAACCAAAAAGAGTCCAGGACCAGATGGATTCACAGCCGAATTCTACCAGAGGTAGAAGGAGGAACTGGTACCATTCCTTCTGAAACTATTCCAATCAATAGAAAAAGAGGGAATCCTCCCTAACTCATTTTATGAGGCAAGCATCATTCTGATACCAAAGCCGGGCAGAGACACAGCCAAAAAAGAGAATTTTAGATCAATATCCTTGATGAACATTGATGCAAAAATCCTCAATAAAATACTGGCAAACCGAATCCAGCAGCACATCAAAAAGCTTATCCACCATGATCAAGTGGGCTTCATCCCTGGGATGCAAGGCTGGTTCAATATACGCAAATCAATAAACGTAATTCAGCATATAAACAGAGCCAAAGACAAAAACCACATGATTATCTCAATAGATGCAGAAAAAGCCTTTGACAAAATTCAACAACCCTTCATGCTAAAAACCCTCAATAAATTAGGTATTGATGGGACGTATTTCAAAATAATAAGAGCTATCTATGACAAACCCACAGCCAATATCATACTGAATGGGCAAAAACTGGAAGCATTCCCTTTGAAAACTGGCACAAGACAGGGATGCCCTCTCTCACCACTCCTATTCAACGTACTGTTGGAAGTTCTGGCCAGGGCAATTAGGCAGGAGAAGGAAATAAAGGGTATTCAATTAGGAAAAGAGGAAGTCAAATTGTCCCTGTTTGCAGACGACATGATTGTATATCTAGAAAACCCCATTGTCTCAGCCCAAAATCTCCTTCAGCTGATAAGCAACTTCAGCAAAGTCTCAGGATACAAAATCAATGTACAAAAATCACAAGCATTCTTATACACCAATAACAGACAAATAGAGAGCCAAATGAGTGAACTCCCATTCACAATTGCTTCAAAGAGAATAAAATACCTAGGAATCCAACTTACAAGGGATGTGAAGGACCTCTTCAAGCAGAACTACAAACCACTGCTCAAGGAAATAAAAGAGGATACAAACAAATGGAAGAACATTCCATGCTCATGGGTGGGAAGAATCAATATCATTAAAATGGCCATACTGCCCAAGGTAACTTACAGATTCAATGCCATCCCCATCAAGCTACCAATGACTTTCTTCACAGAATTGGAAAAAACTACTTTAAAGTTCATATGGAACCAAAAAAGAGCCCGCATCGCCAAGTCAATCCTAAGCCAAAAGAACAAAGCTGGAGGCATCACACTACCTGACTTCAAACTATACTACAAGGCTACAGTAACCAAAACAGCATGGTACTGGTACCAAAACAGAGATATAGATCAATGGAACAGAACAGAGCCCTCAGAAATAACACCGCATATCTACAACTATCTGATCTTTGACAAACCTGAGAAAAGCAATGGGGAAAGGATTCCCTATTTAATAAATGGTGCTGGGAAAACTGGCTAGCCATATGTAGAAAGCTGAAACTGGATCCCTTCCTTACACCTTATACAAAAATCAATTCAAGATGGATTAAAGACTTAAACGTTAGACCTAAAACCATAAAAACCCTAGAAGAAAACCTAGGCATCACCATTCAGGACATAGGCATGGGCAAGGACTTCATGTCCAAAACACCAAAAGCAATGGCAACAGAAGCCAAAATTGACAAATGGGATCTAATTAAACTAAAGAGCTTCTGCACAGCAAAAGAAACTACCATCAGAGTGAACAGGCAACCTACAAAATGGGAGAAAATTTTCACAACCTACTCATCTGACAAAGGGCTAATATCCAGAATCTACAATGAACTCAAACAAATTTACAAGAAAAAAACAAACAACCCCATCAAAAAGTGGGCGAAGGACATGAACAGACACTTCTCAAAAGAAGACATTTATGCAGCCAAAAAACACATGAAAAAATGCTCACCATCACTGGCCATCAGAGAAATGCAAATCAAAACCACAATGAGATACCATCTCACACCAGTTAGAATGGCAATCATTAAAAAGTCAGGAAACAACAGGTTCTGGAGAGGATGTGGAGAAATAGGAACACTTTTACACTGTTGGTGGGACTGTAAACTAGTTCAACCATTGTGGAAGTCAGTGTGGCGATTCCTCAGGGATCTAGAACTAGAAATACCATTTGACCCAGCCATCCCATTACTGGGTATATACCCAAAGGGCTATAAATCTTGCTACTATAAAGACACATGCACACGTATGTTTATTGTGGCATTATTCACAATAGCAAAGACTTGGAACCAACCCAAATGTCCAACAATGATAGACTGGATTAAGAAAATGTGGCACATATACACCATGGAATACTATGCAGCCATAGAAAATGATGAGTTCATGTCCTTTGTAGGGACATGGATGAAATTGGAAATCATCATTCTCAGTAAACTATCGCAAGAACAAAAAACCAAACACCTCATATTCTCACTCATAGGTGGGAATTGAACAATGAGAACACATGGACACAGGAAGGGGAACATCACACTCTGGGGACTGTTGTGGGGTGGGGGGAGGGGGGAGGGATAGCATTGGGAGATATACCTAATGCTGGATGACGAGTTAGTGGGTGCAGCGCACCAGCATGGCACATGTATACATATGTAACTAACCTGCACAATGTGCACATGTACCCTAAAACTTAAAGTATAATAAAAAAAAAAGAAAGAAAATTTCAGTGTTCTAACCAAGTCTTTAGTGTATAAGTGGTTTTCTTAACATCAAAACCCAATCTCTAGAAAGACTTTTATAAATGATTTCCCTTTAATTATAGACAAATTGACACAAATCATTTACTACATGCTTGAACTTACTGTTTTATCCTAGACATTCGTCTTTCTTAAATAACTAGTTGTTTTATTTTAGGACAAAAATTTACCGTACAAGATTTTTTTCTCATATAAAATTATTTTTCTTTTAACCTTTCTTGCCAAAAATTCCTCTTTATGTTTATAACTTACTTTACATTGTTCTTATTCACTGATTACCTTTACATAATTTTTAAAATAACTTTTAAATAACCTTTGAATTAGACAAAAAGTATTTTTTAATAAGAACACATTTCTTTTTTTCAGAAAAAGTGTTTTCTTGTAATTAAAAAAAATTGGAAATGACCCAGACATTTAATAACTATCAATTATTTAGCTTAATATAACTTTAGATTTTAAATTATATGACAGGATTATCTACAAGCATTTATTCCATTACATTTACCTAATTAATTATTAATTGGCTTTGAGAGTCTACGGCTTTTCGAGGCACATGGTGCAAACTGCCAGTGGAGCTACCATTCTGGGGTTTGGAGGATGGTGGCCATCTTCTCACAGCTCCACTAGGCAGTACCCCAGTAAGGACTCTGTGTGGGGGCTCCAACCCCACATTTCCCTTCCACACTGCCCTAACAGAGGGGCCCCACCCCTGGAGCAAACTTTTGCCTGGGCATCCAGGCATTTCCATACATCTTCTAAAATCTAGGAGGAGGTTCCCAAACCTCAATTCTTAACTTCTGTGCACCTGCAGGCTCAATGCCACATGGAAGCTGCCAAGGCTTGGGGCTCCCACCCTCTGGAGTCACAGCTCGAGCTGTACGTTGGCCCCTTTCAGCCATGGCTGGGGAGCAGCTGGGACACAGGGCACCAAGTCACTTGGCTGCACACAGCAGGGGGACCCTGGACCTGGCCCACAAAACCACATTTTCCTCCTGGGCCCCCGGGCCTGTGATAGGAGAGGCTGCCACGAAGGTCTCTGACGTGGCCTGGAGACATTTTCCCTGTAGTCTTGGGGATTAACACTAGGCTCCTTGCTACTTCTGAAAATTTCTGCAGCCGGCCTGAATTTCTTCTCAAAAAACAGGCTTTTCTTTTCCACTGCATTGTCAAGCTGAAAGTTTTCTGAACTTTTTGCTCTGTTTTCCTTTTAAAATGGAATGCTTTTAACAGCACACAAGTCACCTTTTGAATGCTTTGCTGCTTAGAAATTTCTTCTGCCAGATACCGTAAATCATCTCTCTCAAGTTCAAAGTTCCACAAATCTCTAGGGCAGGGGCAAAATGCTGCCAGTCACTTTGCTAAAACATAATAAGAGTCACCTTTTCTCTAGTTCCTAACAAGTTCCTCATCCCCATCTGAGACCACCTCAGCCTGGACCTTATTGTTCATATCACTATCAGCATTTTTGTCATAATTAATTATTATTTTTTAATAGTTTACCCAGATTACTTATGAAAAATATGATAGTTATTTAAAGTTTAAAGTTTTCTTGTTAAACATTTATATAACCTGTGGATTCCAGGTTTTCCTAAGTAAGAACATTAAAATTAGATAAATGTGGGGTTTTTGTTTTGGTGTTACTATATTTTTTTTTTGCCAGTAAGTCAAGATTTAGTTGTTTTCATTAACCAACCAATGTTAAATGTCTTATTTATTAAATTTTATGTAAACAAAGATAATTCTCTTTTGAGCCACATTTACAGATTTATAACCCTCATACCAAATTTTGACATCTAGCAGAGATAAATAACGTATGCTGACAATTGTGAAGCCATTTCTAATTCTATTTCACCAAATTTTTAAAACCATATTATTTATTAAAGATTTAGTTAAGCCATGTGAACTTGAAAAAGCATTTGGCTTAAAGTCTCTATATTTCTGATTAAGTATTTGATTTAAGCACCTTTTTAAAAAGCCAATTATAGTTCTTTTATACATTTTTAATGGTGAAACATCATATATTTGATGCGTAAATACATAGACATATTCGACATGTAGTTAGGAGTAGACCTTATAGATTCATAAGACATGGTTTTGAAATGTGAGGACATGAGATTTGGAGAGACCAGGGGCAAAATGATATGGTTTGGCTTTGTCTCCACCCAAATATCAACTTGAATTGTATCTCCCAGAATTCCCACATGTTGGGGCATGGACCCAGGGGGAGGTAATTGAATCATGGGGGCTGGTCTTTCCCATGCTATTCTTGTGATAGTGAATAAGTCTCCCAAGATCTGATGGGTTTATCAGGGTTTTCCGCTTTTGCTTCTTCCTCATTTTTCTCTTGCCTCCACCACATCAGAAGTGCCTTTCACCCTCACCATGATTCTGAGGCCTCCTCAGCCATGTGGAACTGTAAGTCCAATTAAACCTCATTTTGTTCCCAGTTTCGGGTATGTATCAGCAGCATGAAAATGAACTAATACACACATAATTTGGAGCTTTCCTTTGGATTTGATCAAGTCAGAAAGAGTTGGTCAAACCCAGTGGGAAAAAGACCAAAACAACAACAAAAACAGAAACAAGCAAACAACAAAAAAATAGTTAAGCAAAGCAAAGAATTGCACAATTTATGTGATTACTGAGCACTCCAGTGGTAAGGAGAAATGAAGATCAGCTGGTTGTTAATCTTAACTTTAGTGAAAACAAAATTCCAATTCAGGTATTTACCTTGGGATGGGTCTGAAGCTGTTCTCTGTCATCCTAGAAGCAGGAAAAAACTCAAACTCTCCTTCCCTGTTGGAAGCAAACTCAAACTCCAGGAAGGAGTTACCTGCCTTCCATCATGAAAGCAGGAAGACTTGCCTTTGTTGTTGGCAGCAAGTAAAACTCCAAAAAGAAGGAGTTGTACAGTAAAATAAACTTTAGATCTTGACTAAAGCTTGGGAGGTCAGGGATTCTCTGGAGGGGGAGCTTCCAGGCCTCAGAAAATTGTCCTATTGGTTTGAACCATAAAGATAGCTCAAGCTGGTACTGATAGATTTGTCATAGATCAGGGGCACCTCCACTCAGAATCCCTTCATGGCCACCAAAATGTGAACCCCAAATATCTGCAACAGGTCTCAGTCAATTTAGGTTTATTTTGCCAAGGTTAAGGACGTGCCCGCAACAGCCTCAGGAAGTCCTGAGACATCTGCCCAAGGTGGTCAGGCGTACAGTTTGTTTTTATACATTTTAGGGAGACATAAGACAGGTCTTACAGTCAGTATGTGTAAGACTTACATTGGTTCAGTCTTGTAAGGTGGGACAACTCAAAGTAGGTGTTTCCAGGTTAGAAGTAGATAAGAGACAAAAGGTTGCATTATTGTGAGTCCTTGATCAGCCTTCCACTGAATACATAATTTAATCTGGCTCAGTGAATCTGCATTTTTACATAAAGAATAGGGGAGAGGAAGCAATGAGATATGGATTTGTCTCAAGTGAGCCTCAGAGGGATGACTTTGAATAGAATAGGAAACAGGTTTGCCTTAAGCTGTTCCCAGCTTGACTTTTCCCTTTAACTTAGTGATTTTGGG
This sequence comes from Homo sapiens, assembly GCF_000001405.40. Lineage (NCBI taxonomy): Eukaryota > Metazoa > Chordata > Mammalia > Primates > Hominidae > Homo > Homo sapiens. The sequence continues at coordinate 80,414,875 of NC_000023.11, forward strand.
GTCCCAAGATTTATTTTCCTTTCTCACAATATTGATTTTTCCTATATATGAACATGAAATGCTTTTCCTTTTTTGTATTATGTCTGATATTTTTATCAGTGTTTTGTAATTCTCATTGTAGCAATCTTTTACCTCCCTGCTTAGATGTATTCCCAGGTATTTTATTCCTTTTGTGGCTATTTTGAATGGTATTGCATTCTTCATTTGGCTCTCAGCTTGGATGTTGTTGGTGTAGAGAAATGCTACTGATTTTCATACATTAGTTTTGTATCCTGAAGATTTGATGAAGTTGTTTATCAGATCAAGAATCTTTTGGGCAGAGCCTATAGGGTTTTCTAGGTATAGAATAATATAATCAACAATCAGTGATAGTTTGACTTCCTGTCTTCCTATTTGGATACCCTTTATTTTTTTGTTGTTTGTTTGTTTTGCCTGATTTTTCTAGCTAGGACTGCCAGTACTGTGTTGAATAGGAGTCTTGAGAATGGGCATACCTGTCCTGTTCTGGTTTGCAAGGGAAATCTTCCAGCTTTTGCCCATTAAGTATGATTGGCTTTGGGTTTGTCATATATGGCTGTTATTATTTTGAGATATGTTCCTTCAATACCTAGTTTATTAAGATTTTTTAACATAAATGGATGTTAAATTTTATCAAAAGCCTTTTCTGCATCTATTGAGATTTTCATGTTGTTGTTGTTTTTAGTTCTGTTTATGTGAACATTTATTGATTTGCATATGTTGAACCAACCTTACATCCCAGGGATAAAGCCTACTTGATCATGATGGATTAACTTTTTAATGTGTTGCTTGATACGGTTTGCTGATGTTTTCATGAGGATTTTTGCATCCATGTTTATTAAGGATATTGGCCTGAAGTTTTCTTTTTTGTTTTGACTTTGCCGTTTTGTGGTTATCAAGATCTTGTTGGCCTCATAGAATGAGTTAGGGAACAGCACCTCCTCCTCAGTTTTTGGGACTGGTTTCAATGGGAATGGCACCAGCTCTTCCTTATACATTTGATAAAATTCAGTGTGAATCTGTCTGGTCTTTGTACTTTCTGATTTTTAGGCTTTTTATTACTGATTTGATTTTAGAACTCATTACTGGTTTGTTCAGGGATTGAGTTTATTCCTGGTTCAATCTCAGTTGTTGTATGTTTACAGGAATTTATCCAGTTATTCTAGGTTTTCTAGTTTGTGTGTGTAGAGGTACTCAAGGTTTTTTTCTTTTTTTTTTGTATTTCTGTTGGGTCAGTGGTAATGTCCCTGTAGTCATTTCTGATTTTGTTTATTTGGATATTCTCTCTTTTGTCTTTACTAATCTAGGTAGTTGTCTATCTTATTTATTCTTTCAAAGAACCAACTCCTGGCTTCATTGATATTTTGAATTTTTTTTTTTTTTTTTTTGCATCTGAATTTCCTTCAGTTCGGCTGTGATTATGGTATTATCTTCTGCTGGTTTGGAGGTTAATTTGCTTTTGTTTTTATTTTTCCTCTTTACGTTATGTTAGTTGGTTTTTTTTTTTTATCTTCCTAACGTTTTGATGTCATCGTTTAGTGTTATAAACTTCCCTTTAACACTGCTTTAGTTGTGTCCCAGGGATTCTGGTATGTTGTCCCTTTTTTCTTACTAATTTCAAAGAATGTCTTGATTTCTGCCTTAATTTCCTCGTTTACCCTGAAGTCATCCAGGCACAGGTTGAATTTCATGTAACTGTATGGTTTTGAGCAATTTTCTTAGTATTGATGTCTGTTTGGGGTGGGGGGTGCTGTGGTCTGAACATGTGGTTGGTATGAATTTTTCTTTCTTTCTTTCTTTCTGGAATTTGCTGAGGATTGTTTTTTGGCTGATTGTGTGGTCAATTTTAGAGTATGTGCCATGTGCAGCTGTGAATTTATATTCTCTTGTTTTTCAGAGAATTCTGTAGATGTCTATTAGGTCAATTTGGTCAGGTGTTGAGTTCAGGTCCTGAATAACTTTGTTAGTTTTCTGCCTCAATGATTTTTCTTATACTGTCAGTGGGGCATTGAACTCTCCTGCTATTATTGTGTGGTTATCTAAGTATCTTTATAGGTTTTTAAGAACTTGCCTTATGAATCTGGGTGCTCCTGTGTTGGGTGCATATATCTTTAGAATAGTTAGGTCTTTTTGTTGAATTGAACCCTTTACTACTATATCATTTCCTGATTTCTCCTTTTTGACTTTTGTTGCTTTAAAATCTGTTCTGTCTGTAATTAGTATAGCAATCCCTGCTTTTTTTTTCTATTTTCCATTTGTATGAAAGATTTTTCTTCATCTGTTTTCTTTGAGTCTGGGTGTCATTATATGTGAGATTGGTCTCTTGAGGACAGCATACCATTGGATCTTGTTTCTTTATCCAACTTTCCAATTTGTACCTTTTACTTGAGGCATTTAAGCCTTTATGTTCAAGGTTAATATTGATATGTGCAGATTTCATTCTATCATCATGTTATAAGCTATTCATTATGCAGATTTGTTTGTGTGTTTGCTTTATTGTATCAGTCATCTGTGTGCTTAAGTGTGTATTTGTGGTGGCTGGTAATAGTTTTTTTTTTTTTTTTTCCACTTTTAGCCCTATCTTCAGGACCTCTTCTAAGGCAGGTGTGGTGGTAATAAATTCCTTTAGCATTAGCTTTTCTGAAAAGAATCTTATTTTTCCTTCGCTTATGAAGCTTAGTTTGACTGGCTATGAAATTCTTGCTTTGAATTTCTTTTATTTAAGTATGCCGAATACAAGCCTCCAGTGCCTTTTGGCTTTTAGGGTTTCTGTTGAAAGATCTATTGTCAGCCTAATGGAGTTCCCTTTGTAGGTGATCTGCTCCATTTTCTCTAGCTTCCTTTAACATTTTTTCTTTCATTTCAACCTTGGAAAATCTGATGACTTTGTGTCTTGGGTAAGGTCATCATGTATATTATCTTGCAGGGATTCTCTGCATTTCCTGAATTTAGATGTTAGCCTTGTTAGTGAGCTTGGGAAATGTTCATGAACAATATCCTGAAATAGGTTTTCCAAGGTGTTTGCTTTCTCTCCTTCTCTTTCAAGGGTGCCAATCAGGTGTAGACTTGGTCGCTTTACATAATCCTGTATTTCTTGGAGGTTTTATTTATACTTCTTTAATATTTTTAAAAATTTTTTTCCAACTGAGTTATTTCAGAGAACCAGTCTTTGAGCTCTGAGATTATTTCCTCATTTTTGCCCTAAAATGCCACAATTCACTCAGTAACATAAAAATCATTCTTACTTGAAAAGGGATCTTTAATGATTTTTTTTTGAGTCAGGTTCTTGCTCTTTTGCCCAGGCTGGAGTGCAGTGGGGCAGTCATGCTTCACTGCAGCCTCGAACTCCTGAGCTCAAGTGATAATCCTACCTCAGCCTCCCAAATTGGTAGGATTACCAGTTCATGCCACCATGCCCAACTAATTTTTTAAATTTTTTTTCAAAGACAGGGTCTCATTATGTTGCCCACACTGGTCTCAAACTCCTGGCCTCAACAGATCCTCTTGCTTCAGCCTCCCAAAACTCTGGTTGATTTAAAAAGTATATGTATCCAAAATGAGTCAAAAGAGAATGACACTATTGGTCAAATTGGGAATTATGACCTTTGGAATGAATGGGGATGAAACCAGAATATTTGGATTGCTAAACAGCTATTTAGCAGTAGTTGTCTTTTGACTTCTGTTTTGTCTTTTCTTCTCCCAAAACTCCTTCCTCCTATCTTCTTTCTCACTGATACTTGTACTATCTTTGTTATTATACTGTTTTGACTTTTTATATTGGTAAAAGACATATTTTTAAATCTTTATAAAAAGATAGTTGAGAATTTGACCTATATCTGATATATGTATTTTATTTTAGAATTTGACCTATATCTGATATATGTATTTTATTTTAAACATGTAGTACTTTACAGAATTCATTATTGCTGATTAATGAAACTGCCTTATGACATTTTCAGATTTCTTTCCAATAACCCTTGCTTGTATATTAAATGGCACCCTACAAAATATCTGATTTCTTATTCTACTTAAAACCCCTCCTCCACCCCCTACCTAGCTAGCTAACTCTTTGTTCATCATGTCCATTTTATCTGTTACTCTTTTCATGAATTTCTTTGCATAATTTGTTTTTTATTTTTTTCAATGGGATCATAGACCCTACCTCTATTCTTCACATTCTTTTGAATGAGGATTGAGTTAATTAAAGCACTTAATACCTGACACATTATAAGCATCATATAATTTTTAGTTATCATTGCCATTTAATTATGTTTAAAAATTCTACACTCAAAAGTTTAAAATTAAAAACTTATATTCAGTATTATATATATCATGTAATGTAATTTTCATATCTTTAAGAAACTGTACACGTATATTTTTCTTTAAAATTAAACTCCAGTGTAACATTCTTTATATACAAGGATTAGGATTATAGTCTTAAATGTTACTAAAAATTATTTATTTCTTTGTCATATATTATACTGCCAGGAAAACATTGAGTAGGTATCTTGTTTTACCTTTGGCCCCTCCAAAATGTATTTAGTCTTTTCTATGTTTTACTGGAAAATGCTATAAATTATCTATCTTAAAAATATCACATGGATCACTGGCTTAGCCAGACAATTTTCTTCCTATATCTACCTATTTGCCTATCTTTGTAATCTTGATATTCTTATTCAAACAGTTATGTGATAGTTTCTATAAATTGGACATACTGTAACAAAACATTATTTTGAGAAGAACTCTGTCTTTTAAATGTTCTTTTTAAAAATTAGTTGTTGGCACTCAAAACAATTATACTTATCAACCATAATACTTTTTTAACTGTTTCTTTTTGAGACAAAGGCTTGCTCTGTTTCTCAGGCTGGAGTGCAGTGGTGTGATCATGGCTTACTTCAGCCTTGACCTTCTGGGCTCAAGCAATTCTCCTACCTCAGCCTCCTGAGTAGCTGGAATGACAGATATGCATCCCCACACCGAGCTAATTTCTTTTTATATTTTTTATAGAGTCGAAGTCTCTCTATCTTGCCCAGGCTAGTCTTGAACTCCTGGGCTCAAGTAATCCTCCAGCCTCAGCCTTCCAAATTGCTGGGATTACAGGCATGAGCCACCATGACCAGCCTCTTTTTAATTGTTTAAGAATTTTTTTTAAAACAAAAACATGTTCACTTGGGGGTAAAAATTAAATAGAGAATATTTTCCCAAATTCTGTATTTCAGAAATTACAACTTAATTTTGAAGTTACATGTAGGCAGTTACAATACTTACAAAACAAAAATGTTTGCCTATCTGTGTGAATCTGCATGGTTTAACTGGTTATTTTCACTATTTTTTTCTCCTTCCTCCCTCTTCACTATTTTTTAACTTAAGTTCAAGTATCTTGAGGAACCTGTTTTTAATCTTTAATATATCTAGTATAACATTGTCTTTTTTGAGATTTGGGACTCAGAATTGCCCTATTTAAATTTATTTTTTGAAAATTCCCCCATCTATAAGAGCATTAATGATGCAATAATAATATTCCTTGTCTCCTGGCAACAGTAACCCTGGAATTGCAGCAAGTGAGGTGTAGAGAATGTGTGGAGATCAGGTGATGCAGAACTCTGGTAAAGGATGTTAGTCTTCAGAGTAAGACTGTTAAATTCAGCAAAGTCTACTATCAGAAGACACGGTGAGCAATCTTGTAGAAAGGGAGTTTTTCTTTTAGTTTTAACTCTGAGCACACATCAAAATTGACGTTTAATTTATATTTTGTCCAGAAACTTATTTGATTCAACTAAAATATCTTTGAAAATTATCTCTTTCATTAATAACTGTGCCCAAAATCATGGCTGTGGTAAAACTGAACTCAGTTAATATGTTTAAAAGGGCATCAATAATTGTTTTAATATTTTATTTTCTGAACTAGCTCAAGAGTAAGAGATAAAAGACATAACTGATACGTTGATATAGTATTAAGAATTATGTTTTTTCAGAACTCTAGAGTAAGAGAGTTACAAAACTCCCTACGTCCTACATTAATTGACTGACACATTGACATCTCAATAAATAGCCTGATGATGGATTATTTTCAAACTTTAATTTGTTTCTGAAGTGAAGTATTAAAAGACTATACCTAATTCCTTTTTTGATATCAAATGTTTTTAATTACTACATACCAGTGAAAGAAAGTTATTGTCAGGTAATCAAGCATGTTTACATATCTGTATTTTTTTTATATAGTCCTGAACTTCCTTTTCAGATTATTTTTTTTCCTTTAAAGCACTCATGTCTTATCTCATTTGTATAGTTTTTGTTTGTTTGTTTGTTTTTTAGATGGGGTCTCACTCTGTCACTAGGCTAGAGTGCAGTGGCATGATCTCGGCTCACTGCAATCTCTGCCTCCCAGGTTCAAGCGATTCTCCTGCCTCAGCCTCCAGAGTAGCTGGGACTACAGGCATGCACCACCACACCCAGCTAATTTTTTTTTGTATTTTAGTAAAGACGGGGTTTCACCATGTTGGCCAGGATGGTCTTGATCTCCTCACCTCGTGATCTACCCGCCTCGGCCTCCCAAAGTGTTGGGATTACAGGCGTGAGCCACCGTGCCTGGCCTCACTTGTATAGCTTTTAAGTACCTTAAGAGTGAAGTTACCTTATTTTCCTCTAGTAGAACAATTTAATGCAAGTAAAGTTTAGAAAAATAATCAAATTAATCATAAACTGAATGGATTTTATTAAGCCAATTGTATTTTAAAATAGCAAAGACTGCATTTTGAAATTGTTTCTTTAAAGAATGCCATTATCATTCACCCTTTTTCTCCTATGAAAATTAACTGCAGATGTGAGAGAAAATATGAGGACCTGAATATCTGTAGCCAAACTAAGAGTAGAAGGTGTTGAAATGAGGGAGGGGACTTCCCCATGATAAGGAGACTTAAGGAAAAAAGTGACTAGAAAAAAATGCCACGTCTTTCAGCAAAACTGCCTTCTGAGCGTGAACTTAAATTTGTATTTGTGTTGGAAATGCTTGAAGAAATGTGAGGAGAAGGAGGAGTTATTTGTGTGTCGGGGGGTGGGAAAAAAAGTGGAGGTTACTGAGTGGGAGGTTGGGAATTCATGGGGCAAGTCATTATTTATAAGAAAAAAAGGGAAAATAGTTTTTGGTATAGGAAAGGAGAAAGGTAGTAGTATCCCATGGGAGAAAGTTCAGCAATGAAGGAGAATGGAAAGTAATAAGAGATCACCCCACCTAGGGTAGGTAGAATCCATATGATTCCTTCTTTCTTTATTTCTCTCCCTTTAAAAAAATGCCTTTCATGGCTGGGTGCAGTGGCTCATGCCTGTAATCCCAGCACTTTGGGGGGCTGAGGTGGGTGGATCACGAGGTCAGGAGTTCAAGACCATCCTGACCAACATGGTGAAACCCCGTCTCTACTAAAAATACAAAAATTAGCTGGGCATGGCAGCGCATGCCTGTAATCCCAGCTACTCGGGAGGCTGAGGCAGGAGAATCGCTTGAACCTGGTAGGCAGACATTGCAGTGAGCTGAGATCGCGCCACTACACTCCAGCCTGGCAACAGAGCTAGACTATGTCTCAAAAAAAAAATTGCATTTCATTTTATCTTTCTTTAATGGCCCCTTCTCTTGCTTGCCTACTAGCAGGCTCCCTCCTGAGCCTCACGCTAACACCACACCCCTGTAGTTTTTCTCCTTGATGGGATGGGTTTGAGGAGAGCAGCAGTTGGTGAGGTAAGTTTTAATGTCTGAGAGGGTGCGGTGAGTAGACGGGGAGAGCTATGAACAGAAGTTTTTTGGGTTTTTTTTGTTAGTAAAAGGCTTTTTCTAGAAACATTGGGATGAGTTTCTACTTTTCTCCTTCCTCAGATAGTGTTTAAGAGGGATGTGAAAGATGTATATGGTGTTGGCTATAATTCTGGAGTCCCCTTCAGAGAATACTTAATTCCTTGAGTGTTGACAGGGTTATCCACAGAGGGGTTAGTGATTTGGAATGATGTGGATAAAGCTTATGAGGTTACTGGGTTTACTGTGAGGGTCATGGCGAGTTGTACAGCATCCAGTGCAGAGAGAATGGCATTTTGGTCTCACTAGGTGGCTTTACCTCCCAGCTTGCTTGAAAGCCTGTTGTACTTCAGAGTATTCTCAGCGATTCCCTTCAAAAGGGGCTGGAGATTTCTCTGGCCAGCTTGCTTCTCTGAAATTGGTGGCAGTTTGGAGAGGCAGCAACTCTGCATCATTTACATCAGAAGCAAGAGAAGCTCACTTGGTGACTGTTGAATTCACATAGCTATAAATCTTTACCAGCTACAGCCACTGGAAGGGGCAGAGGAAGAGTAGGAAGGGGAAGTAGTACTACTGTTGTAGTTTTCCCAATGAAGCAAAATATGTAGCAGTATTTTGTTGTTTGAGATAGTATCCAGAGTTTTTTTTTTATATTTAAGAGAATTAAGGAGCGTGGACACAAGGGTGAATTTCAAGTGAAAGTTTAATAAGCAAAAGAAGAACGCTTTCTGCAGCAGACAGTGGGGCCCAAAGGGGTTCCCCACCATGAGGCCGGGGTTCAGGGTTTTTATGGACCGGGATGGGAAGGAATGTGCATAGTTTGCAGGCTGTTTTGAGGAAAGTGTGATTTAGCTTGGTCTGGGACCAATCAGGAGCTGAAGTGATGATTTATTGGGGCTACCTAGCTTGGCCCAGGACCTAGTAGAAGCTGAAGTGAAAGCTTGGCCAAAGACCTTGGCCCTGGGACCAATTAGGAGCTGAAGCAATGATTTATTTAGGCCGAGCTTACGGTTTAAAGCATGTTTAGAAAAGAAAAAAAAAAAAGTGCCCACCAGAACCTACTGGAGCACCCCATGTACATGCCCACATAAGGAGAAGAGACTATTTCCTGGAAGCCTGCTGGTTATACAAAGGACAAAGACATTTCTATGCAGAGTCTTGTTCTCTTATTACCGTGGCTGCAGGCATGTCTTAGGCACAAAGAACAAAGGTTGGGCCTTGTTTCTTTATCTGAGTGGGCCAGAGGTTTGTGCAAGTTTTCTTATCTGTGCCTGCAGCCTGATTTTTCAGGCTGTTTCTCCAATTACAGGAGTTTTACCAAGGGCCCACCCTAACTGCCACCTTTTCTCTCTTATTCTCCCCCTCAGGAGTGGAGACCCTAACTGCTGTTAGGGAGATTAAGCGTTGATTTTTTTTTTTTAGCTACTTTTTGCTGGAGATGGGTGTTGTGTGGGGAACAGCAACTAGGGTTTCTTTTGGGGCTGGCTTAAGGGTCCTTGGAAGAAAGGCATGTTTATGCATGGTTCCTTTTGCATTACCATTTGTAGCTTGATAGCCGTTAGATGAGAAGAAACAATGTGGGTTATTAGAGTACATGTATTAAAATGAAACAAGGATGGAGGTAAAGAAGCTTAAAAATTCCAAGGCTAAGTGATGGCTAGTTATGCGTGTTAAGATTTGGGTTCATGGGGCTTGGCTTCGGTTAGCTTTCTTGGTTTTACTTTTTAAACAAAGAAACTTGTGGGTTATGCGAACTTTATTTACTTTTATTACCTGGCAGGACTTGTGGGATAATTGCCCAGAACTAGAGTATTGTTTTCGATTTCTACATTACCCATTCCCTTTTGTTTCCTTTGAGTGGTAGTTGGAGATTGCTGGTTGATTTACAGAAATAGGGTTAGTTTAAAATGTAGGTAGGCAAGAACTTGAAAACAACTACTGAGACTAGAAATTAATGACAGCTGTATGATAACTTTTGAAACATAATTTTTTCTCCAGTCCTCATTTTTGTTAAAAACAAATTATGATAAGATTGTGTTGTTTGCAAAATAGACTTTAGTCTCATACTTGGCCTGATTATTTACAGAAACTGCAGCAAGAATAATTACCTTTACATAGGCCTTTTAGATGGGCTTTGATGGAACTCTGTTTTACAAGGAATCTTAGATAGGACTTTTTAAAGCTGAGCCCAGCCATGGGTTTGCACCCTTAAATACCTGTGAGTTGGGTAAACTCCTTTTTTTCTGAGGTTTCAAGAGCATGGTGTTCTGGGCCTGTTAGAAAATGACTTTTTTACTCACCACAGATTAAGAACCCTGTACAGGGACTGTGTAGACAAAGTATAAGGCCAATTTTTCCAAGGGGCTTTTTTTGGCTTTTCAAGTTAAGCTTGACTTCTTAAAGGGAAACACATCCTTTTAGTTAAACCCTTGGCAAAACACCAGTTTTTAAATTGTCCTGTTGCAAAAGAAAATGCATTCTTATTGCACTGATGCAAACAATATATTGTTAGAAGTTAAGAATGCTTACATGTAGTGTCTGAATTTTAGAGGAACCAGGCAGAGAGAAACAAACATGTTTTACATTTTGCTTTCAGGAGTATACCTCACTTAATTGTTAAAGGCTGTATCTAGTTTAAAATAAGTTTTCTTGACTGAAAAACAAGGATTAGCAATATTTTAAGCAAAAGTTAAAAAGATTATATTAGCTTTTTATGAGTTCAGTCCATTCAGTTAACTCTTGTTTTGCTTGATATTTATAAACATTTCAGCTTTTTATGAATCCTGTATGCTTTTCCATTATTAGATACCTGCATTTGAAAGCACCTGTTAAAGTTTTACAGCTGAGTTTAAAACATTTTTTGAAGAGGATTAAAACAAGACAATTGTCTTAAATGACAAAATGATCAGGGTGTTTACAGTTAGAAACACAATTGTCAAAGAAATTTGGTTATTTTTGTGGTTTACAACAGTTTAAGATAATTTCAATTATAATTGATAGCATATATTTAAACATTAGAACTTTAGACATCCCATATGGTTTTAGAACATATGTTAATAATATTTACTGAAGGCTGGGCACAGTGGCTCATGCCTGTAATTCCAGCACTTTGGGAAGCTGAGGTAGGCGGATTACAAGGTCAGGAGTTTGAGACCAGCCTGGCCAATATGGTGAAACCCTGTCTCTACTAAAAATACAAAAATTAGCTGAGCATGGTGGTGGGCACCTGTAATTCCAGCTACTCGGGAGGCTGAGGCAGGAGAATCACTTGAATCCGGGAGGCAGAGGTTGCAGTGAGCCAAGATCACGCCACTGCACTCCAGCCTGTGCGACAGAGTGAGACTCCATCTCAAAAAATAATAATAATAATAATAATATTTACTGAAATATAACCTGAAGAAGATTAAACATTACTTTGGCAATTCCATGTATTTAAACATCTTTAATAATTCTGTTTACCTGTTTTCTGGATGCTCTAGGGGCCCGCTGTAGCATCCGAAAGCTAGGTGTTAGGAAAGTCTATTTATTTTGGGAAGCCCATTAAATATGTTATTGGTTTAAAACACTTGATATTATGAAATGGAATTTTAGATTACCATAAGTTATTTATTTTTCTAAAATGATGACTTAAAAATTTGAAAAATCAAAAGCCTTTTATTAGCCTTTAGTATTACACAAAAATCCTGTTCAAGAGAGAAAGCCAAATTTTACCCTTGCATTAGTTTACTATTAATGTTAACCCCAATTTTTAATGAAACCTTGTGGACAATTATATTTAATTTTCACTGGTTTGATCATGAAGTGAGATTTTTACAAACCTTTTATAACCCTTTACAAATTTTACTGAAAAGAAAACCTTGTTGTGCTTTTATTTTAATGCTTAACTTAAAGAAAAATCTATGTAATACTCCTTTGAATTTAGTTAACATGTATATACAGAGTTTTCATGGTAAGATTAATTCATACAGTTTTTCCACAGTTTGCTTAAATCTTCTGCTTTATTTTATTTAAGAAAATTCTTTATCCCTAGGCAAAATGTACATTTCCATGCCTTCTTACAATTTTTTAGTAAAAACACATTTTACTGTTTTCACACGCCTTGCACGTAAATCCATTTTCAGTAGTTGATATGGTTTGTCTGTGTCCCCACCCAAATTTCAACTTGACTTGTATCTCCCAGAATTTCCACATGTTGTGGAAGTGACCCAGGGAGAGGTAACTGAATCATGGGGGCTGGTCTTTCCTGTGCTATTCTCATGATAGTGAATGAGTCTCACGAGATCTGATGGGTTTATCAGGGGTTTCCACTTTTGCTTCTTTCTCATTTTCTCTTGCTGCCACCATGTAAGAAGTGCCTTTCGCCTCCCACCATGATCCTGAGGCCTTCCCAGACATGTGGCACTGTAAGTCCAATTAAACCTCTTTTTCTTCTCAATCTCAGGTATGCCTTTATCAGAAGCATGAAAACAGACTAATACAGTAGACTTAATTACATGTTATAATGGTAACTCTTAGCAATTTTTAACTTCAATGTAAAACTTGGTAAGTTGTTATAATTATATACTAGGTGCAGATAAAGTTTGATGTTTTTCAGCATAATTAGAGGCATATGGTTACTTTCATATGTCCCCAGACCTTACCCATTGTGAAGCAGGCAAGTTGAACAGTTTTTAAAGGCCAAAGAAGCAGTTTAAAACCTTAAAACATTTAGCAAACCTACTATGTGACTTGCATAATTTAGACTACCTATTTATATTTTTAAGACATTTGCATTTTACCAATAATCTTTAAGGCTGTTTTTATTTTTTAAAGATTAAAGTCACATGAACTGAAAGGTACCAGAGCTTTTATTTTTCCCTTTAAAAAATATTTGATCCAAGGGCTTATCCTTTTTCAAGTTAATTAATTAGAGCTCTTCTTAAATAGACATTACACACACAACACATGTATAACTACACAGACAGGCAGAAGAAAATCCAGCAGCTTAGGGTGGAACCATTTAAGAATAGGGCTCAGAAAGTATGTAGTTTCTGTGGCCTGACAAACAAGCATACCTGGAAGGCGAAAATAGATTTTGAGAGGTATTTATTTGCCTCTAATTTCAGGGGTTTAATGAGGAAAACAGATATTTTTCCCAAAATGGGATTTGTGGTGACTTTTCGGTTTTCTCAAGGAGTCCTGGGTTACCAGAAGTTATCCTAGGGCCTTTTATGCATGCACCAAGAGTGGCAAGACAGATTGGAGGAAAATAATTTAGTTGACTGAGAAAAAACGTTTTCCAGAAAAACAAATTTATGAAGAGAAAAACATAAAGGCTTTAAAAATATACCTATAACTTAAATATCCACTTTTAATTAAGCTGAGCACTTTTTAAGAAAATTATTTTTTATTAATTAAAACTACAGAGAGTATAAACAGTGATTCTTACTATTTCTTTTATCAGTTTATACCACTATCTGTTCACAATAATGTTCAGGTTTTCTAGTTTTCTCTGGAAGAAAGTGGCTGCATTCAGACGGGGAGTTTTTTAGGTGGACTGCAGATCACTCTAGCAGCAAAGCTTGATATTTGAGGAGGTGATTGTCTGTTAGCCAGAGACTTTCCCTAGAGGACAGCAGTCTTGCTATATTGTGTGGGGTGTAAACAGTTAAGTTATTCCCCATGGTTAACCTGTTGGCTTCTGGCACCTGCAAAGCCACCACTGCAACTTCTTAGAGGCAGGCTGGCCATCCTTTAGCCATTAAGTTAAATTCCTTGCTTAGGTAACCCACTGATTGTTGAGCTGCACCTTGAGCCTTAGTTAAAACTTCCAGGGTTATTCCCTTGCTTTCTGATACATAGAGATTAAATGCCTTCCTTATGGGAAGACTGAAGAAAGCTGCTGCTTTCAAGCAAGGCTTGCTTTAATTGTTTAAAGGCTTTTGAGTTTTACGTTCTTAAGTTAGGGAGTGAGTTTTATCTGCTCGAGTTTCTTTTATGAGGTGGTATAAAGGGTGAGCTATTCCACTGTACCCAGGTACCCACAGTCTGCAAAATTCATTAATGCCTAAGAATCCTCTTAACTGTTAAAGTAAATGGGCTTAATCCTTTTCTCACCTGGTGCTCTCATCACTTTTGATAAGGCTGACTTACATACTTTACTGAAGTCTGACAGAGCTGAGCTTTAGATTTTGAGACCCTATATTCCCTTTTAGCTAAGAAATTATGAAGAGCTTTTAGTGCCTTCTAGAGAAGCCCTTCACGATTGTGCAGTGGGAGGAAGGGAGGCCTGGACTGGGGAGGAGAACAGAAAGACCAGCTTCAGTGTTTAGAAGGAAGTTTACCTTCCTCCCTTTTACCTCCAGAATTACCCAGGGCCCCTGAGTCATAATGGCAGTCTGAGTTGATGGAGCCGGGGGGTTGAGCCTCAGGACCCATTAGTCCTGCTGGATCATTTGTGAGACAGGCCCTGGACCTGGTGACTTGCACCTCTGGAGACATTCTGCCTTTTAGTGGTCCCCACCACAAGCTGGACAGGGTTGAGGTGGCTTTTTTATTGCCTGGGCACTCCCTTTTGAAGTGTTCTGGCTTGCCATACTGATAGCAATTAGCAGGTGCACCAGGGGACTCTGGATTTTTGTTGTTGTTGTTGTTTGTTTATTTTTTGAGACAGAGTCTTGTTTTGTCGCCCAGGCTGAAATGCAGTGGCACAATCTCGGCTCATTGAAACCTCCACGTCCTGGGTTCAAGCAATTCTCCTGTCTCAGCCTCCCGAGTAGCTGGGATTACAGGTCCCTGCCACCACGCCCAGCTAATTTTTTTTTTTTTAGTAGAGACAGGGTTTCACCATGTTGGCCAGGCTGGTCTCAAACTCCTGACCTCAAGTGATCCTCCTGCCTCGGCCTCCCAAAGTGCTGGGATTACAGGCGTGAGCCACTGCACCCAGCCAGGACTCTGGATTTTATAGGCCTGTGAAGTGGCCACTACTGCTTCTGTTCTTTTCTTGTGCTTCCCCTCTTTTTCCTGGGCCTCCTCCTCCTGGTTTCTCTTGTAAAAGACCAAGGAGGCTGTCTTCAGGAGGTTTTTATAAGGTACCCTTTGGTCCCATAGCCTGCTTTTGTAGTTTCCTTTTGATACCAGGGGCTTCCTGAGTAATAAATACATCTTTTAAGATTATCTGTCCCTCAATTGAATTACGAGATAGGGAGGTGTGTTTCACTAAAGCTTCTCTCAGCCTTTTTAAAAAGGCCATCTGGTTTTTGATTTAACAAAGACAGTTTAGAGTAATTAAGATGTTTGGTTCTGGTTCTTTGCATTCTATTGGGAATGGGGATCCTGCTTTTTTTTTTTTCTTCACCGTCTTTCCCTTTTTGACTGGGTTTCTCTGTTGACTGGCTATAGGAGACATGGTGTTTGTCTCTGAATCTCTCTGCTGCCTGTAGGGCTGCCTGCTTTTTGGCAGCCATTAGGATTTGGCTAGGAGTAAAAAAACATTTCCCCATGCAAGATTAAACACTTGGGTTAGATTTTGGAAAGCCTTTATATATTTATTGGGGTCATTAGAAAACTTGCCTAGGACACCCTTTATTTGTTTAAGGTTCTGCAATGAGAAGGGAATTTGAACCCTAATAGTACCATGTCCATTGGTCATTTCCTACAGAAGCAACAGCGAAATTAGGGGTTTCTTGGGTGTTACAGCCAGAGGAGCCGATGATATGACTGCTGGGAGCCCTGGATAAGGGGGAAAGGTAGGGCATTTAGAAGTTGCATTTGAGAGTTCCCCAGGGGTTTGTTTTTCTGACTTTGGGGAGTTATTTTTTGTAGGCTTGGCTGATATGACTGCCAAGAAGGGCAGGATTAATTTTACAATGCTTATAAAGATCTGGGTTATCTTGCAAGGCAAAGAAAGCTTGTACATAGGGAACCTCAGACCATTTGCCCTCCAGTCTGCAGAAAAGATTTAGTTGTTGGATAGTATTGAAATTAACACTTTCCTGAGGAGGCCAGGCCTTCTGTCCCTCCTGAAGTTGGTAAGATGGCCATGCACTTGTACAACAGAATATATGCCATTTTTTTTCTTTTGAGTCCTAGGGTCAAAGGAGTTCCAGTGTTTTAGAATGCACTCAAGAGGAATACAGACTGCAGATGGTTTGTTACCCAACTAGAAAAGAGGCGGGGGAAAGATGTCTCCTTTCTCTTTTCTGAGTGACCCAGAGTGACCCTAGCCCTCCATCTTGCTGGTTTCCTAGACACACTTGGCCCATAGGGCTCCCAAGATACCCTAGGGGCCTGGGAGAGATTATGTAGTAGTTGGATTTGGGCAAGACTCTTTAACAGAGGGAGTGTTTTAATACTATCTCTGGCTTCCCTTCCTATGGCCCCAGTGAAACATTAGAATTCCAGAGAATGACACCAATTGACTTCCAAATATAAAATCCCATTGTTGTTTAAATGTCAATGTAGTTACATTCAGAGCATGTGCCTTAAAAGAATACAAAGATTGAATGGCTGTTTTTCCTTTGATGGGGACAGTACCAAGGCTGGAATCTGTCTTACCGGGATGGCTTCCTCCTGGCTATTGAAAGTGGAGTTTTTCTGACTACAAATAGGGTATGGGGCCTGATCACTGATAGAGGGATGTAAGAGAGAAAAAATTGGGGGAACTAGAAATTTGGGGCAAAGAGCTGACAAGGCTCCCCAAGGAGAAAAATTCCATCCCACTAGATGGCGCTGTAAGGTCTGAAATGTTAGGTAAAAACTGACTCCAAATTCTTTTTAGACAAAAGTTAGAAAGAGAGTTTTAGGGCTTGATAGGCTGTCTTAAAGTATGCCTCCCAGCAGAAGAAAATTGTGTATTAGTCTGTTTTCATGCTGCTGTTAAAGACATACCTGAGACTGGACAATTTACAAAAGGAAGAGGCTGGGACACCTGACAATCATGTTGGAAGGCAAGGAGGAGCAAGTCATGTCTTACATGGATGGCAAAAGGCAAACTTGTGCAGGGAAACACTCTTTTTAAAACCATCAGATCTCATGAGACTCATTATCATGAGGCCAGCACAGGAAAGACTTCCCCCATGAATCAGTTACCTCCCACCAGTTCCCTCCCACAACACATGGGAATTCAAGATGAGATTTGAGTAGGGACATAGCCACACCATATCAACTTTTTCATAGAAAAGTATTTTAGTTCTGCTGGGAAGTGCTGGCTTCTCACATGGGAAAAGGAACAGCTTAAATGAAGGAGGGGATAGTTGCTTGGGGAGAAATAACTCCCTGTTTAACTCCATTGAGTGCTATTGTTGGGAGATAAATAGGTTTTCAGATAAATAGGTTTTCTGAATAGATTCAGATCTTGGAATCCCCCATTTTAAGGAAACCACAGAGACAATAATTCGTTGAATTACATTCCTAAGGCTCCAGCTGACTTTGCCCAGTAAGACTATATCCCCAGGTTGCAAAAACACCCACAACATTGCATACAAAGCAGGGATAGGAAACATGATAGTTGCAAAAAACAAAAAAAGAAGGAAAATGTGATAGAAAAAGACTGGAAGTCCTTTTGCCAATTCTCTAATGGGCTGTTGGTGACTGGAGTTAGTCCAAGGGCCCCCAGGTAACACTGAAGTGTAGCCTCAGCCAGATACCTTCAGTTGCCCCAGGACCTCCTTCCGGCCTCACGTGACAGCTAGGTCCTTTGTGAAAGGAAACTGGATTGGAACAAAGTCAACATTTTCAACACGTGAGGGCAAAGGGGGATTGAAAAAGTTCTCTCCAGCAAGCCTTTCCCCTGAGTCTTTAAGTCTGGCAGTCACACTATTCGTTTTTAACTGGCCGAAAGGAACCCACTGTTTTTGTTTGCTCTTGAGAGAAGAAAACTTAAGACAAGAAGCCTTGGAAATGAAAGTAAAGAGTTAATGTTCTGCTCTTACTCATCCTTTAGATGAATTCCTTTCTTCCCAGCCAATGCAACAAAATATGTTGTATTTTTGCCAGTGCACCAAAATATGTAGCAGTATCTCATTGTCTGAGATAGAACATGGAGTTCTTTGTCTCATGTCCAGGAGAATTAAGGAGCGCAGAAACAAGGGTGAGATTGGAGCAAAAGTTTAATAAGTGAAAGAAGAAAGCTCTCTGCAGCAGAGAGGGGTGCCCAAATTGGTTGCCCACCATGAGGTTGGGGTCCGGGGTTTTTATGGACTGGGAAGGGAAGGACTATGCTTAGTCTGTAGGCTTTCTTACAGAAAGTGTGATTAAGTTTGGCCTGGGACCTTGGTCCAGGACCAATCAGGAGCTGAAGTGGTGATTCATAGGGGCTACTTAGCTTGGCCTGGACCTATCAGGAGCTGAAGTGAAAGCTTGGCCCTGGGACCATCAGGAGCTGAACTGATGATTCATAGAGACTGGGCTCACAGTCCAAAGCTTGTCCAGAAAAGGAAACGGAAGTGCCCACAAGAACCCACCATGTACATGCCCACAAAAGGGGAAGAGACTATTTCCTTGAAGCCTGCTGGTTATACAAAGGACAAAAGCATTTCTATGCTGAGCCTTGTTCCCTTATTAAAGTGGCTGTGGGCATATCTTAGGCACAAAGAACAAAGGCATTTCTATGGAGGGCCTTGTTCCTTCATCTGAGTGGGCCAGAGGTTTGTGCAAGTTTTCTTATCTGTGCCTGCAGCCTGATTTTTCACTGCCTAACTTTTCTCTCTTACTGCCACACTACAAGGGAATGGTGCTAAACCTGAAAGAAATCAGGCAATGATTTACTTAGAACAGTGTACACTTTTATCCTTAGAAGCAATAGACAACAGCCATAGCAACACAAACAAGTGAACACAGCAAGAATTGTATTTATCTGGTTTAGGGCCGAGTGAAAAGCATGTGGTAAGATTTCTCTGGGATTAGGGGCAGAAGTTTAGCCTGGGGAAAGCTTATGAGCACCAAGCTTTTAAATTGAGAACTTTTTGGGACTTGTATGCTATTTTCTCTTCGTGTTTATAGGTGCCTAGCATGTTTATCTTAATTGTTCCAATGAACCTTTCACCTAAGCCTCTTAAGTCAAGGATCTTTTAGTATGGTTCCACCTACATATAAGAATTTCAAGAAGTTATTTCCCTATACATCAAATGACAGGAAACTGGGAATTTGCATAAATCTCAGTCAGTAAGAACACTTTGACTCTTAAAATGGGAAATGGAGGCCAGGCATGGTGGCTCATGCCTCTAATCCCAGCACTTTTGGAGGCCGAGGCAGATGGATCACTTGAGGTCAGGAGTCTGAGATCAGCCTGGCCAACATGGTGAAACCCCATCTCTACTAAAAATAAAAAAAAATTAGCCAGGCGTGGTGGCAGGCGCCTGTAATCCCAGCTACCCAGGAGGCTGAGGCAGGAGAATCGCTTGAACCTGGGAGGTGGAGGTCACAGTGAGCCAAGATCGTACCACTGCACTCCAGCCTGGGTGACAGAGTGAGACTCTGTCTCAAAAAAAACAAAACAAAAAAAAAAGGGAAATGGAGCTAAGCATAGTATTTTAAAAGAGATGATCATAAAGTAAAAAAAAAAAAAAGACAGATCAGGATATAAATAGCACTAACATGGAAAGTATATGCCTGCCTCCTTGTAGGTCTGAATAGAAACTAAAACCTTTAACACTCCCATCATCTTTTGGTACAAGATAAATTGAAGCCCTCCTCCTCCCAGCATGGGTCAACCCTGAAACAGATTGCCTACATATATGTCCGAGCATTACCCAATATATAGTAGTTAAAAGTGTGTGAAATAACTTCATTTTAAATATAATTAAAGACATTTTTAATTAAGAAGAATTAAAAATAAACATCTCTTTTTCAAGCTTCACAATTATCTGAGGTACGTTTGTGAGTGGCTATAAATTTTGGAAATGACCACATTCATTAGTAGAATCCTGGACAAGTGAATTTTTGCAAATGTTGTTTTGGTATATGAACCTTATTGCAACTAAAATGAGTTTGTGAATTGACCCAAATTGGAGCTGTTTTAGCATTATCTATAGTAATGTGAGTCATTTTTTGGAAGGAAATTTGAAAATGACTAATACTATAAGTGAACAGTTATTGAGAACTCTCTTCTGAAACTTCGTTTTTTTCTTTGTTTTTTTTTTTTTTTTGAGACGGAGTCTCTCTTTGTCGCCTAGGCTGGAGTGCCATGACACGATCTCGGCTCACTGCAAGCTCCACCTCCCAGGTTCATACCATTCTCCTGCCTCAGCCTCCTGAGTAGCTGAGACTACAGGCATCCGCCACCATGCCCAGCTAATTTTTTTGTATTTTTAGTAGAGATGGGGTTTCACTGTGTTAGCCAGGATAGTCTCGATCTCCTGACCTCATGATCCGCCCGCCTCAGCCTCTCAAAGTGCTGGGATTACAGACTTGAGCCACCGCGCCCAGCCCCCTTCTGAAACTTTGAATGCTATAGACTCATAACATCAACAGTGTTAACATCCACAATGTATTACAGCATAAATGATACAGTATTTTGTGATGTAAGTATTGTTCTGCAATTCAAGCACTACAGTCAATTATATAAAAATCATAATTACACAATAATAAAAGTTTAATATATGCATGCAAACAGCTTAATCTTACTATGACTTCCTCATGCTTATTTAAATCTGTTGTGTTTGGCTGTTAAAATATCACACATCTAGATTACAATTCCAAATTCAACAATACAGAGATAAACTAAATATTATACTTTTTACCTAGATAAAAACACTGGAAACATGTAAAACCGTTTTCATTTAAATTGTTACACTTTTTGATTGAAAACTTTCATCCTTTGCCAGATTTTAACCTGAAATATGTTTCAAGATTGCTTTGTAATTATTTTTAATGTAATGTACTAATACAGAAGTCCTCAAAGAGGGACAGACTAACACATTATTGAAGTCAGTCAACAAATTTTACCCAAGGTATCTATTTTGAACAGATTATAAAATAGCTGCCCATTTAGAACAACTGATAAACACATTCTGATTATGGTATTTATAAAAGGACCTTCATAGGTTGTCTACAGAGCTTAATGTTAATACTACTTCTTATTGAGAACAAAGTTCCTTTAAATATTTTGCATCTACAGTTGGACTCTAAACACATATTTAGTTCTTTCTTTTGTAAGCAAAACTTATCTAGATGTTAGTGGAACAAAAAACTAGTGAATCTAATTGAAAGTAAAAACTGGCTCTTTACAATTTCTTAATTTCCATTTTATTTCAAACACATTTTAAAGCTTTAGCTATTACAGGAATAAATTAGTGTTACAACCATAGATAAAGTATCTGCCTTAAGGTGTTGCAACTAGGAATCTTCATTTAAAGATGGGGTGAACAACATGAGGTCAACTTTCAGTATATGTACCTCTATTTTTTTACACTCTACTACTAGTTTTCCATAGCCTATAATCTAAACTATTCTGTGGAATAATATCTCCCTTTAAATGGGCATATATTCTGATTTGGTGGCTATTCTAAGAATTACTTTAAGGTTATATGGGTATCTACTAAATAGAATATCTGAATATCTTATCTGAATGTCTACTAAATATAGTAGACATTCAGAAAAGAAAATATGTATAATTATTGTAGATTCAAGATATCTGGGAAAATTAGGGAACTCTTTGATGTATAGAGAAAACTGCAAAATATCAATGACTTTTTCAAGGCAAAGTATATTAAAAGTGCATTTGTTTTCAATCTCATTCTTTTTTATTATTATTATACTTTAAGTTCTGGGATACATGTGCAGGACGTGCAGGTTTGTTACATAGGTATACACGTGCCATGGTGGTTTGCTGCACCCATCAACCCGTCATCTACATTAGGTACTTCTCCTAATGCTATTCCTCCCCTAGCCCCCCAACCCCGATAGGTCCCGGTGTGTGATGTTCCCCTCCCTGTGTCCATGTGTTCTCACTGTTCAACTCCCACTTATGAGTGAGAACCTGCGGTGTTTGGCTTTCTGTTCCTGTGTTAGTTTGCTGAGAATGATGGTTTCCAGCTTCATCCATGTCCCTGCAAAGGACATGAACTCATCCTTTTTTATGGCTGCATAGTATTCCATGGTGTATATGTGCCACATTTTCTTTATCAGTCTCATTCTTATTGATACAATAAGGACTATTGGAAACACACTTCTACTTTTAATTAGCTTTCTCTATAATTAGGCAACTAAAGCACTAGGGCTCTCTATTGGTACAGAGATCACTTTTGTCCCATTAAAAACAACTCACTTGCTTTCCTTTTTACTGCTTTTACTATATTTGGTATCTTTTTGCTTTGGGTTAGCACAATAAACAAGCAAAAAAATTATCTGCAGTGTTGATAGTTGAAAAGAAAAGCAAATTTCACTGTCAAGATGATTTGATTAAAAGGATTTCTCTTATTGCTACATAGCTATTTTAATGCTTTATTCCTTTTACAGCTCCCTCTATATTTCCCAACAATTATTAAAAGAATATGATTTGAGCACCCAACTAGTTAACTGATATCACAACTTTATTTTTGAAGAGCAAAATGACAAAACAGTAGACATCTTACATTTTTCATCATGGAGCCAGACACAAAGTTAATGACTGGGTGAGGGATCTTTCTGACCTTGCCTGGCTTATTGGTCCACAAGTATCAAAATCAGTATTTTATTTACTGTTGTTCCTTTCAGTATTGAATGAGTAAAATACCAATGGTAGTTTTCTTTTGGGTTAAAGTAATACTACAGGTTTTACTTTTGACTGAGTGAAAACAATGCAAGACACTTCCGTGAGATGATTAACACTTTATTTTATAGTTTTTTTATTGAAGTATACTATTCAGGGTATTCTACGATCTTATTGAACACAGTATGGAAACACCAAATTGATATTATTTGATAAGCATAATCTTTTCTTCTTGATATAAGAAAATACTATTTTTTTCTGAAATAGGTATCTGTATTTTAAAGGGATAATGGTTGATTATGAGTAAATCATTGTTTAATTAAATACTGAACTGTTATTTCTCACAGACATTAATATTCTCTCTTGGAAACAAATGCAATGTGTCAAATAAAATATCTAATACCTCTTTCCAATAGTCAAATCATGTTTAATACTTCTTTAGACTGGTAAAATATAATACATTCAGACCAAAATCTTGTTGTTTGTTTGTCTATAGGTACGTATATATGGATATATAACTTGAAAGTTTCTAAAGTACAGGAATTCATTTTTATATACAATCATTTATTATAGGTAAGGGAACTAATTAGATTTAGGACCACAATACAAGCTTTAGAAAGACTTTCTACTGGCCTTAATGTCCAGCTCAGAAAACAATATTGCACTGCTGAAATGTTTTCAAAAGTTTATGGCTTAAAAGAGCATTCACTTTGATTAGAATTTTCTGTATTATTTAATGTAATGTTTTAAATTAAGTGGAAATAGCCAAAATATGAGGGACTAGGAACTGCTATTGAGACTACTTTTCCTTTACCGTTTCTTCTCAGTTTTCTTCAGTGTAGCAGTTCTTAAAGTGTCATTCCCTGACCAGCAGCATTAGCATCATCTTGGAAGTTATTAGAAATGAAGATATTCTGGCCCCACATCTGACCTGCTAAATTAGAAACTCTGGAGGTGGGACCCAGAAATCTGTGTGTTTACACACAGATAAAATGATTGCTCTAAAATAGTGGTTGTCAAATTTTAACATGCATTAGAGTTACTAACCATCTGTGTAATTCTAATGCATGTTAAACTTTGAGAACCACTATTTTAGAGCAATCATTTCATCATTTCTTCTGTGTGTATGTATGCGTCTGTGTGTGTATGTATGTATGTATGTATGTATGTATATAATTTTCAGGACTGTCGGCCATGGGGCATCATTATATTATTTGTATATAATATCTATTAAAGAACTTTATTTTTGCTTTTATTATCTTGCAGTTTTTCTGGTTGGTGTATTACTTTATTCAGTGATAATATGAAAATTACTATCTTCACTGAAGGATCTACTGAATAATCATTTTAACTCAACTATATTGCATTCTTGAAAGCAATCCTTTCAATGTAAGTATGATGTCTTTTCTCACTGTCTTTGAAAATATAGTTCTAATATTAATATAGACAGGTAAAGAGTGGCTAACTTCTTATGTTTCCCATCGTCAAAGGGAACATAGAGTTGTAATAGGGAGAACAATTACATTTTCTTTATTATACAAATATCCATTCATAGTCTTTTGTGATATCTTGACAAATTGCTTGCTTTGCTTTGCATTCCCAGATGAATTTAACCAGTTGAATAATGGAAACCACTTTGCATTGATTTTGGCATTTACTGTAGTCAGATACATTACAGGCATACTAATAGGTTAGGCTAGATGGGAAAAATGTTAGCTTAAAGGATAAGTATATTGGGAGAAGACAGGGAGCCAAACAAGATTTAAATATTCTGCAATGTGAACTACTGCTGATCTCCACATTTTGAAAACGATAATTAGAAATTTCATGTTTTGTGCTTCTATTGAGGTTTATGTGGAAAATTATTGAAGAGTTTCTGCCTTGAATTTGGAATTTTAACTTATGAAAATGTAGCTTTATAATTCATACTCAATAAACACACTTTCAGTAAATAAAAGTTGGATTGTACCCAAGACAGTATTATAAGCAATATGGGTGGCTTTGTTGCAGTTTTTCCACCTTTACCATGACATTCATCCAAAGTTTCTATTTAGCCATACTTTTTGCTTCAGAAAATTCAAATTAAGTTTCCCAACAAGTTTTCTGATGTGCTGTTTTTGATATATGGGTGATTAACTCTACTATATGCGGTTAAGTATGGAGCCATAATCTACACATTAAGATAAGTCCTATTACTTTAATGCCATATTTGAAATTTGTACTAATAACACTGCATTGATATTGTACATTATGTGAAAATGAACAGTAGCTGTGCCAAAAGGAGCATAACATTATTGTCAAATCTTGATTATTCATGTTAATAGAGGTCAGCATTTTTGGAGGCATGTATAGATTCCAGATCAGTACAAATCACTTATATTTACTCCATTGTGACATGTATTTTATTATATTTTGTGCTTATATATGTCTATATGTATACATATATATGTTTGAGTATATATGTATCACAAATTTTTATCATAATTAACGCTTTTTTCTAGGGCTAATTTTAAAAATTTGTAATTTTCATTTTCTTATGTAACAGTAGAGGTAGTTAGTGACATGGTAACTCAGAATTTGTCAGTTAGTAATGATATGGAATAAAATAGACTTGATTCCAAAAACAAGCTTTCATAGTTATGGCTAGAGAAAGGTTAAAAAAAACCTAACTGGTTATTAAAGCCTTGATTTAGACAATTGAATAATGTGTTGCTCACGCAAGGACACCGTTTCTCCACATCCTGGCAAGTTGTCATCACTGTTTCTGTAATTATTATGAAATACTAGGCCTAAACTATTTTATGTGTGTGTGTTTAAAGCTTGTAGGTAATTGAAAAGACTAGAATGTTTGGAAATCACTAGCATAGATAATTAAGTGGCAATTGGAAAGTTGCATACTGATGGACAGTTTTTCTACACCACTTTCCTGGTATAAAGTGAAGTTAAATTTTGGACCACTTTCTTATCTTTGCAAGATCTTACTGCCATTCTGTTTGGTAAACAAAATCCTATCTTCTCCCTTCTCTGATATCTAGGAGCAGATCCAAGATATTAAGTAGGGCTTCCAATTTCTTGGTTTGAAGGATATCTCTTGATCAAGGACTTCTGCATTTTGGCAATTTTTTTTTAGTTAAGTCTCTGGATGGTTTTATTTGTATATAAGTGTCCTGTCAACTTTTGTTTGGGAAAGAATTTCGTAATTTCAGTAATGTCAATATAGCAAGATAAATGTTTTCCTTTATTTTCAGATCATAGATGATTTACATGGAGACTGTAGGCCTAGGATTAGACCATTGAATTTTTTAAAATTTTTACTGATATTGACAATGGAAATTTGCCATTAAGGAAAGGAAAATATATATTTGCAAAACAAATTTGCACATGAAGAAGGAATTTTAGAACTTTTGCTGTATCATAAATTAAAATCTTAACAGTTTATATGTGATATTTAAAAAATATTTATTAGGTAAATTGTTTTTCTTCCTAAAACCTTTACATGAAGCCAGCCAGTGTTATGAACTATTCCTTTTCTAGATTGAGAATTTGAGCATAACAAACTGTTAGCTTCTAATAATTCAGTGATAATTTCAGAAGGAACTAGAAAATAAGATTACCAGTTCTCATTGCATGTTGTATCACTTCATGTAGCATCTTGCTCTTTCCAGTGTCCTAAAGATGCTATATAGATCATTTCATTCGATAGATAAATTACCAAATTCTGAAAGCCTGATATGTAATCAGTTTGGTCCATCCATCTTTAAGGATCGATTTGGATATTCACGTAGCTGATCAAACTGTATAAACATTAGTCATTAAAGTGGCTTAAAACAAGCATCCTATTTCATGGGTCATTTCATCATATAATAAAAATAAATATTCAGTCTGTAGTTCATATTTCTAGGGATTACATACAGAGAAACAGAATAGGTTTAATTTTTCCTTCTCACTAACACAGATATGCTGTTGCTTAATAGGCCTTTTGCAAAATGCATGGACTATCAAAGTAGTCCACGTAGATGTCAAATAAGATGATTATGTTTGCTCTAGTTCTACTAGGGAAATACATAATACTAAATTTCAAATATTTATATTCTGTTTTGATAGCTCCTTAGATAGGCAAAATATGAATACTGTCCACACAAATCTTAGGCTTCATATTGTTTTTTATTTCTGGAAGTCAGGAACAAATGCCTAACCCCAAAACTATGTCCATGTTGAATGTTATTTACTTTCCTAGATTTATTTGTTTAGACAACTTATTAGCGTACTTGAAGATCCATGTAATCACTGTGATTGTACATAACAACATAATTGTATCTACTTGCATTTATAGTGTTACAATATATTATAAAATGTTAACTTCCTAACATTCCCTAAACTATAAAATTATCTGAGCATATTATATTGCAAATCTGCAGTGAACATTTTTTAAAGCTTAGGAATCTTATGAGTTTATATATTCTTATTCTCATTTCAGGTACAAATTTAGTAGTCTCATCTGTTTTTCATTTTAAATTGACATTCCTTCAACTAACATTTTTTAAAGGGCTACTGGGCACATAGAAGAGGTGATAAATTAGGTACTTTCCTTATTAAGGAATTAAAGGAGCTCATACTCTAACAGAAGACTTCAGTAATATTCTTTTAAGTAAGAGCAGTTATATATGAGAAACTGAAAAGTATATGAGAGAGTGATCTGATGCTTTTGGGATTAAAGATTATATATATTGTTTGTAAACACTATGCCATTGAGTCCATTGGTTCTAACACAGAGACATGTTATCTGGTCTCACTTTACAATCATGATAATTAATCTCAATGATACATTATGGTTATCCCATGAACAAAATTTATATCACCAAAGAAATACCATCATTATAGTATTTACATGAAGCAAGATTAAAAAAGGCTACCATTTTATATCAACAGTCATTACAACTCCAGAAAATTCCTGAGAAATCTGTTTGCATTCATCAATGTATCTAACATCTTTGACATAATAATTGTGGCTTTTATTTCACTTTTATATTTAAACATGATTAAATATATTGGTAATTTCCTCCCTAGTATTATCATGGTTTATGTTGAGGGTAAGTCTATTTTTAACTTTTTCATATGCTTTAGCATTGGTTTTAAGGTGCTAACATATTTCTTCCCAATATTTTGTTTGCTGTCTAGTGATCTACTGACTTCACAATGTCTGAAATCAGATTCACCAATCTCACTTGGGATCAAGTTATAACACTGGATCAAGTGTTAGATGAAGTAATTCCAATTCATGGAAAGGGGAATTTCCCCACAATGGAGGTAAAACCAAAAGACATCATTCATGTTGTGAAAGATCAACTCATAGGGCAAGGAATTATTGTTAAAGATGCCAGATTGAATGGTTCCGTAGCAAGTTACATACTTGCAAGCCACAATGGAATCAGCTATAAGGATCTGGACGTTATTTTTGGTGTTGAGCTTCCAGGTAACGAAGAATTTCAGGTTGTTAAAGATGCAGTTCTAGACTGTCTACTTGACTTTTTACCAAAAGATGTAAAGAAGGAAAAGCTCTCCCCAGATATCATGAAAGACGCTTACGTACAGAAATTGGTCAAGGTTTGCAATGGGCATGATTGTTGGAGTCTTATCTCCCTTTCAAATAACACTGGGAAGAATTTAGAACTAAAATTTGTGAGTTCACTCAGACGGCAGTTTGAATTTAGTGTAGATTCCTTTCAAATTGTTTTGGATCCCATGTTAGACTTCTACAGTGACAAAAATGCCAAGCTAACCAAAGAATCCTATCCTGTTGTGGTAGCTGAAAGCATGTATGGAGACTTCCAGGAAGCAATGACACATTTGCAACACAAGCTCATATGTACCAGGAAACCTGAAGAGATTAGAGGTGGTGGCCTTCTGAAGTACTGCAGCTTGCTGGTTCATGGCTTCAAGCCAGCCTGTATGTCAGAAATCAAAAACCTAGAACGTTATATGTGCTCTAGATTCTTTATTGATTTTCCTCATATAGAAGAACAGCAAAAGAAAATTGAATCATACCTCCACAACCATTTCATAGGTGAAGGAATGACCAAGTATGACTACCTTATGACCTTGCATGGAGTTGTGAATGAAAGCACTGTTTGCCTCATGAGTTATGAAAGAAGACAGATTCTCCACCTGATCACCATGATGGCTTTGAAAGTACTTGGAGAACTAAATATTCTACCCAATACACAAAAGGTAACTTGCTTTTATCAGCCTGCTCCGTACTTTGCAGCTGAGGCAAGGTACCCTATTTATGTAATACCTGAGCCACCCCCCGTTAGCTTCCAGCCATACCACCCACTGCACTTTCGTGGATCAAATGGTATGAGTTAAAAAATACACATGCAACCATAGAAACTTTGATTTAATTAAACACCATTTAAAAGCAAGTTTCCAAATGTAAAATTCAAGATCTGTTTTTATTTTTGTACAGTTACCAATTATTTTCAATTACAGTTGATGGAATAGTAGTTACCAACTATTTTTGATCAATTAAGCCATCATAGTAAATACAATATCTATAAACCAACCACTTTAAATGTTTTTCAAACGTTATTGACTAGCTATAATAACTTTCAAATGTTGTGTTCCCCTTGAAGTGATTTTCAAATCTTTTGACTACTTGTGACTTTCAAATTTACTGTGACAAATATATTAGAGATGCCTGCATCTTTGACTATAACATAAAAGGACAGATTCATGTTTTAAAATTAAGATGTACAGTGAAGTATCAAATTTTTTATATTCAGTCAGTTCCTTTGTTACATTTAGTTCTTTTTTTCTATTGAACAATACCATCAATAAATGTTCAGTACTTAACAGAAATGCCTAATTTCAAAAGCAACAGATTCAGAAGACATTAAAACCCTGGACTTTTCAAGCATTTTTTTTTGACAATTAAATTGGGTTGGATACAAAAATCCTACTATAGTTTAAAGGAATACTGGAAAAAAATGGTTCTGGAAAGCCCTGGACATTAGTAATTTGTCATCTATATAATAAAACATTTAGTTAATTTGTGGATTTGAATAACAATACCATACAGCTGTGCAACTACTACTGAGATCAGATACAGGGTTTTTTGCCCCTCAAAATAAGTTAAAACGAATGAAAATGACCAGCTCTGAATGTGAAAGCTTTCTATCATCATCTACTACAAAGAGACTCTAAATGGCAAACAGGAAAAAAACAGGCAGAGGTTTATAGCCATAGCATTTACCATTTTATGGCTTATTTGAAAAACATCTTTATGTTGAGAAACATTCCATTTCAGTAAGTTAAAATATTTTCATTGTAACTAAATGAAGCAGGTTTTTCATTTTGCCTTTACCAAAGATCATTTTCTAACATGCCACTCAAGTGCCTCTTCGTGTGAATTTTTGCGTAACACTATAATTTATTCAACAACTGTATACCTTTACAGTATATCTAAATATATACTTACTACATCGAGTATACTGCTAGAAAAATCTACCAGTGGGATTAAAAATGTATTTTCTTCCCATAATGAAAATAATTCATGACCAATATTACCTGAAGTGTCAGAAGAGGAGCTGTCTTAAATTAATATGGATCAGGCCATTGGAAAACTTCAGTATTTCCACTTGGTTATGATTTTTTGTGAGTTTCCATTTCAGTTTTTATTGACCATCACGTTTTCTATCACAACATGACCTGACAGTTGTATCCCGATAATTTGCCAGTTATAGACTGTGCTTATCTTCACTGTATTACAATATTGGACAGAAGTACACCAAATACGGCATTTTCAAATAACCAATATTTCTGAGATGTTTTATACCACAGCACAAGTGGCCATCAGTATATTTTTAAAGAATTATATATCACAGAACCCTGAGGCTTTAAAACACTATGGACTTACCACTTTCTTGACAAAGAATTTGTAATTACAATAAAATATTTAGAAATGAAAGGACTATGATTGTGATGTCATGGGTATAGATTCAGTAGGTTCAATATTTTCCAGAGTGGTATTTGACACTGAATAGCAGAATTCTGAAGCTATTTGGAAATATCTCATACCCCATGTGCTCCCATAGCTTTCTTTGATCCCATTGAGAATTTAAACTCCTTCTTTCCTAAAAAGCAAATTATTTATGGTATTCTCCTAAAGCTTTAAGTCCTGATGGAAGAATGGCCTGAAAGCTAGGTATGTTCTCCTAACATTTTAAGCATGTATTTCCCTTGTAACAGCAAAGCTCTCAGAACTGCTATCTATGATTTTCTCAAGAGAAAGAATTTAAACCTCTTGAATGGGGATGGTATCACTGAAGAAAAAGCTGTAGCTTTATTTCTCATGGCTTGCTTTCTATAGATACCGTTACCAAGCTAGTACTTTGCTCCCAACCAACCAGAAAAATATCAGTCTTCAATAGTGTATGAATATCTCTCCAGGATTAGGCTAGTTCCCTTGAGAAGGAGTATTATTTCATTCTGCTGATTAGGGTAGTAAATGGAAAAGTTTTTCTGTAAATTAATGAATGCTAGCCTCTTTGCCAAAAGGAGTTAATAGAAGTTATTTTTTTAAAAACCCTACTCTAAAGCATATGACATCCCATTACCAAAGAGAAACAGTATTATCTTTGCCTGTTTAATATGTAGCCATTTTATTTTGTACAAACGCAATACTGAGTCTTGGTTTAGGAAGTTTTTTTTTTTCAGGAACCTAACCAAAACCAAAAAAGAAAGCAATTTTTAATATAATTCTAACATTCATATCTGTGAGACAAATTTTGTCAGCTACAGATACATATTTTTTAAACCAGAATATTCTTGTATTTCAAAAATATCCACACATTATTATCAAACTTCTACAAGTAGGGTATTTATAACTTTTAAAGTTTTATATATTCTTCTAATAGTGACTCATGCCCAATTTAGTTGAACAGAATTGAAAGAGAAGGATTAACTAGTTGATTTAATTTAGAGAAAAGCCATCTAAATTCAAGACAAAAATATCAGAGCTAGAAATGTCAACTTCCCCTCAAAACTCGGAAAGCCTTCTGTGCCCAAATTCCATCTTCTTACATCAGCAAAGATCTATTAAAATACATTCAAATTAGAGAGTTTAACATTTGTCTTTAAAGTCACAGTTTAGTTATGCATTGATAAAAATAAGATGAAAAATGCCTCAGATACAATTAAAAATCCTTTTTATTCAGTGCATCTATTACCTGGAAGTAGTCGTTCAACTTTAAAAATATGGGAAGTTAAAGCATATAATTGAGAACATTGTTGAAGTTTTAAAGTTTCCAATACTTTTCAAAATTACATTGATTTAAGAGCGCATATGTCTCACTCATTGAAGATTTTCAGAAATATAACTTACATTGTAAATTAACATTAAAACAGGATTGGGAGATATGTAGAACTATAATTTGGTAAATATTTTCATGAAGACCACTTTGATAAGGCATCAAACCCAACATTTTAACCTAATCTGGGATTTATTTCCTTTACCATTGTAAAATAAAATGCATTTAACATTTTGTTTTTAGTTGTGCTCTCTATTTGGTGGTTATATTCTGTAAGTTATAATGTTAAAATTTATGTAATAAGCATTTGGAAATTTTATTGCTGACCCACTGCTCCATTTAATGAATATTTCTTCAGCACATATTGAAAGTAGCAAATCTGTTGGGATTTCAGTGTTTTGCTCTTAAATCCTCCATTAAGGAAACAGTTTTTCTTGAATTTTACAAGTTTTAACAGAAAACATATTATTTAGCATATATGCTATTTGGAAGCCAATTCAGCATGTAACTCGTGATCTTTGAGCGTAACACATAATTTCTTTTGCTTTTTTATGGGGGAGTGTAAGGTGATTTTTTCACAATTTTCATGTTTAAGGCAGTGCTACATGGATGTATTTGTTTTAAACAACAACAAAAACACACTTTTTGTCTATATGTAACTCTTGAAAGAGCAAAAGATAGACAATAGATGAACAGCTGAATTTTATGTGCATGTGTTTTTTATGGCCCGTCAAATAAACCAAACCTCCCTGTCCTAGAAAAATAGTATCATATAGATATACATTTTAGTAGCTCAGAGCAAAATAATTAGCCCCTCTAAATGCATAAAATGACCTTTCTAAGAAAGAAATGTCTTCAGAGGGCCCTCTTTGAAAAAATTTTTCTTCTTAATTTCCAAATTAAAATTGATGAGTCGAATAACCCAACCCAAGTAATGTCATGGTAATTTTTTTGACAATTCACTTGTTATATATTTTAGATGGTAGAATTTGAACCATTCTCTAAAATGCTAATAAGTAGTCCACCTTATGTTATGAATAGACATGGTTCAGTCACACCTGGTCCTTTGGCTCAACTACAGAACCCAGAAACATGGGATTGAATTCTTGTTTTAGTATTTGTATAACTCCAATATCAGTGGGGGAGGTTGATCTTCATGAAAATGACAGTAGAAGTAGTATGAGTGTTCACACTAATATTCTATTCAGTAATTTCACTTTTATTATAGGAGGACAACATAAATAAAATTTGTCTATATAGCAGGTGGCTTTAATCCCAAAAGGAAAAATAATACAGGCATTGTCATATTTTTAACTTGTAAAATCAGAGTTAAAAAGCACATTCTTCTATTATGTGTAGTACTCACTTCCAATATTTTTAAAATAAAAATTGATATTAGATAGCCATTACATGTATGTGTTTTAAAAGTTATTATAAATGTTCACTTCTCCCGAGTAAAATTAAAGATTCAACACAAACATATGTTTGCAGATATTTGAACAAACAGAATTGTAAATAATTTTCTCTAAGCTTCACATGTAACCTTTTTGAACGCAAAAGATTTCTACATAAATTATTTTCTTTATGGTTTTGGGAGTTTTGTAAGGTAGTTTTGGACATTGAGAGTTAAATGCCTTAAAAAACCAATGGTTGTTAAGGCAGTGAACTTCAGATAACTATTGTCTTATCGAAAGATTTGCCGTCAGGTAAAATGCATTTAATAATGTCAGCAAGTAAAAAGTGTAAATTTTAGCAGTTTTAAGGTTAAAAATTGACTTCCTTTAAAAGCACCTAAATACATATTTCAACTGAAAGGCATTATATTCTTCTAGATAAATAATATGTGTACCAAAACAGAAACCATGCCAGGAAAGTTATCTGATTTCAAAATGTAGAGGACTATATTCAATATGCTGTGAATAGATTTCTATGAAATTCAGCAACTATTTACTAAGTTAGGGAAAGTACCTCTATAGAAGAGATATATAAATTCTGGTAATCCTGACAGTTTCCAAAAAGGGAGCATGTATTCCATTTTCCTGAGGACCAAGTTTTTAATTCCTCCCATTTTGCTTCCTCATTTTCTTCATTTATTGAAATGATACCTCTTTATGCTCACAATGATAAGATGCAAAAAATGACATCTGGGGGCAATTTGTTACTGTTTATATTACCAAAAGACAAAATGACACTATGCCAAGTTTAATTACTAGTGAGGGAGAGTCTAGAAATGTCATGATTATTAGTCAGGTAGAATTGTGTTTGTGGATGGTCCCGTTCTAGAAGAGAAAGCTTTCATGTGTGCATTATAGAGAGTCCAATTTTAGGAGTTCTAATATTTCAAGATTTCCCTTAACTACATATACTAACAAGACTTTAATTCAGAAGCCATGATTCTAGAGATAAAAATTCACTTCTCAGTTCTTGCAAAACCCAGGAATTCTAGGCAGCTAAATGTGAAGAAATGACTTAATTGGCTTACTGTATCATTTAGAGCTCAGACTGGTATAAATTATAAAATACCTTTCTTTAGTAAGAAGTGTCAAAATTATTTTAAGCATCATTACGTGATACTGTGTAATTCCTGGGAATTTTTAAAAGATAAGTTGCATTTCAGTTTAGATTTGAATATATAAAAATTATAAGTAAAATCATTTAAACTTTTAAGAAATGAAAGCCACGTCAATTTAGATTTCATACATAAAATTATGTCAAATCATACAAACTTACACATTTTAAATTCCTATAGATTTTAAATTCCTATAGACTTAATGGTACATTATGATGTAAAACTTTTCCTAGATGATTCACCTTCATAAATTATAATGCAGTATCATATTTACTGAATAAAGTTCAGTATATTTTATGTATTTTATTCAAAAAGATTAAATATTTTTTAATAAAGATTGGAAATAACCCAATGGATTATCTGCATTTTCCAGATCTCAACTCATTGTAATTGGACGATATTGTTATATGAATATGTTTTCAATTTGCCTTTAAGTTCTTTTGACACAGTTTAGTTGTTCAATTTATAGATGGCTGACGCTAAAACTATAAGTTGACATGGCAAACTCTGATTTGATCTTTAAATAAAAATGTTCCAGTATTTTTAAAACAAATCCCGTATATCTCTGGAAACCACATTCACTTTATATCCATACACTACCACTAGACTAAATAGAAAAGTATCATTCTCTTGGCAGTAGTCTCTGTTTAGATTGAGTGAAATCAGTGTTAGTAACTTTTCCTTCTAGTTTGAAATAAGCAACTACAACTTTTTTTTTAGGAAATTTTTATTGTGGATATGTTTAAACATGCACAAAAATACAGAATGAGCCTTCTCCTGTACCCATGCCTCAGCTCAGGTTGTTGATATTTGCCAGTTCTGTTTTACGTATCCCAGCTCTTATACACACACTCATTTGCATGCTTTTTTCCCCCTCTGAGGTATTTTAAAGTAAACTTCAGACATTATGTAATTTCACTGTAAATTTACCAGCCATGTATCTCCAACTGATAAAGTTTAAAAGAAAAATAAGCACTTTACCATTATCACACCAAAGAAAATTATGAATACCTTTATAGATATACCTTATACCTCAATTAATGTTCGGATTTCCCCAAAAGGTCTCAGGAATGTAATTTTACCATTGAGTTTGCACAAATAAAGATCCAGCAAGGGCCACACATTGCCTTTGGTTTATGTGTCTTTCAATCTTCTTTCAATCTTGTCAGTAGTATTTTTGCCCTGCCTCCGCCATTTCTGTTGTGCCATTTGTTTTGGGAGGAGACTGACCGTCTGCTCTGTAGAGCTCCGCAGTTCTGAATCTTTTTGCATCCTCTTGGTGCGCCCTAATACAACATTTTTTGAAGTTCTTCTGGGCATAGAGTTAATGTCTCAACCTACAAAACAGAGAATTAAGAAGAATTAAGACACTTATTCAGATAATTCACATCAGTAACATGTCACTGTGTAATAAACAATGCAACAAATACCTAAGTTATTTATGATCCAAACCATTGAATAACTGTGTTCTCCCATATGAAGCAGACCAAAAATAACTATTACATATGGCACAAGTCCTACAATACTGTTTCACGATGTGTAAAACAATTCATCTGATAAAGAATAAAGTGAGAAGAAGATCTGACTTCAAATCTAAACACACAAATTGGATCCGTAGGTATTTATCTTAAAGATATGTCTGAAGTTTCAGTTAATTCAAATTCAATTGTTTAGCATTAAATAAAATATTAGTGAAAGGAATTATAGTCACTGAGTGGGAAATGAAACAGAAACATCTAAATGTATTTACCCAGAACCCAGTGAAATTGCTGACACCATTTCCTATACTATTAAATTAAGAAGAAGTACAGTTTAAGTAATTCAACTTTTTAGGAAAATTGTGAATATAAATATAGATTTATAAAAATTTTGGACACCTTTTTAGCCTTCTAGTTTATATCACCAGTTCTAGTTTTTTAGTGCAAAAATATTTAAGTGTTCTGAAAAACTTACTGTGTTTCTGTAAATGAATATTTTGAGCAGTATTTCAGTAGTGGGTCATCTAAGACATGACTGAAATTTCCAATGGTGAGTTAAATGTCAATCTTTGCTTTCATGTTGACTATATGTTTGTTAAATAAGAACAGTTTCTTACCATGTTGTTATTCATTACATAGTTCTGAAATGTGTAGCTACTATTTTGGAAAATGTATTTTACTGTTAACAAAAAAATTGTTATATGAGCAGTGTGGGCTCTTTTTGGTGAAAATTATTTTTAAATAGATTATAATAACTGTAATAAGTATAACTGTACTCTTTATTATTTATCTAATAGTTTTTATACCTGTTTTGTCTTGTGCTTTTGTACACTATAAGGAAAAAACACTGTAGAAACTCTGTTATTAGATTAAAATGATTTTTAAAATAAAATCACTGGGAAACATACAGCAATGTGCCACCTCCAAAATGGGTAAATGCCTATTATTTCAAACATCACCAAATTGCTTACAGTGTGTTCAGAACAGTACGTAAGAAGAAAATTTACCCTGGAATTTTTACAGAATCCCCAGTGATTTCATTAGAAGTTGTAAATATGGAGCATGCGAAGAGACTGATCTTCAGTATATTATGGCTCTATATAATTGACTTTTACCATGTACCAAAAAATAACACCGCCCACATAGCTTGAGATAATTATCATATTCTTGTAGATATCTAATGCCCGGGTAGATTCTAAAAAAGACCCAAAATCCTTTAGTTCACCTCATGTGAACAACCCTTGCCTCTTAAAAAAAAATGCATTTTTTCAAAATTCACTCAGTGACCACTATCTCTGAAGAAATGATCTTCTTCACCGATAGCTTCATCATACAAATGGTTTGCATTCATTCATTTCCCAAACTTCATTTGATTTTACTTTGGTAAAGTTTACTTATCTTATTCTCCCTCTCAAATAAGTGTTACCTACAGTATGTTGGATAAAAACATAATTGGTGATGAAATAAATAAAATAACACCATCATTAAGGGAAATTTATCAAAATGTTATGATTTAGCATTGACTCCACCACCTACACACATTAGCATCACACATTTAGCAGAGCCAGATAGTGTATCTAGCCAGGTCTGTATGTGCTGAGCACATATCCAAGCAGTTATCATAAGTGATCACTCCAGTGAAAAAATAGATTTGAATAGAGGCTTTATTAGAAGAATAAGAACTATGGAAAAAGAAATTGTGAAGATAGCACAACGCTCAGTATAGTTTTCTTGAAATTTAAACAACTTCAGCAATAGCCTAGCAACTCTACAGAAGATTATCTTGTGTGAAATATGGATCAATGTGTCTTTTTTTTTTTTTAACTTTAAGTTCTGGGATACACGTGCAGAACATGCAGGTTTGCAGGTTTGTTACATAGGTATACATGTGCCATGGTGGTTTGCTGCACCTATCAACCCGTCATCTAGGTTTTAAGCCCCGCATGCATTAGGTATTTGTCCTAATGCTCTCCCTCAGCTTGCCCCTACCCCCTGACAGGCCCCGGTCTTTAGTGTAAATGCTCTTAAACTGAAAATGGTGCATTTTCTCTACATAATGTAAATTACCAGATGACTGAGGCTTGAAGTAAAAGACATGATTACAATAGAAAGCCCAAGTGATCCACCAACACTATCAAGATGGTTTATCCTTTAATATGCAAGGATAAGTTGTGCCTTGTCTGGCACTTCAAACTTTACCAGAAAGCATAGATACTTTCCACATTTACATAAAAATAGCCAACTGTAAATTTAGTAATAAATTGTGGGAAATAACAAATGCAAGCCAAAAATATCCCTGTGTTTGTCCAATGATGTTTTGTTTGTAACATGCCAGTGAAATCATGGGTAATATTTTTTAACCACCATTTACTTATGTAGTATA
This sequence comes from Homo sapiens, assembly GCF_000001405.40. Classification (NCBI taxonomy): domain Eukaryota; kingdom Metazoa; phylum Chordata; class Mammalia; order Primates; family Hominidae; genus Homo; species Homo sapiens. Next base: position 80,453,082 of record NC_000023.11, read on the forward strand.
TTTTATCAAGTACTGTAACATAATTTTGTTATTGAGCATTAGTAGATAAGAGATTTGTTTACTTTGAAAACTATGACAGTGATCCCACTAAGTTACTTGTATATTACCTAATTTCTGATTAGACTAGGTGATTGCTGCACTTTGCCCTCCCTCCACATTATTTCCAATGTCAAAACAAAGTAGAGACACATTATTCCTATAATTATATTCTCTTTTCTGTCCAAAGTGGATATGGTCTCTATTAGGATTATCTAAAATTATCTACTTGCACCATTTCTTCAAAGGTACACTTTTTTAAAAAAATGTGAACAATCGGCGGGGTGCGGTGGCTCACACCTGTAATCACAGCACTTTGGGAGGCTGAGATGGGCGGATCACGATGTCAGGAGATCGAGACCGTCCTGGCTAACACGGTGAAACCCTGTCTCTACTAAAAATACAAAAAAAAAAAAATAGCCAGGCGTGGTGGCGGGCGCCTGTAGTCCCAGCTACTCGGGAGGCTGAGGCAGGAGAATGGCATGAACCCGGGAGGCGGAGCTTGCAGTGAGCCGAGATCGCGCCACTGCACTTCAGCCTGGGTGACAGGGCGAGACTCTGTCTCAAAAAAAAAAAGAAAAAAAAACAAAAATGTGAACAATCTTTACACATGTTTTAAAATAAAATTTTGTTTAAAGACATAAAAGATGAAGAGTAGCGTGCTATTCCCCATCATTACTCACATTAAGTTCTATTACATAAAATGTTGCCCCTCTCAGCTGCTTCTATATTCCTCTCTTTATCCTATGTTATTACAGAATTTTAATATCTAAACTCAACAGTTGCCATGGAAAGAATTACAACATTAAAATAACAAGATTAAAACAACACATTGAGTCTTCTTTAGAATATGCATATACATAGGAAATGAACCCCACAATTTCTCAACACTGTAGTAAAGAGAGACTCTGTTCCCCCACATCCACGTGCAAGCATTCATGGGTGTGGCAAGTACTTAATATACATGCAATGAAGGAAAATAACTTTCACAATTTCAAAGGGAAACAAAAAATTGATATACATGAAAATTGTCTTAGGTTATAGCTAAAATAGTAAAACTGTTTAGTTTTCTAGACACGTAAGATGGTAATAAGACAAGGACATGAATTTGAATTGAGAGGAATTTTCAACTAACTTTATAGAAAACTTTCAGAAAATGAGTCTTCTGAGAGTAGTGTCCTGGGAAGATAATTATCATATTCTTAGGGGTTTCTAATGCCTGGGTAGATTCTAAAAAAGACTCAAACTCCTTTAGTTCACCTCACGTGAACAATCTTTGCCTCTGAAAAAAAAATGCTTTTTTTCAAAACTCACTGAGTGACCACTATCTCTGAAGAGGTGATTTTCTTCACCCACTCCAATGCCTAAATGAAGTAACTTTGAACAGCCCCACAGGGGAAACCCTTAGAGAAATTGCTAAGTGTGGCATTGTTTACTCCTTTCCAAGGACTCAGGCTCCTGTGCATTTGACTGTGCATCCTAGCACCACTACCACTTCAACCCCATCATTTTATTCAGCTCATACATGTGTATATCCTGATGTGATTCTCTTCCATGGGCTGTACTGAGTAAATCCCTCCATGAAAGTATTAAAAGTGAATTCTGCTAATGGCTTTCTTTTCTTAGATCATGTGAAATATCCAGAGTGAAGTCAGTAAAACTGGTGGAGTAAAGACTTCCAAAAAAATTTTTTTGAAAAGAACAGATGGAAAAAAATGTTAGAATTAATATTTTCCAAACTCTGAAAATTATCCAAAGTCTTGCAAGAACACACAGAGAAAATGTGGCTGAATTTTAGTTAGAACAGCAAGCTTTGTGGCATTTTCAGAGCAGTTGGAGGTTCACAGCAAAATCGAGCAGAAAGTACAGATATACATGTATGTTCTCACATGTCCCTTTTCCCTCACACACCCAGCCTCCCCTGCTATCAACATACCACACCAGAGTGATGTATTTGTTACAATCAATGAACCTACACTGACACAGCATTGCCCAAAATCCAAAGATTATATTAGGGTTGACACTAGGTGTTGTACATTCTATGGGTTTTAACAAATGTATAATTACATGTATCCATCATTAAAATATTACACAGCTGCAGTGTCCTGAACTAAGCTGTGTGTTCTGCCTCTTCATCCCTACCTGCCCCCTAACCCCTGGCAACCACTGATCTTACTGTAACCATAGTTTTGCCTTCCAGAATTTCATACAGTTGAAATAATACAGTATGTAGCCTCTTCAGATTAATTTCACTAATAATCATGTATTTATGTTTTCTCCATGTCTTTTCATGATTTTATAGTTCCTTTTAAGTAAAGAATAATATGTCTAGATGTACCACAGTTTATTTATCCATTTACTTACTGAAGGGCCTATTGGTTGCTTCCAAGTTTTGGCAGCTATGAGTAAAGCTGCTATAAACATCTGTGTGCATGTTATGATGTAGCCATAAATTTTCAACTCATTTGAGTAAATACTAAGGATAATGATTCCTGGGTCCTCTTATAAGAATATTTTTAAATTTTTAAGAAACTGCCAAACTGTCTTCCAAACTGGCTGTACCATTTGGCATTCCCATTAACAATGAATGAGAGTTCCTGTTGCTACACATCCTCACCTGAAATTGAAGTATTTGGATTTTTTGCCATCCTAATAAGTGTGTAGTGATATTTTGTTATTGTATTAATTTATAGCCCAGCAGAAAGCATTTCCTTTGTCCCTACAAAGGGAACACCCAGCAGAAAACATTTCCTTATCTTTAAGCCTACCACTCACACTGCATGTACTGGTCACCCTCATTGCTTGTGTCAATCGTGTGGAAGGCAGTTCAGTTCGTTTGAAGCATTCATCTTCCTATGCAAAGCTGCCACATGGATAAGATAATTCAGTCTTGGTATTTTTCCTGAGAGCCACCTACCACATATTTTCATGAGGTGACAATGACCATACGCTTCTAGACCACTTCCTCACTACGCCCCATTCAGGACAGATATCGACAGTGTTCCTTCCTCATAGGACCCAACAGTTTTCCTTGTTTGACTGCTGAGTCCCCTTGATCAGGCAAAAATAACTCAAGCATTTCCATTGCTGGATTTTTGTGGGAGCATGAGGGACTGTACAATAAGGAAGGCTTCTTCACTCTGAAGATCACCGAGCCCACTTCAGTGTGGTACTGGGACTAACCAGTCCAATTATTGTGCATTGATTTTTCTCTATTTCTTGGGTTTTTAAATTTTCTACACATTTTCTTAAATGTCAGGTATTCTACCCCACCCTCAAGAAAATAAAATTTTTTTAAAATACTATACATTGGGAAAGACAAATAGAGCAACACTTCTACAAGTAAAAATAGGCTTGAGGAGCATGACAGTGTAAATGCTTACACAACCAGTCTTACTGAGTATGCTCAAGAGTGAAATGTTATCACCGATTTGTTTTGCCTTTTTTAATCCTTAGGAATTAAACGCAATTTTTAACATAGAACACTTGATCAGTAATGAGTATAACCTTATGTGTCAATACTGTTGTACAAATTGGAGGTGGATGGCTTAGTTCAGAGCTAACCACCCTAACACTGATCCATGGCACCAAAGAGTAAACTGTTTTCATATATGTTATTAACATTCTTGGCAGCAGGAAATTATGAAACGACCCCTCCTTTTTCATTTACATTGCCAAGGGAAATATAGCAGGCTGCAGGAACCCAGTACAGTTGTAAAGAGGGCTGTGGCCTGGAATCCTGATGCCACACACATTTCCCTTGCACATCCCAGGTCGTCTTAAGCACCACAAGATGATGCCCAGCAAGCCCACTCACTCTTGCCAATTCCTGCCCAGGAATTTGATGGAGATGCCGAGAATAGCACACATGTCCTTTCTTAGATTGTACTCCCACTCCCCATCCCCCATTCTTAGCAGAAGAAAGCATAAAACATCTTTTGACTTGAATATTTGCCCATTTCAGAAAGCCACACCGTCACCATATAAACTTAAAAAAATAAATCAAAACATTGTGTTCACTGGGTTGACACCCAATCCATTTCAAGTGTTCTCTAAGCATGTTTTTTAAAACCAGTGTATCATCCTTGAGAGACTTTCTTCCAACTGACCACTGTTCATGTAAATTATTTTAGCAGTGCCTTTATAACAGTGTTTTCAAAGCATCTTACAAGTTCCTAATTTCTATGAACTTTGCCACCAAACAAGTGAAGAATGGGAAATGGGAAGGAAAACTTGTTGACAGCTATTTGGAAATCAGTAACAGTGGGAAAGAGGAATATGTCACATAAAAGTTTGAAGGACCTAGAATGAAATGAGCTATCTGGAAACTTACCCTGGAGGGGTGAAGATTCCCAGAATGTTAGGCAAGATAAAGATTCAGCTTGTGTAATTACACAGATTTGTTCTAAAGTCTTGTAAAGGACTGAAATATCAAGTCTTCCCATTTCTACTGGCAAACTAGAAAAATGAAACCCCCTGCATACAGGCCCCTCCGGATGCTTGCCTGAAAAGAAAACCAGCTAAGAAACTCTGGATTCTCTCCTATGATGTGTCCTCCTAAAGCCCAACTCAATTGCTTGTTAGCAAATCTATGCTTCTGAGAACTTAGGTCCAGCTATAGGCACTGCTAACAGTAGTGGAGTGAGGTAGCCGAGTGGTGCAGAAGAGGTGTCTCTTTTCGCACCTGTATGCAGTGATTACATCAGGTCGTCCCTTGGACATCTTCCTTCCATTCCTCAGCAGGCTGCACCACAGAGCTCTGTTCAGTATCAGGAGACTCAATGCAAGAAGAGTGCCAGAAAATCCAACTGATAGTGGGATGAGGATTAAAACCTTAATGGCTTATTAAGCAATGAGGTCTGCAATGCCATCCAAAGGACGTCCAATCTTGATGTTGGTCTCTTTCCAGGAGACATGAAGGATTCATGATGCCCACATCTAATCCTAGTGTGGCATCCACTTTTGAAGCCTGGAGATTGTAAGCAACTTTTGATACACAATGAACTGGAAGTTTAAAAAAAGGAAATCAAAACAACCAAATTGGGCCCTCAATGGATTGAATAATGGCCATCAACATTAAAAAAAAAAAAAGGATCTTCTTGATTCAGTGTACTGATACAAATACCAAGTTTTTTCTGAATAACTCTCACAGACACCCAGAAATGTTTTACCAGCTATCTGGGTATCTTTTAGCTCAGTCAAATTGACATAAAATTAATCATTCCATACACATTCATACACTGTCTTATATTGTTTGCCCCAACATTTGAAACTATGTTGCAGACTTTATAACAATTTACCTCTAAATAATTCAGCATAATTTTTTAAGAATAAAGATATTCTCCTACATAACTACATTATCACATAAAACAAAATAAATAAATCTCTTATGTAATCTAATATCCAGTCTGTATAACAATTTTCCTAATTGTCCTACAAACATTTTTAGAGATTCTTTTCTATACCTGAGTTTAACCAAATTTCACATATGCTGCATTTGTTTTTACAAACAATTTATTTTGACTACCATATTTTTCTGCCTAAGACACATATACATGAACACACACAATAGTAACAGATAATATTTATGCATCTACTACTACAGGTACTGTTCTGTGTATTCCATAGATACATTTAATTTTTGCAGCAATTCTGGAAATAGACACTGCTATTATTGCAATTTTATAGATGAAGCAATTAGGGCACAGAAAGGTAAGTAACCTGTCTAAATCCTCACAGATAGTACGGAAGAAGAGTCAAAATTTAAAATGTAAACTCAGGCATCTGTTTTAGTAGTCCTGTTTTTGACCACTATATTATCCCACACCTTATATATCTACACATATGCTTACATGCAGCACAGGCACAAAAATGCGCATACACAGAATATATGTAGTGGTGGCTGTGGCTTGGTTATTGCATCACTCTTTGGATGAATTTGTGTCATAATTTCCTCATCTATAAAATAGAAATGATTAGTTTCTACAACATAGGGTTATTTTGAAAGTTACCTTTCTAAAGTGTACAGAATACAGTCTAGCAGAGTAAATGCTCTAAAAATTTAGCTCTTATTATCATTATCCTCAGACAGAATGTGAGTTCCATTAACAATACTATTATTTCTATTTTTATTACATTTGTAGGTAGTATGTCACTGGATAAATTTTACACTGAGCATTAAATTATAGCATTGCCCAAATGCCATGAAATACGGCACAATTGTGAATGGCATAAACCCTTTTTAAAATAAAGTTTCCAATTATTTCAATTACATTTATTTTTATAGTTCAGTCTTAAAGAGGCCTTACTCAAATTCCTTGATGGATTTGTAAAAAACATAGAATTTTTGTTACATTCTTGGGTTAAAATCTCATATCCACCTTACTTAAACTCTGAATACCTGTGTCTTTGGATACATTATTTAATCTCTCAAAATGTTTTCTTCTTTTTGGCATGGTGAGAAAACTAGAAAAAAAAACCCAGAACATTTCTGAGAGAACTACTCACTTTTCTTTTTAAAAAAAGTATTACAAAATTTAGAAAAACTACTAGACATTCTGCTTTGGATGTAGTGCTGACTAAAAGAGTAATAAGTAAACCAAAAATAAATGTGACTTCTGAGAGAAATTGATTATGTTAGAGCCAGTGACAATGACAGGTCAATTATGTGTTCATTGGATTGCATTCAAAACAGTTTTGAAAGCAGAATTTGGACCATTTATGTAAGATAATCACTTAGTTAACTTCAAAGAAAGAACAAGTTTTCATTTAACATTTTGATGATGTCAACTCCACTTCCAGCAGTATTGTCTGTGAAGGTAGTAGTGGTGGAGCTTCTGTAAGCAACCAAAAATCTTTATTGGGTAATCTAATTGTATTATTTAGGATTCTCAAGAAAAAAAAAACAGAATGATCTCACAGACTCTCTCTCTCTCTATATATATATATATAATTTGTGCACCAAGCCCAGTGATACGTAATTTACCTATGTAATACACCTGCACATGTACCCAACTCAACCTGAAATAAAAGTTAGAAAAAAAGAAAAACCTCATTTTTATAATTCTGTTTCTCCAGAACCACTCTTGGTACCAAAATCTGTGTGAGGGTTCTCCAGAGAAAGAAATCCAGTAGAATATAAAAAAAGTAAGGAAATTTATTATGAGAATTGGCCGATGTGATTATGAAGGCCCATAATACTCATTGGTGATTCTAATAAAAATTAAAGTTTGAAAGCCACTAATACAGATCATTGCTATGATGGTTAGAAGTATAATAGTTAACTTTAAGTATCAACTTGGCTGCACCATGGGGTGTCCAGATATTTGGTGAAACGTTATTTATGTGGTCTGTGAGGATGTTTCTGAATGAGATCAGCATTTGAAATCAGTAGACTCAGTAAAGCGCATTGCCTTCCCCAATGTGGATGAGCATCATCCAATCCCCTGAAAACCTGAATAGAGCAAAAGCTGGATGAAGGGAGAATCTCTCTCTCTCTCTTACTCTTTCTCTGCATAGGTCTTCTCCTGCATTCTGACTTGGGCTGGAACTTACACCATTGTCTCTCCTACATCTCTCTCTCTCTCTCTCTCTCTCTCTCTCTCTCTCTCTCTCTCTCTCTCTCTATATATATATATATATATATATATATATATATATATATTTACTACCTATATATAAATCTCTTTCTCTCTCTCTCTCTCTCACTCTTTCTCTGCATAGGTCTTCTCTTGCATTCTGACTTGGGCTGGAGCTTACACCATTGTCTCTCCTACTTCTCAGACTTTTATATTGCAAATGTTGAGACTTCTCAGCCTCAATAATCACATGAACCAATCTCATACATACATATTTATATATATATATATGAGAGATTTTATATATAGGCGATTTATATCTATATCTATAGATATAAATTGGTTCATATGTTTATTGAGGCTGAGAAATATATATTATATATAAATACATATATAAACATATACATATATAAATACATATATAATATATAATATATATTATATATATTATATAATATATAATATATATTATATATATTATATAATATATAATATATATTATATAATATATAATATATATTATATATTATATAATATATATATTATATATTATATAATATATATATTATATATTATATAATATATATATATATGAGATTGGTTCTTGTGATTACTGAGGCTGAGTCTCAACATTTGCAATATAAAAGTCTGAGAAGTAGGAGAGACAATGGTGTAAGTTCCAGCCCAAGTCAGAATGCAGGAGAAGACCTATGCAGAGAAAGAGTAAGAGAGAGAGAGAGATTCTCCCTTCATCCAGCTTTTGCTCTATTCAGGTTTTCAGGGGATTGGATGATGCTCACCCACATTGGGGAAGACAATGTGCTTTACTGAGTCTACTGATTTCAAATGCTGATCTCATTCAGAAACATCCTCACAGACCACATAAATAACGTTTCACCAAATATCTGGACACCCCATGGTGCAGTCAAGTTGATACTTAAAGTTAACTATTATACTTCTAACCATCATAGCAATGATCTGTATTAGTGGCTTTCAAACTTTAATTTTTATTAGAATCACCAATGAGTATTATGGGCCTTCATAATCACATTGGCCAATTCTCATAATAAATTTCCTTACTTTTTTTATATTCTACTGGATTTCATTCTCTGGAGAACCCTCACACAGATTTTGGTACCAAGAGTGGTTCTAGAGAAACAGAATTATAAAAATGAAGTTTTTCTTTTTTTCTAACTTTTATTTCAGGTTGAGTTGGGTACATGTGCAGGTGTATTACATAGGTAAATTACGTATCACTGGGCTTGGTGCACAAATTATATTGTCACTTAGGTAACAAGCAGAGCACCCAATATGTACTTTTTTGATACTCTCCCTCCTCTCACTTTCCACCCTCAAGTAGGCCCTGAAGTCTCATTTCCTTCTTCATGTCCATGTGTACTCAATGTTTAGCTCCCACTTATAAGAGAGAACATGCAATATTTGGTTTTCTGTTCCTATGCTAATTCCCTTAATATAATAGCCTCCTTGCAGCTAACAAGATGGCCAAATAGGAGCAGCTCTGGTCTGCAGCTCCCAGCGAGATCAACACAGAAGGTGGGTGATTTCTGCATTTCCACCTGAGATACCCGGCTCGTCTCACTGGGACTGGTTAGACAGTGGGTGCAGCCCCTGGAGGGCGAGTACAAGCAGGGTGGAGAGTCGCCTCATCCAGGAAGTGCAAGGGGTCAGGGAACTCCCTCCACTCACAAAGGGAAGCTGTGAGGGACTGTGTCATGAGGAATGGTGCATTCTGGCCCAGATAATGTGCTTTTCCCATGGTCTTTGCAACCTGCAGACAAGGAGATTCCCTCTGGTGCCTATGCCACCACAGCCCTGGGTTTCAAGCACAAAACTGGGTGGACATTTGGGCAGACACCGAGCTAGCTGCAGGAGTTTCATTTCATACACCAGTGGTGCCTGGAACACCAGCGAGACAGAACTGTTCACTCCCCTGGAAAGGGGGCTGAAGCTAGGGAGCCAAGTGATCTAGCTCAGTGCATCCCACCCACATGGAACCCAGCAAGCTAAGATCCACTGGCTTGAAATTCTTGCTGCCAGCACAGCATTCTGAAGTCAACCTGGGATGCTCCAGCTTGGTGCGGGGAGGGTCGTCTGCCATTACTGAGTCTTGAGTAGGCAGTTTTCCCCTCACAGCATAAACAAAGCTGCCCAGAAGTTCTAACTGGTCAGAGCCCACCACAGCTTGACCAAGCCACTGTAGCCAGACTGCCTTTCTAGATTCCTCCTCTCTGGGCAGGGCATCTCTGGAAGAAAGGCATCAACCCCAGTCAGGGGATTATAAATAAAATGCCTATCTCCCTGGGACCGAGCACTTGGGAGAAGGGGTGGCTGCGGATGCAACTTCAGCAGACTTAAATGTTCCTGCCTGCCATCTCTGAAGAGAGCAGTGGATCTCCCAGCACAGTGCTCAAACACTGCTAAGGGACAGACTGCTTGCTCAAGTGGGTCCCTGACTTCTGTGTCTCCTGATTGGGAGACGCCTCCCAGCAGGGATCGACAGACACCTCATACAGGAGAGCTCTGGTTGGCATCTGGTGGATGCCCCTCTGAGATGAAGCTTTGAGAGGAAGGAACAGGCAGTAATCTTTGCTATTCTACAGCCTCTGCTGGTGATACTCAGGCAAACAGGATCTGGAGTGGACCTCCAGCAAAATTCAGTAGACCGGCAGCAGACAGGCCTGACCGTTAGTAGGAAAATAACAAACAGAAAGGAATAGTATGATCATCAACAAAAAGAATGTCCATACCAAAACCCCATCCAAAGGTCACGAACATGAAAGACCAAAGGTAGATAATTCCACAAAAGTGGCGAGAAACCAGTGCAAAAAAAGCGTAAAATTGCAAAAACCAGAATACCTCTTCTCCTCCAAAGGATCACAACTCCTCGCCAGCAAGGGAACAAAACTGGACAGAGAATGAGTTTAAGGACTTGACAGAAGTAGGCCTCAGAAAGTGGGTAATAACAAACTCCTTCACGCTAAAGGAGCATTTTCTAATGAAATGCAAGGAAGCTAAGAACGTTGAAAAAAGGTTAGAGAAATTGCTAACTAGAATAACGACTTTAGAGAAGAATATAAATCATCTGATGGAGCTGAAAACACAGCATGAGAACTTCGTGAAGCATACACAAGTATCAATAGCCAAATCACTCAAGTGGAAGAAAGGATATCAGAGATTGAAGAACAACTTGATGAAATAAAGCATGAAGACAAGATTAGAGAAAAAAGAATAAAAAGGAACAAACAAAGCCTCAAAGAAATATGGGACTATGTGAAAACACCAAACCTACATTTGATTGGTGTACCTGAAAGTGATGGGGAGAATGGAACCAAGTTGGAAAACACTCTTCAGGATATTATCCAGGAGAACTTCCCCAATCTAGCAAGACAAGCCCAACGTTCAAATTCAGGAAATACAGAGAACACCACAAAGATACTCCTCAAAAAGAGCAACACCAAGACACATAATCATCAGATTCACCTACTCCTTGAGAAGAGCAACACCAAGACGCATAATTATCAGATTCACCGAGGTTGAAATGAAGGAAAAAATGTTAAGGGAAGCCAGAGAGAAAGGTTGGGTTATCCATAAAGGGAAGCCCCTCAGACTAACAGCAGATCTCTCTGCAGAAACCCAACAAGCCAGAAAAGAGTGAGAGCCAATATTCAACATTCTTACAAAGAAGAATTTTCAACCCAGAATTTCATATCCAGCCACACTAAGTTTCATAAGTGAAGGAGAAATAAAATCCTTTACAGACAAGCAAATGCTGAGTAATTTTTGTCACCACCAGGCCTGCCTTATAAGAGCTCCTGAAGGAAGCACTAAACATGGAAAGGAACAACTGATACCAGCCACTGCAAAAACATACCAAATTGTAAAGACCATTGACACTATGAAGAAACTGCATCAACTAATGGGCAAAATAAACAGCTAGCATCATAATGACAGGATCAAATTCACACATAACAATATGAACCTTAAATGTAAATGGGCTAAATGCCCCAATTAAAAGACACAGACTGGAAAATTGGATAAAGAGTCAACAACCATCAGTGTGCTGTATTCAGGAGACCCATCTCACATGCAAAGACACACATAGACTCAAAATAAAGGGATGGAGGAATATTAACCAAACAAATGGAAAGCAAAAAATAGTAGGCATTGCAATCCTAGTCTCTGAAAAAACAGACTTTAAACCAACGAAAATCAAAAGAGACAAAGAAGGCCATTAAATAATGGTAAAGGGATCAATTCAGCAAGAAGAGCTAACTTTCCTAAATATATATGTACCCAATACAGGAACACCCAGATTCATAAAGCAAGTTCTTAGAGACCTACAAAGAGACTTAGACTCCCACACAATAATAGTGGGAGATTTTAACACCTCACTGTCAATATTAGGCAGATCGAGACAAAAATTAACAAGAATATTCAGGACTTGAACCCAGCTCTGGACCAAGCAGAACTAATAAACATCTACAGAACGTTCCATGTCAAATCAACAGAATATACATTCTTCTCAGCACCACATCACAGTTATTATAAAATTTACTACATAATTGGAAGTAAAACACTCCTCAGCAAAAGCAAAAAATGGAAATCATAACAAACAGACTCTCAGATCATGGTGTAATCAAACTTGAACTTAGGATTAAGAAACTCACTCGAAACCACACAACTACATGGAAACTGAACAACGTGCTTCTGAATGACTACTGGGAAAATAACGAAATTAAGGCAGAAATAAATAAGTTCTTTGAAACTAATGAGAACAAAGACACAATGTATGAGAATCTCTGGTACACAGCTAAAGCAGTATTTAGAGGGAAATTTATAGCACTAAATGTCCATAAGAGAAAGCAGGAAAGATCTAAATTGACACCCTAATATCACAATTAAAAGAACTAGAGAAGCAGGAACAAACAAATTCAGAAGCTACAGAAGACAAAAAATAACTAAGATCAGAACAGAACTGAAGGAGATAGAGACACGAAAATGCCTTCAAAAAATCAATGAATCTGGGAGGTGTTTTTTTAAAATATCAACAAAATAGATAGACCACTAGCCAGACTAATAAAAAAGAAAAGAGAGAAGAATCAAATAGACACAATAAAAAAATCATATAAGGGATATCACCACTGATCCCATAGAAATAAAAACTACCATCAAAGAATACTATAAACACCTCTATGTAAATAAACTAGAAAATCTAGAAGAATAAATTCCTGGACACATACACGGTCCCAAGTCTAAATTCCTGGATACATACACGGTCCCAAGTCTAAACCAGGAAGAAGTTGAATCCCTGAATAGACCAATAACAAGTTCTGATATTGAGGCAATAATTCATAGCCTAACAATCAAAAAATTCCCAGGACCACACAGATTCACAGCTGAGTTCTACCAGAGGTACAGAGAGGAGCTGGTACCATTCCTTCTGAAAATATTCCAAACAATAGAAAAAGAGGGAATCCTCCCTAACTCATTTTATGAGGCCAGCATTATCCTGATACCAAAACCTGGCAGAGACACAAACAAACAAACAAAAATATTCAGGCCAATATCCCTGATGAACATCAGTGCAAATATTTTCAATAAACTACTGGCAAACAGAATCCAGCAGCAGATCAAAAAGCTTATCCACCATGATCAAGTCAGCTTCAACCCTGGGATGCAAGGCTGGTTCAACGTATGCAAATCAATAAACATAATCCATCACATAAACAGAACCAGTGACAAAAACCACATGATTATCTCAATAGATGCAGAAAAGGCCTTCAACAAAATTCAACACTCCTTCATGTTAAAAACTCTCAATAAACTAGGTATTGATGGAACGTATCTCATATAATAAGCTATTTATGACAAACCCACAGCCAATATCATACTGAATGGGCAAAAACTGGAAGCATTCCCTTTAAAACCAGCACAAGACAAGGATTCCCTCTCTCACCACTCCCATTCAACATAGTATTGGAAGTTATTGCCAGGGCAGTTAGGCAAGAGAAAGAAATAAGGGGTATTCACATAGAAAAAGAGGAAGTCAAATTGTTTTCAGATGACATGATTGTATATTTAGAAAACTCCACCATCTCAGCCCAAACTCTCCTTAAGCTGATAAACAAGAGCAGCAAAGTCTCAGGATACAAAATCAGTGTGCAAAAATCATAAGCATTCCTATACACCAATAATAGACAAACAGAGAGTCAAATCATGAGTGAACTCCCATTCACAATTGTTACCAAGAGAATAAAATACCTAGGAATACAACTTACAAGGGATGCGAAGGACTCTTTAAGGAGAACTACAAACCACTGCTCAAGGAAATGAGAGAGGACACAAACAAATGGAAAAACATTCCATGCTCATGGATAGGAAGAATCAATATCATGAAAATGGCCATACTGCCCAAAGTAATTTATAGATTCAAGGATATCCCCATCAAGCTACCATTGACTTTCTTCACAGAATTATATAAAACTACTTTAAATTTCATATGGAACCAAAAAAGAGCCCACATAGCCAAGACAATCCTAAACAAAAAGAACAAAGCTGGAAGCATCACGCTACCTGACTTCAAACTATACTACAGGCTACAGTATCCAAACCAGCATGGTACTGGTACCAAAGCATATATATACCAATGGAACAGAACAGAGGCCTCAGAAATAACACCACACATTTACAACCACCTGATATTTGACAAACCTGAAAAAAAAAAAACAGCAATAGAGAAAGGATTCCCTATTTAATAGATGTTTTTGGGACAACTGGACAGCCATATGCAGAAAACTGAAACTGGGCCCCTTTCTTACATGGTATATGAAAATTAACTCTAGATGGATTTAAGACTTAAACGTAAGACCTAAAACAATAAAAACCCAAAAGAAAACCGAGGCAATATGCTTCAGGACATAGTCATAGGCAAAGACTTCGTTACTAAAACACCAAAAGCAATGGCAACAAAAGCCAAAATTGACTAATGGGATCTAATTAAACTAAAGAGCTTCTGCACAGCAAAAGAAACTATTATTGGAATGAACAGGAAACCTACAGAATAGGAGAAACTTTTTGCAATCTATTCATCTGACAAAGAGCTAATATCCAGAATCTGCAAAGAACTTAAACAAATTTCCAAAAAAAAAAAACCCACTCCATCAAAAACTGGGTGAAGTATATGAACAGACACTTCTCAAAAGAAGACATTTATGCAGCCAACAAACATATGAAAAAAAGCTCATCATCACTGGTCATTAGAGAAATGCAAATCAAAACCACAATGAGATACCATCTCACACCAGTTAGAATGGCAATCATTAAAAAGTCAGGAAACAACAGATGCTGGAGAGGATGTGGAGAAATAGCAACACTTTTCCGCTGTTGGTGGAAGTGTAAATTAGATCAACCATTGTGGAAGACAGTGTGGCAATTCCTCAAGGATCTAGAACCAGAAATACAATTTGACCCAGCAATCCCATTACTGGGTATATAGCCAAAAGATTATAAATCATTCTACTATGAAGACACATGCACACGTATGCTTATTGCAGCACTGTTCACAATAACAAAGACTTGGAACCAACCTAAATTCCCATCAATGATAGACTGGATAAAGAAAATGTGGCACATATACACCATGGAATACTATGCAGCCATAAAAAAGGATGAGTTCATGTCCTTTGCAGGGACATGAATGAAGCTGGAAACCATCATTCTCAGCAAACTAACGCAAGAACAGAAAACCAAACACCACGTGTTCTCACTCATAAGTGGGAGTTGAAAAATGAGAACACATGTTCACAGGGAGGGGAACATCACACAGCAGGGCCTGTTGGGGGGTGGGGCGCTAGGGGAGGGATAGCATTAGGAGAAATACCTAATGTAGATGACAGGTCGATGGGTGCAGCAAACCACCATAGCATGTGTATAACTATGTAACAAACGTGCACACTCTGCACTTGTATCCCAGGACTTAAAGTATAATTTAAAAAAAATTAAAAAATGATTATAGCCTTCAGCTCCATCTATTTTGTCTCAAAGGACATGATATCATTCTTTTTTATGGCTGTGTGATATTCCATCACGTATGTGTACCATATTTTTTATATCAAGTCCACCACTGATGGGCATCTAGGTTGATTCCATGTCTTTACTATTGTGACTAGTGCTGCAGTGTACATAAGCATGCATGTGTCTTTATGGTAGAATAATGTATATTCCTTTGGGTATAAATCCAGTAATGAGACTGCTGGGTCAAATGGTAGTTCTGTGTTAAGTCCCTTAAGAAATCTCTAAACTGCTTTCCACAATGGCTAAACTAACATACATTCCAACCAACAATGGCTTGACCAAGCCACCCAATCGCATCAATTCTTCCACCAAAACTGGAGAAAATTATCTAAACAATTTCAACTTACCCAAAGACTAGCTAAACAAATTATCCTGCGATGCCCAGATTGCCAGCTCACAGGCATGTACCTTCCTTCAACAGCTGTTAACCCTGGAGGACTAGGACCTAATTATTTATGGCAAACAGATGTTACACACATCCCTGAATTTGGAAAAGTTAGATACATGCATGTATTCGTTGATACCACCACTCATCTAATTAGTGCACATGCACTTCCTGAAGAGTCCACTCGATATGTCATTAAACATCTTCTTATAACTTTTGCATTTATGGGGAAGCCCACAAAAATTAAAACTGATAATGGTCCAGCTTGTGCCTCTCGCAATTTCAACAATTTTGTCACACGTGGAATATCCAGTATTCCACAGGCATTCCATATAACCCCCGAGGACAGCTATAGTAGAACGTGTCCATTTCACTCTTCAAAAATATGCACAAAAAACAAGGGGGAGTATGAGTAAGGACCCTGCAACACTACCAGCACAAGCCTTATTACCCTTAATTTTTTAAATTTAGATGATAAATCTCAATCAGCTGTAGAAAAGCACTTGCAGGTTTGCAGTTTTATGGAAAGATGTAAACAGTAACGCAGGGTGTGGTCCAAATGAATTGTTAACGTAGGGAAGAGGATATTCTTGTGTTCACACCCCCTCAGGTCCTCTTTGGATTCCAGCATGATGCATCAAACCATACTATGGCATGGCTAGGACCCAACCTGGTACCAGAAATGAAGGAACTGCCCTACAGGACTCGCAGCCCCGGATGATGCAGCTTCCTCGAACGACACGAGTCCTGGACATTACCTGGGGGATGCTGAAGAAGACAACTCAGGAGGCTGAACGAATTCTGCTCCAGACACAGACACCATTCACTCCGGATAATGTGTTCCTTGCTATGCTCTCTGTTGTACATTGCAACTTGCATAGGGTATTGATCCTTCTTATGCTCTCACTTTGTCTGCAACCTGTACCTGCTACACTCTATTGAGCTCGTATCTTAGATCCGCCTTTCTTTCACCCTGTCACCTGGCCAGACACCCCCTTCCCTGCCATTAATAACGTAACTGCTTGGCTAGGAGGGATAGATTTACCCCCAGTGGGGTTCCTCATTAATGGCACACAATGGACTAAGGTGCCAGGTAACACTACATATCACTCTACTATCCTCTCACTGTGTGTAAGTTATAAAAGTTTTAGCTCTTACTGTGTACCTGCCCAAACACAATTAAGGCTACATTATGGCAAAGGAAATGCCTTAACAGTCTTAGCTGCAGGTAGCCTCAAACCGGGCAATGCAATAAATGCCACTTTCCCAAACATTCCTTCCTGTGCTAAAGAACAAAGCTGGGGAAGTAATGGATTCCACTTTAGCTGGGAGGTCTGTCATGGGGGGCAAGCCTGTAGCCTCCAGTTAGGTAATTATAACATCTTAGGCAGCCTTACTGATGTCCTCATCCATCATGGCATCAATCACAGTTTCGCAGCCACATCTCATTCCCCTATGATTTGGACCAATGAGGGGATGAGATATCCCAGACTCCAAGGAAAATCCATGCCACCCCAAGACACTTTATGGTGCCTGGGACATCTTAGCACCTCCCTTGACACCTGGCATGGGGCATATCATAATTTCAGTCACAACTATACTATAACCTTTATTGATAATCACACTGATTAGTGCCTAATTTGCACTACCTATCCATATTTTTTCCTTATGGGAACCAATATTTCTATTACACCACAAAACCCTGAGTTTGTGACCTGGGTGCAGGGACAAGCTTGGTTCGCCTCATGTATCACTAATTACAATATATCTAATTTAAATATTACTAGTGTCATGGTATTGAGGAGACAACCTGAGGCATTCCTACCAGTCAATTGACACACAATTGGCAAGGTTCCTCTGCCTTTGCCACCTTAGAATGTGCTCTGTCCTAGGTCAGAACCAAAAGATTCATAGGCACACTTATAGCCTTTATAGTCTCAGCCATAGTCATCCTAGCAACTGCTAGTGTGGCTGTAGCATCTATTACTGAATCAGTACAAACAGCTGCTTTTGTAGATAATTTGGCCAGAAATGTGTCTAATGAACTTCTCTTACAGCAGGGTATAGATCAAAAGATTCTTGCATGTCTGCAAGCCCTCGAGGCTGCCTTGGAATATGTAGGGGAGTGACAAGATGCACTGGCATTCTAACAGCAATTACACTGCAACTGGGAGCATAAACATGTCTGTGTCACTTCTCAACTATGGAATCAATCAATACATAGTGGGGATGAGAGGAAACAACACCTCTGGGGAACCTTTCATGACAATTTAACAGCAGACATAAGGCCACTTAAAACTAAAATTTTAGAATCCCTTCACACCATAGATCTACACACCCAACAAACAGCAATATGGAAGGGTGTGTGAGATATTCTCTCCTGGATAGACCCCCACTCCTGGGGGTCACTCTTTGATTGGAAAAGAATGTTGTTGATCATACTCATGTTTGTCTTATGTTATTTGTTAATTCTAGGTTGCAAAGCCAGAATAAGAGCAGTGACCACCTTGCCTGACAGACCTGTTGCTGCACACCTCTGTACTCTTCAATCAATAAAGCTGGATGCAAAATAAATAAATAAATAAATAAATAAATAAATAAATAAATAAATAACAGAAAAGGGGGATATGTGGGAGTTCAGTCAGGGTGGTGGGAAAAAGTATAGTGAAAAAATTATAAAAATAGTTATAGGAAATAGACACAAACCTTCTTGAAAGGCCAGGGGGATTGCATAGCTTCAGTAAAAGATTTGGCTGAAGGCAGCCTAATCCTCTTATCTTGAGTTAATAGCTTAAACTAGATACAATGGAATGTAAGGAAGTTTATCTAAATAGCTTGTGTACTCATGTGGTCCTAAGACCAACCTTTGATCATTTATGGGCAGAATGGCTCTGGTGGGGGAGGGTGACCAGATTAATTACCCACAGGTGTGTTGACTCAAAGCCTTTGTCATTAAATCTGTGCTGAATAAATGCCCACAGGGCCAGCTTTATCAAGGCTGATGCTGCAGACTCGAGCAGCAGAGCCCCTTAGCCGGACTGACAAATAAAATATCTGCGTCAGTGTACATCTTTCATCGGTTGCTGGGTCAGGGTCTGCAGGACGAACCCCACATCCTGCTCTCTCCTGTGGGTATTTCGTGCTATAAATTTTCCTCTAAGCACTGCTTTAGCTGTGTCCCAGAGATTCCTGTATGTTGTGTCTTTGTTATCATTGGTTTCAAAGAATGTATTTATTTCTTCCTTAATTTTGTTATTTACCCAGGAGAAGCTTGTTCAGTTTCCATGTAGTTGTGTGGTTTTCAGTGAGTTTCTTAATCCTGAACTCTAATTTGATTGCACTGTGGTCTGAGAGACTGTTTGTTATGATTTCCATTCTTCTGCATTTGCTGAGGAGTGTTTTACTTCCAATTATGTGGTCAATTTTAGAATAAGTACAATGTGGTGCTGAGAAGAATGTATATTCTGCTGATTTGGGGTAGAGTTGTGTAGATGTCTACTAGGTCGGCTAGGTGCAGAGCTGAGTTCAAGTCCTGAATATCCTTGTTAATTTTCTTTCTCATTGATCTGTCTAATATTGACAGTTGGGCATTAAAGTCTCCCACTATTATTGTGTGGGAGTCTAAGTCTCTTTGTAGGTGTCTAAAAACTTGCTTTATGAATCTGGGTGCTCCTATATCGGGTGCATATATATTTAGGATAGTTAGCTCTTCTTGTTGCATTGATCCCTTTACCATTAAGTAATGCCCTTGTTTGTCTTTTTTGATCTTTGTTGGTTTAAAGTCTGCCTTATCAGAGACTAGGATTGCAACCCCTTTTTTAATCGCTTTCCATTTGTTTGGTTAATATTCCTCCATCCCTTTATTTTGAGCCTATGTGTGTCTTTGCACCTGAGATGTGTCTCCTGAATAAAGCACACTGATGGGTGTTGACTCTTTATCCAATTTTCCAGTCTGTGTCTTTTAATTGGGGCATTTAGCCCATTTACATTTAAGGTTCATATTGTTATGTGTGAATTTGATCCTATCATTATGATGCTAGCTGGTTATTTTGCCTGTTAGTTGATGCAGTTTCTTCATAGTGTCAGTGGTCTTTACAATTTGGTATGTTTTTGCAGTGTCTGGTACTGTTTTTTTTTCTATATTTAGTGCTTTCTGCAGGAGCTCTTGTAAGGCAGGCCTGGTGGTGACAAAATCTCTCAGCATTTGCTTGTCTGTAAAGGATTTTCTCTTTTGCTTATGAAGCTTAGTATAGCTGGATATGAAATTCTGAGTTGAAAATTCTTTTTTTAAGAATGTTGAGTATTGACCCCCACTCTCTTCTGGCTTGTAGG
Source organism: Homo sapiens (assembly GCF_000001405.40). Lineage (NCBI taxonomy): Eukaryota > Metazoa > Chordata > Mammalia > Primates > Hominidae > Homo > Homo sapiens. The sequence goes on from NC_000023.11 coordinate 80,473,506, forward strand.
GTTTCTTCAGAGAGATCCATTGTTAGTCTGATGGGCTTCTCTTTGTTGGTCACTCAACCTTTCTTTCTGGCTGTGCTTAATCTTTTTTTCCTTCATTTCAAACTCGGTGAATCTGACAATTATGTGTATTGAGATTACTCTTCTCAAAGAGTATTTTTGTGGTGTTCTTGTATTTCCTGAATTTGCATGTTGGCCTGTCTTGCTAAGTTGGGGAAGTTCTCCTGGATAATATCTTGAAGTGTGTTTTCCAACTCGGTTCCATTCTCCCAATCACTTTCAGGTACACCAGTCAAACATAGGTTTGGTCTGTTCACATTGTACCATAGTTCTTTGAGGCTTTGGTCATCCCTTTTTATTCTTTTTTCTCTAATCTTGTCTTCACGCTTTATTTCATTAAGTTGATATTCAATCTCTAATATCTTTTCTTCCACTTGATAGATTCAGCTATTGATGCTTGTGTATGCTTCACAAAATACTCGTTCTGTGTTTTTCAGCTCCATCAGGTCATTTATGTTCTTCTCTAAACTGGTTATTCTAGTTAGCAATTCCTCTAACATTTTTTCAAGGTTCTTAGCATTTTTGCATTGGATTAGAACATGCTCCTTATCTCAAAGGAGTTTGTTATTACCCACCTTCTGAAGCCTACCTCTGTCAATTCATCAAACTCATTCTCCATCCAGTTTTGTTCCTTTGCTGGTGAGGAGTTGTCATCCTTTGGAGGAGAAGAGGCGTTCTGGTTTTTGGAATTTTCAGCCTTTTTGTGCCTATTTTTTTTCATCTTCATGAATTTATCTACCTTTGGTCTTTGATGTTGTGACCGTCAGATGGGATTATTTTGTGGATGTCCTTTTGATGTTGATGCTATTTTTTTCTGTTAGTTTTCTTTCTAACAATCAGGTCCCTCTGCTGCAGGTCTGCTGGAATTTGCTGGAGGTCCACTCCAGACCCTGTTTTTCTAGACTTATCACCAGCAGAGGCTGCAGAACAGCAAAAGTTGCTGCCCGTTCCATACTCTGGAAGCTTTGTCCCCAGGGGACACCCACCAGATGCCAGCTGGAGCTCTGCTGTATGAGGTGTCTGTCAACCTTTGTTGGGAGGTGTCTCCCAGTCAGGGGGCATGGGGGTCAGTATCCCACTTGAGGAGGCAGTCTGTCCCTTAGCAGAGCTCAAGCACTGTGCTGGCAGTTCTGTTCCTCTTTTCAGAGCTGGCAGGCAGGAATGTTTCAGTCTGCTGAAGCTACGCCCACAGCCATCCCTTCCCCCAGGTGCTCTGTCCCAGGGAGATGGGAGTTTTATCTATAAGCCCCTGACTGGGGAACCTGCCTTTCTTTCAGAGATGCCCTGTCCAGAGAGGAGAATTCTAGATAGGCAGTCTGGCTACAGTGGCTTTGCAGAGCTGTGGTGGGCTCCACCTGGTTTGAACTTCCCGGCAGCTTTGTTTACACTGTGAGGGGAAAACCGCCTACTCAAGCCTCAGTAATGGCAGACACCCCTTTCCCCACCAAGCTCGAGTGTCCCAGGTTGACTCAGACTGCTGTGCTGGCAGCAAGAATTTCAAGCCTGTGGATCTTAGCTTGCTGGGCTTCTTGCGGGTGGGATTTGCTGAGCTATACCACTTGACTCCCTGGATTTAGCCCCCTTGCCAGAGGAGTGAATGTTTCTGTCTTGCTGGTGTTCCAGACGTCACTGAGTTATGAAAAAACTCCTGCAGCTAGCTCAGTACCTGCCCAAATGACCACCCAGTTTTTGCTTGAAACCCAGGGCCCTGGTAGCGTAGGCATCCAAAGGAATCTCCTGGTCTGTGAGTTGTGAAGACTGTTGGGAAAACATAGTATCTGGGTTGGAATGGACCATTCCTCATGGCACAGTCCCTCATGGCTTCCTTCCGCTAGGGGAGGGGATTCTCTGACCCCTTGCACTTCCCAGGTGAGGTGACACAACACTCTCCTTCTGCTTGCCCTCTGTGGTCTGCACCATCTAACCTGTCCCAGTGAGATGAGCCGGGTACCTCAGTTGGAAATGCAGAAATCACCCATCTTCTGCATTGATCTCACTGGGAGCTGCAGACTGAAGCTGTTCCTATTTGGCCATCTTGCCCAAGTCCCCTGTATTTTTAAAACACCAACTCTTACTTTGTTTTGATCTTTTCTTTTTTTTTTTTTAGTTTTTAGTTTTTATTTAATTTATTTCTGCAATGATCTTTCTTTCTTTTTTTTTCTTCTACTAACTGGACTTAGTTTTTTGTTTTTGTTGTTGTTGTTACTTCAGGTGTTATTTTAGATGATTTATTTGGGATATTTCTTGTTCTGTAATATAGGCATTTATTTTTTGAACCTCCTTCTTAGAACTGCTTTTCTCATATCCCATATATTTTGGGGTTTTTTACTATTGTCTCCAGATATTGTTTAAATTTCCCATTTTATTTCTTTTTTGATTATTTATTGTTCTGGAGCATGTTGTTCAATGTCCATAGTTTGTAAATTTCTCAGAATCTTTTCTGCTGTTCATTTCTGCTTTTATATCATGTGGTCACAAATACTACTTGTATTATAAATCTTAAATTTGGTAAGACTTGTTTTTTGGCTTAGCATGTGGGCTGTCCTGGAGAATGTTTCATGTGTGCTACAGAACATTGTGTATTCTGTTGCTTTTTGATGGAAAGCTTTTTACAAGTCCATCTATTAGTCATGGTTTTCCAGAGTAACACGACTGATAGGATAACTATATCTATATATTTGCCTATATAGGCAAGTATATAGATCTAGATACACTTAGATATAGATAGATATAGATATAGAGATAAATGTATGAGAGCAAATTTATTAGGGGTGTTGGTTCACATGATTATGGAGGCTGAGAAGTTCCACCATATGCTGTGTGCAAGTTGGAAAAACAGAAAAGCATGATTCATTTCAAGTCTGAAGGCCTGAGAACCAGTAGGGCTGATGGTGTAACTTTCAGTCTGAAGTTGAAGACCTCAGAGCTTGGATGACTACTGGCACAAGTCACTAAGTCCAAAGGTTAGATAACTTGGAGTTTTGATGTCCAAAGGCATGAGAAGACAGGTACCCCAACTTCAGAAAAAAGAGAATGAGTAAGTTTGTCTTTCTTTGCACCTTTCTTCTATTTGGGCCCTCAGCAGATTGAATGGTACCAACCACTTTGGGTGAAGACAAAGTCTCCATGCAACGCTCTTCACTAAAGTTGACATTGGCAAAAAACTGCAGAGAACCTCAGTTGCCACAGCTGTCTGTATCTGCAGTAGCAGTGAGGGCTGTTATTGTGTTCTACAGTGCTGAAGATTGCTGGGGGTTTTTAAATCTCTTTTTCTCTCACGTGGATGTTTTGGCTGAGGTGTTCTTTCTTGGTGCCATCTTCTTCTTGCTGGTGTATTTATGGTGGTGATACCACTGGTGTCTGATGTCTAGTGCTCATGGTGCAGATGTCTGAAGTATGGACACGTAGAAAAACCACAGCTCCGTATGCCAACATTCTGGTGCCACTAGTGCCTGGAGTGCTGGCACCACCACTGCTATGTCAGTAATAACATGCAGGATGCAGGCACATACAGAGGACCTGCAGATCTGGGCTCTGTAGCACAGGTTTATGAATAACTACTGCTGTTCCAGGAACCAGAGTGTGGACATGCCTACTGTAGAAGTGGCTTCACAGCAGTGGAGTTTCTCCAATGTCTGATGTGCCAGTGTTTATGGAGCAGCTGTTGACTTCAGGTCTAGAACTTAGACATCATGAGAGCAATAATTTCTCTTGAGCCCTGGGCATGATCTAGCTAACTGTGAAAGTGACTCCAATGTCAGAGACATGGACGCTCACAAAGTAGTGGAAGACCCATGTTCTAGAGTGCAGTGCATGCAGAGGGACTGTGGCTCTGGGGCCTAGGGTGGAGTTAGCCCAGTGGAAATTGTCATTGCTCCAATTTCTGATGTGTTGGTGGATGTGGTGCACCTGTGGATCTGCTGTCTGAAGCACAGGCTCATGAGGAGTGACAGTGTCTCTAGGGTTTGAAGCATGTGTTACCTCACTGTGGTGGTGGCTTAGAGAATCCCACAGCCTTTATGGAAAGGATGAGAGAGGCACTAATAAAACACACCTTTTTATCCCCTGATTCAGTTGAGAGACAGCTCATTCTGAAAGACAAGTTCATTACACATATTGTTCCCGATATTAGAAGGAAACTACAGAAGCAATCTATAGGACCAGATAGCAACCTAGAGAACTTCCTGAGAATAGCCACTTCAGTCTTTTACAATAGGGATCAGGAGGAAGCCCAAGAAAAGGAGAGGAAATACAAGAACAGAGGCTCTAGTAGCATGATTGCAAGCTTGCAAAGTCTAGGATCCCTGAGGTGCATCCACTAGCTGTTATCCATGTGGCAAGTCATGGCATTTTAACAAGGAAGGCCCAGGCAGCAAGACAAAGCCACCTTGACCCTGTCCAGCCTGTGGCAGAGACCACTGGAGATGGGTCTGTCCCCAGAGGTAGAGGTCACTGGCTTCCGAACCAGTCTCACAGATGTTTCAGCAGGACTGATGGGTCCTGGGGCTCAAACCACTGGCTCCAGTGACTCAGACAGTTATTACAGCATAGGAGCCCCAGGTAATTCTGGAAATTGAAGGAAAGAAGGTAGCTCACCTTCTGGATACTGGAGTCAGTCTCTCTTCTCCTAATTTAAGTCTCTCCTCTTACCATAGCATGACCACAAGGGATATCTCAGGGAGAACTCTAACCTAATATTTTTCTCAACCTCTTAGCTGCAGGTGGGGGGACCTACTATTTACACGTCTTTTTAATCATGCCTGAAATTCCCACTCCTTTATTAGGTAGAGATATTCTAGTTCACTTGGGGGTTAGCATCCATATAACCCTACAACAAACTATTTGTCTCCCCCTGATGGAAGCTAACATTAATCCAGAAGTTTGGGCAACTCAAGGAAGAATAGCTATAACCACTAAGGCAGTCCAGATCTATCTTAAGGATCCAACTTCTTTTCCTAATCAGAGACAGTATCCCCTAAGGCCAGAGGCTAGGAAAGGGCTAGAAGCCATTACTAATAACCCAAAGATGCAAGGCCTCCTCAAACCCTATAGTAGCTCCTGCAACACCCCAATATTAGGAGTGCAGAAACCCAATGGGGAATGGAGACTAGTTCAGGACCTTTGCCTCATTAATGAAGCTGTAGTTCTAATTCATGCAGTGGTACCTAATCCCTATAACCTGTTAACTCTATTTGAGTTAATGGTTTACAGTTCTAGATATAAAGGTTGCCTTTTTCTGCACACCATTACATCCTGACTCTCAATACCTGTTTGCTTTCAAAGATCCCTCCAGCCAGACCACCCAGTTAACATGGACAGTGCTGCCTCAGGGATGTTGAGATAGTCCTCATCTGTTTGGACAGGTACTTTCAAAAGATCTCTCTGAGCTCTCTCATCCTCAAGTTAGCATCCTCAAGTTAGGGTCTTGCAGTATATTGATGATATCTGCTCTGTGCTCCAACTGAGGAAGATTCTCAGAAAGGAACTTAAGCTCTTCTCAACTTCTTAGCTAACAGAAGATACAAGGTTTCAAAACTGAAGGCCCAGCTCTGCAAAACCTCAGTGAACTATATAGGCTTAGTGCTGTCTGAGGGGGCCAGAGCATTAGGGGAAGAGAAGATTAAGCCAATTTCCTTCTTCCCTGCCTCCAAAACCCTCAAGAAACTAAGAGGATTTGGGGGCATTACAGGATTTTGTAGACTATGCATACCTGGGTATCGTGAAATATCCCGTCCATTATATAACCTCATAGAAGAAACTCAGGGAGCTAAAGCTCATCGTCTAACCTGGGAACCTGAAACTCAAAGGGTCTTCAATCAGTTAAAATAAGCCTTGCTTAAGGCACCAGCTCTCAAACTTTCTGTAGGGAAGGCCTTTGCTCTGTATGTATCAGAAAGTAAGGGAATGGTCTTGGGAGTTTTAACACGGGCCCAAGGACCAGCTCAACAGCCAGTGAGTTACCTAAATTAGAAATTTGATTTGCTGGTTAAAGGATGGCCAGCTGGCCTCTAAGCCATCGCCTCAGTGGCTCTGCTGGTCGCAGAAGCCTCCAAATTAACCCTGGGAATTGATTTGACTGTTTACACCTCACATAATATGGCAGGACTACTGCACTCTAGGTGAAGACTTTGTCTAACACATACCAACTCCTTAAATATCAGGCTCTCTGTGAGAGGGTTCCAACATCTAATTAAAGGCTGTTCTCTCCTAAATCTAGCCACTTTCATCCCCGAGGAAACGGGAACATGAGCATAATTATGAACAAGTCAGAGTACAGACCTATGCAGCCTGGGAAGATCTCAGGGAAACTATGCCTAGAGAACCCAGACTGGACCCTCTTCACAGATGGGAGCTCTTTCATAGAACAAGGTATCCATAAGGCAGGATACACAGTAGTCACTCTATATGACATCAATGAAAGTGTCTCTTCTCCCTCCAGGCACAAGCACTCAATTAGCTGAGCTAATAGCTCTTACAAGAGCAAACTGATTTAAGGAAAGGAAAGGCAGCTAACATTTACACTGACTCCAAGTATGCTTTCTTGGTTCTCCATGCTCATGCTGCCATTTGGAAGGAAAAGCATTTTCTTACCACCAATGAATGGACCACCTATAAAATATCACCACAAAATTAACAGATTATTATCCTCAGTTTTCCTTCCATGAAAAAATAGTGATGATGCATTTCTGTAGGGGACATCAAAAGGGAACAGATGAGGTAGCCAAAATAAATAGATTAGCTGATCAGGCGGCTAAGTCAGCAGCAAGGAAGCTTCCAGACATCAACACAATTCAAACTCCTCTAATCTGGGAAGGCTCCATAATAGAAATTAAACCTCAGTACTCCCCTACAGAAATAGAATGAGCCACTTCTCGCCGGTATACATTTCAGCCCTCAGGATGGCTACAGTCAGAAGCTGGCAAACTTCATTTGCTAGCCTCCAGCCAATGGAAAGTCTTTAAAGTCCTTCACCAAGCCTTTCACTTGGGAAAGGATAAAACTTATTAATGTGCCGAGAGATTGTTCTCAGCAGAGAATTTACTAAAAACAGTCAAGCAAGTTGTTAATGCTTTTGAAGTCTGTCTTAAAAATAATCCCCTGAACAGGCGGCTCCTTCCTTCTCAAACTCAAAGAATAGAAAATTATCCAGGTGAGGACTGGCAAACAGATTTTATCCACATGCCAAAGACAAAAGGCATTCAATGCCTGCTGGTATGGGTAGATACCTTCACTAACTGGGTAGAAGAAGCATTTTCCTGCCATACAGAAAAAGCCTCTGAGGTAGTAAAAGTATTAGTTAATGAAATAACTCCCTGCTTTGGTCTATATAAGTATCTTCAAAGTGGCAATGGGCCTCAAAGACACAAGGGGTCTCAAAAGCACTAGGCATATAATATCGTCTCCATTGTGCTTGGAGACCCCAATCCTCAGGAAAGGTAGACAAAACTAATGATATTATCAAGAGACACTTCAGAAAATTATCCCAAGAAACTCACCTGCCTTGGGTCACTCTTCTTCCCACGGCCTTACTACAAATAAGAAATACCCCTTCAAAATTAAGTCTTAGTCCTTTTGAGATGCTGTATGGATGGCCTTTCCTTACCAATGATTTTCTATTAGATCAGGAAACCTCTGAGCTAGTTAAGCATGTAACCTCTCTGCTCACTTTCAACAGGAATTAGCACAGTTTGTGAAAGTCAACCCCCAGGAAATTGGACCCCTTCTATTTAAGCCAGGAGATTTGGTGCTGGTAAAACTCTTTCTTCTCTGTCTCCCTCCCTAAGCCCAAGCTGGGAAGGGCCTTACATTGTTCTTCTTTCAACCTCCTCAGCAATAAAAGTTATGGGAATTGACTCCTGGATACCTCACACTTCAGTCAAAGCTTGGAATGCTGATGGAGCAACCCCTGACAGCCCAGAGAAATGTCCTGAATATCAACGTGAAAAATAGGAGATCTTAAGCTGAAAATCACACAAAAAATAAGTAACTGAGTAAGAACTACTCACCTTACTCATCTCACACTTACCTCACTAAATACTTTTTGTCACTTTTACCTGTCCTTTGAGATTCATCACCAAATATTACAACTTCTTTTTGGTGGAAATTATTTACTATGCCACCCTTGCAGGAATTGCTGTACTCACTCTACTATTTGCAGTAGGACTATATACTGTAGCACCAGCAGGGTGGAATATTGGACAGAGAATCCCAATTACTGTAGCATTTTGTTTAATTATTATCCTCATAGCACGAATAACAGTTACTAACAGGAAGTAAATGTGAGTGTTTTACTATCACTAAGTCTGTTAGGACTTTTTATCACACTTAGTAATATGTCACATCCTTTAGCTCCTATAATATCCACCATGGCCCATTTGTACAAGACTAATTGTTGGGTCTGTCCTAAGCAGTTTGCTCAATTCAGTGGCACTAAGGAAACTTACAGTGACCTGGAATTCACTGTCTTAGGATTACCTTTGTTGACTTTACCTTTAACCCTTAAAGACTTATCAGGCATAAATGGGACACGGTATGGGAGCACTTTCAACTGGGTAACTTACTCCTCTCAGGAGAACACTCTGCCCCCAGTGCCGAAGAACACTCTCCCCAAAGACAAGCTTCACACCCTCAGGGTAGGAAAAGTTGACCAAGTGACAGCAAATGCCTCCCTCTTCTTTAAAAGCAGCAGGGAAGGACCACACTTGGGAGATCTCAGATATTTTAGCATCACATTTGTAATTGCTGATAGTTCAAAGATTGGGGGAGGAGACCACAACAAGTGTGATCTAAAAGGATCAGACGACCTAGTGGGGGGCATTCAGAATCTAGCCTCTCCTGGTTGGAAGGACTCCGATGGGAGTGGCATGCTCTAAGTAACCACCTTAACTATAATCTAAAGAATAACACATGGGCCTTTCCAAGCATGTGACCTCATGGAATTCCAGACCCTTGTATGATGTTTGCTAACAGTAGTGGCTTACAGATATGTGGGCAACCTGGAGACATCTGGACTGCTAGCCCTTGCCAGGCTAGCAGGATCATCTAAGATATTGTCCAGGGCATATAATATCTCTAATTTTTTGAAACTCCATTTGTCAGGTGGACCCTTCTCACTTGGCATGTCAAATTCCAAATGGCATCATAAATAACTATCCTAAATATGCATACCCTTATCCCAAGGATTCCCCTATTATATGTAAAGAAGGGAAAATTCTAATATATGAGAAAAATCTGCCGGTGTCTCTCACAAGCCACAACTTAGAACCATCTCTTCAAGGAACGGGGCTATCTTTTCTTTGTGGCTCCTGGATACACTTAATCCTCCTAAGGCATTGGAAGGGAACTTGTACTTTAGTATCTGTAGTTACCGACTTATTATTTTTAAATTCTACTCAGATGACAGCATCATCTGGGGACATCCCTAACTTAGGCTCTTTTCTAGAAAACTGCACTATGTAGAATATGCCGGACAAAGAGATCTATCATTTCTGTGCCCTCATATGGAGATTTAACTGAAAGGGCAGACTGGGGAGGGCATGCACATGACAATCCCATCTTAGAAAAAACATGGATGGGAAATCCTACAGCCAGAGGTCTATTCTTATTTATGGGTGTCCCTCTCCTTGAAAGATCTGTACTTTATATCTCTATTAGGATGCACTGAAGATGGAAAGCAATTCTAGATGCCATAGAGCCACAATAGCAATCTATAGACTCTTTAGCCTCAGTAGTAGAATAAAATAGACAGGCCTTAGATGTCCTTAAATTTGAAGTAGGAGGTACCTATGCACTTTTAAATGAAACATGCTGCTTCCAGATTAACACCTCTAGTAAAGTAGAGGAAAATCCACAGATACTCAAAGATCAAATCAAAATTATTGACAGGCTAAGATAAAATACAGGCTTCAGCCCCAGGTGGCTACAATCCCTCTTTAATGAATCCCAGTCTTCCTTACGGAATTGGTTAACTCCTTTATTAAGCCCCCTTTTGCTTATGTGTCTTGTATTAATATTTGGACCTTGTAACTCAATACTAACTTGAATTGTTTCCTCTCATCTAGAAGCAATCAAACTCCAAATGCTGCAGCAAAGTGAACCACGCATGGACATGCCATTCTTCCAAGGACCAACCCCAGGAGGAGCCCTAGCTGCTGTTCCTCACTTGATGCCCCTTTTCACCACGAAGTAGCCAGAAAGAGTTGTTGCCCAAAACCCCCTAACAGCAGTTAGGGTGACATCTCCTCATGAGGGAATGTTATAGGAGTTATTAAGAAATTATTTTAGGCAGATAGAGAGGATAAGACGTCCTTGGTAAGGTTTGTTTATTTTAAAGAAGCTCCAGAAATGTTTCTACTCTAGCAGAAAAGCAGCTTGAAGGGCAAGGCCAGCTGGCAAGCTTTGATATACAAATGCCGGCCATTAGAAACTGAGTCCATCCAATATGGCAATTCCCACTCTCTTCTCCTTGTCGCCCTGTGTGCCAAGCATCATGGCTGTCCCCAGATCACTCCATGTGTGCAGGACATTATGGCGCCCTACATTTGCATATTAAAAGGCTAGGGTTGGAGGGCCAGTTTTTTCACGGGCTATGTGAATTGCATACCTGGTCAAACCAATCCCCTGAGCACTGTGCAAATCATACACCACTTCCTCCAGCATCCTAGTATAACTGACTGTTTTCCACCACACTCGGGCTTTCCTCTCTTGGCTTGGAGTCCCCCTCCCTCTGTCTCTGTGCGGGGGAGTTTCTACCTTCTTTCTTGCCTATTAAACTCTCCACTCCTTAAAACCACTCCATATGTGTGCGTGTAATTTTATCTAATCAGCGTGAGGCAAAGGACCCTGGTTTTCCTCCATTCATTGGAGCTGTATCACAAGATATGAGTACTGATGAAGTGGTGGCAAAGCTGGTGTCTTGAGTGCAAGTATGCACAGAGTGACCACAGTTCTAGGGACCAGGGTGGGTCTATCTTACAGTGGCTCTGGCTCTAGTTTCTGAAATGCAGTGATACGTGTGCTATGGCTGTGAAGATGGGTTCTGGATTGTGGGCAGGGAGTGGCCATTGCTCCAGGTCCAGGGTGGCCATGGGGTTGGAGAGGTCTTAGCCCTTGTCCCAGACCAGCACAATAAAACCTCCTTTTTAAAGGAGTGGATGCAGAAGTGTTTCTTTCTTCAAGAGTTTTGCCGCACCAATGGTTGAATACCTCAGTGACAGAAACTGCTGGTGCCCTCTACACAGCAGGCAATTGGAGACCATGGTGGCACCCACTGCATTAACAATACTGATGGGTTCCACCCTTGTTCTTTGTTACTAGCTTTCTCCAGACATCTCAAGTATGCCAACCTACCCAACAATATTTTCTGTGCAGTTATTCTCCATTTTTTGTTGCAGGATCTTAATTGGAATCTTGAGCTCTTTTGAGCCTTTTTTCATTCAAAGATAGCTGTCTAATTGTTAATTTTTGTGGTAGGATGAAGAATAATTTCCCACTCTGCCATTTTTCTGACATCAATCCTGCATCAGATATTTTGGGACTCTGATGTTTACAATTGTGATATATTCTTAGTGAATTGATGCTTTCATTAATATGTAATTTCCTCTTTTGTCTCTTGCAACAGTATTTTACTTACAGTTAATTTTGGCTGATATTTGTATAGCCAACCCAACTATATTTTGATTACTGTTTTCATATAATATCTTTTACTATTCTTTACTTTTTTAATAAATCTTGTGATCTTTGTTAAAACCTGAGCATTTGAAAAACAGCTACCTACCTTCTCATTCTTTTCAAACTGGTTTGTATCAAGGCAGTTCTGTACTTAGTTGCTGGGTATTATTTGAACTTTAAGATTAACTCAGAATGAAAGATTAAGGCCTCTGGTCTTTTCTGAGCATGCAACACACACATATCTGGGCTTGTTTGTGGCTTTTTCAATTTTCTTGTATACATAACTGCTTTTTAGTGTCTTAATTTCCCAAAGAATCTAACCCCAGAATCTCCTCAGAGCCTTAGGTGGTCTGTTATGTCTCTTCACCCATAATAACTTTCCCCAGGCATCTGTAGATTTTAGCCTCCCTGCAGCTTTCTCAGCAGCACTCATTTCTTCTCCCTGTCTGAGATCTGAGTTGCATCACTGCTCTGTGCCTGAGATCCAAGTTAGGCAAAACAGAGACCAGTCATTCAGGCAGTCCCCAGACAGGTTAGAATGTTACAGTTAAGATCTGCTGTGCTCCCTTTGGTTTCAAAGGAGGGAATTGAAAACTAAGCTACCACTTTCTTCAGACCAAGACTGTTCCATGCCAGGGAAGGAGTAGGGCAAGGTTGAGTAAAAATGTCATACAATTTCCTACTGTTTTGAATGTCATTAAAAAAAATGGTCATTCAGTTGACGGTTATAGACCCTTGAAACTTTTCAGGAGCTTTTATACAATAATGTTAAACAGTTTTTGGTGTTTTTGTTTGGTTGTTCTGCCTTTTTTTCCCATGTTTCCATGGAGGAATGAGGACTTGGAGCTTCTTAATGCACCAATTTACTGATGTCACTTATCTAATCTCTACCTTTAAATTGAACCATTAATATTTACATTTAAGGTAATTATTGATATGTTAGTATTTAAATCTTTTATTTAATTACTTGTTTTCTGTGTTTCTTATTCTTTTCTTCCTTTCTGTCTTCCTGTTAATTATTTAAACATTCTTGGAATCTACCGTGATTTTTTTTTATTGTATAATTTTGTATAATTTCTTTGTGGTTGCTCTGTGTACTATAATATATGTAAATTTGAGGCTGCCTGCTTCAGGTAGTCTAGCCTGCGTAGTTTCTAATGGATGGAGGAAATGGACATGGAAGCACACCAGGGATTTCCCATTAATGCTGCTGAGCAGAGCAACAATTGCTTGTGAGCACAAGATGCTCATGGCTAGCTGACACTGTGGCTGGGACTCCAGGGACATCCCAGAAGCTTCCAAGAACACTTTGTCTCAGGGATTCTACCTTCTTTTCCCTTATGGCAACAGCTGCTGGTAACACTTCACTGATGCAAGCAAACATGCTGTTTGGGGTAGTTAATGGGCTTCAAGACTGGGTAAGTCACTCTGGTGTGTACAACTTGGAACACCTTCCCATTCATCTGGGCTTTTCCTTCGAATAAGCCACTTTATGGTTGTATTCAGTTTGGGTACCCTGGTAGAAAAGGGAATAGTTGTCAGAATTTTACCCAATTTGAGAACTAGTTCATTTACATTTGTCTGTTTTTGTGGATCCCAGTCTTACATATTTCAAAACATGGAAAAGTTCAAACACATGGCAGATTTTCTGGGACTCCAGCTGATTACATAATACAGCCCATTTTTATTCTCATTTTAAACTGATGGGAAAATTACAGCAATAAAAAGTCAGAACTCACATGGCTAACTGGCAAATATAAAGTTAAATAGTCTTCTAAAGCTCTCTATCTTTTCTTTTCTGACTCTGCTGTTATTAAGATACTGGTGTTGAGATAAAACTATAATTTAAAGTTACTTGAAGCTTTTGTTTTGCTTATATCGTTCAGCCACTTCTAACTAAAATATGGACATTAATAACTCATTTAGATCTGATGAAAAGGATGAAAGAAATTTTTCAAAAATTAAACTACCATGGAAACTGTTACTCAGGAGTTTGATCAACAGCCTTCACTGGGTTAGCTGTCAGGGCAAACAAAATTTAGCCATGTAAATAGGTTCCAATTTTGTCTGAGAAATAATTTGAATTCAAGTATCTTTTATAGGACAGTGAGTTTGTGATGCTGTCTCATGGCTAGAATTACAAAGTGACTGGATCTTTGTGTTTGTATATATATGTTTACATGTATTTATATGTATGCACATGTATTATATCATGTGTTGTGTTAACATGCTACAAAATTAATTTATAAGTAAATGAGTATTCATAAATTAAATCCAAAATGCTATCAAGTTCACATGAATTTAATCATCTTCAGAAAATAAAAAGGATTTTAAAATTATTAGTAAAATAAAAATAGAAATGTTTTAAGAATTCTTAACATATACTTTTGTCTATGTTTACTGATTAGATAAGTTTTATATTTGTCTCTGTTAGAAATGTTAAGGCATCAGAGTGTGGCACAAAATTTATAGTACTATAAAGAGAGGCAAAAACAGAATAATCTTTGTGTGATTTGTGATAAGTAAGACCAATTTAATATTGTTGGTTTAATAAAAAAGAGTTGAATCTTCAGAGTTATTGGCACAAGGCCCATGTGTTTAAATTTAATATCATAGCTTAGGTAAACACCTGATGTTCACAGGCTTTAAAAATGGTTAATAGGAAAAAAAATCCTAGTTATCACACAATTTCATAAGTTGTATTCTTATTGAGAAAAAAGTAATTTTTTGTAATTTGGAGGTTATTTAAATGTTAGAAATGAACTGGTAAGTAGAATAGAAAAGTATGAAAAAAAGTTATGAATATAAATATGTATTTTGGTAAAAAGGTTATTTTTAAAAAAGAAAATGATTTTATATGAGAAAATACCTTATACATTGAATTTTTATGAAATAAAATGACTGGTTATTTAAGAACGTGGTAGTATAGGACAAATCAGAAATTCAAAGCATATCATAGATGGTCTGTGTAAGTCATGATAGGACTTATATAAACAGGACCTAAGACCATGCCAGGCAAGGGTTAATTCACAAACTCCTATAATTTAAAAGTAAACTGTATTCTAAGTGCCACAAGGTTTTGTTTTAGTTTTTGTTTTTTTTCTCTATTAGCCAAACCAGCACTGGCCTTGAGATCAGCTGACTGACTTCCAACTCCTGTTCCACCAGTAATAGCTACAGCTTTAATTAGACAAGAGATTAATTTTGGTAACTTTCTCCCAATAAAAGACCACTGACCATGGACTAGTTCTGGCCAATTTACAGAAATTGCACATGAGAGTGCCTTTGTGTCCTGAAAAGACCGTTTGACACATACAGCCTTATTAAATGTTAAGTTTCCACCCAAAAATGAACATGAGTCATATATTACATGCATATTTGTTTCATACACATTTGTCAGGACCACTTTCATGAATATTCATAACTCCCCCACAACCTATTAAATATGTATATTTAGCTAACCTATCATCAATCCCCACAGGAGCTCCAAGTACAATTGAGAGTGAAGAACATGTGCTATAATTAAGACTAAATGCTGTGTGTACATCCAAGATAACTCCAGAAACACCCTCAGCCCTATATGACATGCACAAGAAAACTGAACTATGTCTTATCCACAATGCCCTTAAATCAATGGCTCTTTGTATGATTTGGATCAGGCCCCACCTGGTAAAAAAAAAAGTTGCTCATAATTTTAGTCATGATTATAGGGATCAGTTTATTCTATTGCTGTAGACTGTATTGCTGTTACACAATCAACATGATGCTCTAGCAGATCTCTTTTGTAAGTCCAAGGACTTGCAAATACTTTCATCTCCATGTGGATAGGTTCCATTCCACCATCCCCTAACCATGCTCCTTTTCAGCAGGAAGTAGCCAAAATGAACACATTGCCCATTTTTCATAGAAATGGAATGAAACTTGACAGTGGGGTTAGGGGTTGTAACCAGGGACCTCAGTTTTAAAAATCACCCACTTTCTTTTTCTTCCTTCCCTTCCCTCTCACCTCTTCATTCCTTCCCCCTCTAGACACTCTCCTCTGGCAGTGCATGCTTGTTTTAAAAATTCCTTAGGTTAATCTTGAAACAAACTACACAAAGGGCCCCTGTGAAATCCTCTTGCCTAGGGGGAGTTGGAAACAAAGCCAACCACCATGGGCTGAAGTTAACACAAGCCAGACCTCTTGATAAGTGATTACCCAAGATAGCCATCTGAACAAGACACACAGTGGCTGCAACCTGGACAACTCCCACATGTCACTCATACCAAGTTTCCCTTTAAAAGCCCTATGATAAACTTTAAATTTTGAGATGGTACTTTAGAACTCTAATTCACCAAGTTCTTGTTTTGTTGGGTCTCTGATTAAATTGCTTTTCCTCCCACCAACCCTCACCTGTTGTTTTCTGGTTTTGGAGTAGCAAGCAGCCAAACCTGAGTCCAGTTGCATTATCACAGCCTACTGATATGAAGGTTTTATGATGGTGTCATATATGGAAAACTACGTTCATTTAGATCCCTTACTATCTACTTTTTTAAAAATTATACTTTAAGTTCTGGGGTACATATGCAGAATGTGCAGGTTTGTTACATAGGCATACATGTGCCATGGTGGTTTGCTGCACCCATCAACCCATCATCTACATTAGGTATTTCTCCTAATGCTATCCCACCCCTAGCCTCACATCCCCCAACAGGCTCCAGTGTGTGATGTTCCCCTCCCTGTGTCCATGTGTTCTCATTGTTCAACTCCCACTTATGAGTGAGAATATGTGGCATTTGGTTCTCTGTTCTTGAGTTAGTTTGCTGAGAATGATGGTTTCCAGTTTCATCTATGTCCCTGCAAAGGACATGAACTCATCCTTTTTTATGGCTGCATAGTATTCCATGGTTTATATGTGCCACATTTTCTTTATCCAGTCTATCATTGATGGCATTTGGGTTGGTTCCAAGTTTTTGCTATTGTAAACAGTGCTGCAATAAACATACATGTGCATGTGTCCTTGTAGTAGAATGATTTATAATCCTTTGGGTATATACCCAGTAATGGGATTGCTGGGTCAAATGGTATTTCTAGTTCTAGATCCTTGAAGAATCATCACACTGTCTTCCACAATGTTTGAACTAATTTACACTCCCACCAACAGTGTAAAAGTGTTCCTATTTCTCCACATCCTCTCCAGCATCTGTTGTTTCCTGCATTTTTTCATATGTTTGTTGGCTTCATAAATGTCTTCTTTTGAGAAGTGTCTGTTCATATCCTTTGCCCTCTTTTTGATGGGGTTGTTTGTTTTTTTTCTTGTAAATTTGTTTAAGTTCCTTGTAGATTCTGGATATAAGTACTTTGACGGATGGATAGATTGCAAAAAGATTCTCCCATTCTGTAGGTTGCCTGTTCACTTTGATGATAGTTTCTTTTGCTGTGCAGAAGCTCTTTAGTTTAATTAGATCCAATTTGTCAATTTTGGCTTTTGTTGCAATTGCTTTTTGTGTTTTATTCATGAAGTCTTTGCCCATGCCTATGTCCCAAATGGTATTGCCTAAGTTTTCTTCTAGGATTTTTTATGGTTTTAGATCTTATATTTAAGTCTTTAATCCATCTTGAGTTAATTTTTGTATGAGGTGTAAGGAAGGGATCCAGGTTCAGCTTTCTGTGTATGGCTGGCCAGTTTTCCCCTACAAGATTTATTAAATAGGGAATCCTTTCCCCTTTGCTTGTTTTTGTCAGGTTTGTCAAAGATCAGAGGGTTGTACATGTGTGGTGTTATTTCTGAGGCCTCTGTTCTGTTCCATTGGTCTATATATCTGTCTTGGCACCAGTATCATGCTGTTTTAATTACTGTAGCCTTGTAGTATAGTTTGAAGTCAGGGAGTGTGATGCTTCCAGCTTTGTTCTTTTTGCTTAGGATTGTCTTGGCTATGTGGGCTCTTTTTTGGTTCCATATGAAATTTAAAGTAGTTTTTTTCCAATTCTGTGAAGAAAGTCAATGGTAGTTTGCTGGGGATACCCTTGAATCTATAAATTACTTTGGGCAGTATGGCCATTTTCACCAAATTGACTCTTCCTATCCATGAGCATGGAAAGTTTTTCCATTTGTTTGTGTCCTCTCTTATTTCCTTGAGCAGTGGTTTGTAGTTCTCCTTGAAAAGGTCCTTCACATCCCTTGTAAGTTGTCTTCCTAGGTATTTTATTCTCTTTGTAGCAATTGTGAATGGGAGTTCTCTTATGATTTGGCTCTCTGTTTGTCCGTTATTGGTGTATAGGAATGCTTGTGATTTTTGCACATTGATTTCATATCCTGAGACTTTGCTGAAGTTACTTATCAGCTTAAGGAGATTTTGGGCTGAGACATACATGGATTTTCCATTTATTCAATGGTAGCTCTGATAGCAACAAATTCTTTTAATTTTCCTTCATCTGAAAATAGCTCTCTTTCTCATTTATTCCTCGAGGATAGTTTGCTAGATATAAAAATCTCAAGTTCTTTTCTTTTAAAGCATGAAAAACACATGAGTTTTATTTGGCCTATGTTGTTTAATCTCATTTTATTGCTTGAATTGGTGTTTGCTTACAGGTATGTTGATTCTCTCTGGCTGCTTTCAAGATTATTTGTATGTGCTTAGTTTTTAGCTTAATTAAGTATTTTATGTCTTAATATAAGTTTCAATGGTGTTATGGGAGATTAACTCAGCTTCTTGAATCTGTTAATCTCTATATTTTACCAAATAGGGGGGTGTTTCAGCTATTACCATTCCTGCTACTTTTTAATGTTTTGTCATTGTCTCCACATTTCTCTCAGTCTCTGTTCATATTTTAAAATCTATTTTCTTTATATTTCTTATATTTTGTAAATTTTATAAATTCTACTGGTTTTTCTTCAAGTTTACTAATTCCATCTTCTATGACACTCTATTTTTAGCCCATCCAGAAAGTATTTGTATTCCTGCTAATGTATATTTCAGTTATTATAATTTCTATTTAATTTTCATTTTATAACCTATTCATTTGCTTAAATTCTTATTTTGCCTCAAAAATTCATGTTTTTGAGGCATTTTTATGACATCTGTTTTAAAATTCTTGTTAAAATTTCAGCATTTGATTTGTCTCAGTGTTAGGATCAGTTGACTGGTGTTTCTTATTCACATTGTGGTTTTCTTTGTACCTGGTATGATGGTTGGTTTTCAATTGTATCCTAGACATTTTGTCTATTTTGTTAGGAGACTGTATTCTATTTAAATCTTTAACTCTAGCAATGAGTCACTATGTTTAGGTGTAGCACTCAACTGTTGGCCTATTTTTGTTAGCTGTGATTCTGAGGACAGATTAATTTTCAAAGCCTTTGTGGTGCTATTATGGTTTGCTTTGTTTATCTTATACATCTGGGGTTCCCAGTGTCCCTGCTTGTTCTGCCTGAGAGTATGAAAAGAGTCTCCCAAATGACACATCTTTATTTCTCTAGGTGGTGTAAGAGATTCTCCAGGCAAGTCCTCTGGAACTGAATGCTTTAATTTGGGCAGTTTGTTGTGGGAACCCTCTTTATAGAAGAGACAGAAAAAACTTCTAAACCGTTGTTATGGCAGAATGCACTTTTTTGGAGCCAACTTGCTGCCTGGTGTCTCAGTGGTAAAAAAGAATTTCAGGAGCAATAGGAGGGGGGAGAGCTTTCCTGTCCCAGGTTGCTGTTTTGGTCAAATTATCTTTGCTGATAATCCTAGCTTGATAGAGTTGACCAAACCAAAACATTGCTTAGGTGAGAATTTTCCTAAAAAAATAAATATTTCATGAATAAATTATATTAAATTATAACAAAGTATTTAGAATGATTAAACATTTTTAAGAGTCTGCAATTACAAATAAATCACTGTAGATAAAGAGAGGCCAATTCTTTGAAATGTGAAATATTCCAGGTTAAAAATGCCCTGAGTGACTGAAGCCATGAAGCATTGTTTCTTCATGGAAATAGAACTAGGATCCAGTCATAAAGCTATGTAAAACAGCTCTTAAGCTTGTACTCAAGCTTAGAGGTAAGAGAAGTTTTATGTTATGGCCAAGCTGCCTTCAGCAGATCCTCCATTCATTGAACTTCTTGAAAGACCAGAGGCAAAGAAATCATACCTCCTTCATGTTTTTCTTTCTTAGATGGGCAGTAACAATACAAAAGAATTGAGAGGTTTGTATGACAAAAAGCACACATTTATCAGATAAAATTTTTAATATAATTTTGAACTGGGAGACTAAAAAATTAATGAACAATTATTTAGTTGAAACAGTAGTAACTTTGCATTTAAATTATAAAGTAGAACAGTTCATTTCATCATTCCCAGAAAGAGAATAATCTAGATGATAGGGCAGACAGACTGCTCAAGTGTTAAGGACAAGTGTTTATAGGAGTAAAGTGTAAGGTTAGTATTTTAATGGAAAAGTAATATAATTTGTATTTACAGAGTATTTTACAGATTGTGGTATGTTTTATATCTATAATCAATTTGGTATAAATTACCATATCCTGTAAATGTCATTACTATTCAAAGGATTGCTGGTTTCAAAGCAACTGAACTTAAAATTGCAACGTCTGTGTACTACAATGTAAGGAATTTCACTTGTTTATAAGTCCTTTATGCTGTTACTCAGAAAATGTTTACCCCTACTTATTCACTGTTCTAAGTAACATGGTGATCTTATTTACAACTGTACAGTTGATTATAAGTAGATAATTTAATGAAGAATGGGAGGAGAAAAGGAGAGGGAATCCTAATGTCAGGCAGATTAAACTCTTCACTATAAGACAGAATACAGAGTTGAACAAGGCCTAGGAGCAAGGAACCCCATTTCCTAGAGGAAATAAGGATACCTATTGGGGTTTAAATATGATTACTACAATAAAAGGAAGTAACACTCCATGAATATGTGGGTGAAAACATGGCGGAGCAAAGAAAGAAGATAGGCCTAGAACACTGTATTGTTAAAAAAAAAGTAAGGAATTTCTAAATAATAATAATAATAAAGTGGTGTGAAAGAGACAACAGGAACCAGCTGGAAGGTGCTCTCACTGACAAAATATGGAAAAAGTATTAGCACTAAAAAAATTACTGATAGTAAAGGAATGAGGGAATGGATAACATATAAACCTGAGTCTACACACAAATAAATAAATAGCTCTTCCTTAGAGTTGTACATTAACTAAAAAATCTACAATTGATGGAGTTAGAAAATGATCATTTGGCAGCTATTATAGTGACCATTGATTTATGTAAAAATCATCAATGTAAGCCATAAGTAGTGAGTGAAAGTTTGACATGAAGCAACATCACAAAATCTCCAAGAATTTTTCCAAAAAGTATTAATTACAAAGGGAAATTGGTAACTTCTTGGCTTAGAAATATGGTGGATACACACACACACACACACACACACACACACACACACGCAAATGCAGATGGGACAACATATATCAATCTTTAAATCTGCTACTTTTTTTTTTTTCACGAGACATAGTCTCACTCCATCGCCCAGGCTGGAGGGCAGTGGCGCGATCTCGGCTCACTGAAACCTCTGCCTCCCTGGTTCAAGCGATTCTCCTGCGTCAGCCTCCCGACTAGCTGAGATTACAGGCCTGCGCAACCATGCCTAGCTAATTGTTGTTATTTTAGTAGAGACGGGGGTTTTTCCCTGTTGGCCAGGGTGGTTGAACTCCTGACCTCAGGTAATCTGCCCTATTCGGCCTGCCAAAGTGCTAGGATTACAAGCGTGAGCCTCCACACCTGGCCGGTACTACTTTTTTGAACTTGTCTTTAAGTTTTACACTATACCAGAATGAAAAGTTACAACAAAAAGCAAGAGGATACAGAAAAACTAATAAAAAGTAGCTATAGGTATACAAAGAATGCAGAAGTCTGTATTATTTACTCAGTGTAAAACAGGCTTGAAGATGTCAATAACCCTTCAGGCATTTCCTGCAAGCTGTACACTAAAAGCCCAGACTCCATCAATATGCAATGTATCCACATAACAGAACTGCACTTGTACTCTCTAAATCTATAAAAATAAAAACTAAAAATTGGAATTTGGCACCCCACCGCCTGGGTTCAATTCTTGGAGCCATTATTTACTAGCTAATAACCTTTGGAAAATTTAGTAACCCCTTTGTGCACTGTTATCATTTGTAAAATTGTAATGATAATTATATATTTTTATAAGATTGTGGTGACAATTAAATAAGTTGGTTATGTAAATTGGTTAGAATGAAAGAATATTTGGCACATAATAAAATCCCAGTAAACATTGTTATTATTATATTAATGTGAAGCATTATTACTGAAGCTAATAATTATGATCCTTCAAGAAAGTTTGGAACATATTGAAATAACTTTATTTAAGAGTAGAACAAACTACATAAAATATATAAGAATTTTCCTCCTCAAAATTTATCATGTAAAAATTTGAAATTGCTGAAAACCAATGATAAAGACAAAAAATTTTAAATAGAGGAAAAAACATATGTGTACAAAGAAACAAATATAAGGATTTTTAAAAAGTTTCAAAATAATGCAACCAAGAAAATAGTGAAGCAATATGTTTAACGTACTGAAAAGAAAAATATCCAGCCAGGCGCGGGGGCTCACACCTGCAATCCCAGTACTTTGGGAGGCTGAGGCGGGTGGTTCACTTGAGGTCAGGAGTTCAAGACCAGCCTGGCTAACATGGTGAAACCCCGTCTGTACTAAAAATTTAAAAAGTAGCCAGGCATGGTGGCCGGCGCCTGTAATCCCAGCTACTCAGAGGGCTGAGGCAGGAGAATTGTTTGAACCTGGGTGGCAGAGTTGCAGTGAGCCAAGATCATTCCATTGCACTCCAGCCTGGGTGACAGAGTGAGGCAAAAGAAAAGAAAAGAAAAAGAAAAATATTCAAAAACTAAAATGTTATATACAGTAACTAAGTAGATAACTATAAGGAATTCTTAAAGTCATTACTTAAATCTTTGTAAAGATAATCACTTTTTTAAAGTAAAAAATAATAGCCTGGTACTGTGGGGTTAATATCCATAGAAATAAAATATATGACAGTCATAGTACAAAAGACACAAGGGCATAAATGGAATTATAGCATTATGAGTTTATTACACTATATGTGCATTGGTAAAATGTAACTTTCAGGTAGGTGATAAAAGTGAAAATGAATACTATATATAAAGCATAAAACAATAATTAAAATAAGACAAGGAGGAGTTACAGTGAATTAAATAGCAAAAATAGATTAAATGAGATCATAAAAAACCTTCAAACATACATACTATCACTTTAAATGTAAATAGTCTGATCACCTTGATTAAAAAGCAGAAATCGTCAAATTTAATAAAGGATCAAAATCCAAGTCTATGTGGCTGACAAGAAGTGCACTTCTTATATTTATAGCACAAAACACCTATATTAGAAAAGTAAAACCAATCTAAAATCTATTTTCTTTGTTTCTTTTTGTTTGTTTTTGTTGTTTTTAAACTTTTTAACTTTTATTTTATGTTCAGAAGTACACGTGCAGGATATGCAGGGTTGCTACATAGGTAAACGTGTGTCATGAGGGTTTGTTGTACAGATTATTTCATCACACGTTTATTAAGCCTAATATCCATTAGTTATTTTTTTCTGATCCTCTCCCTCCTCCCACCCTCCACCGTCTGATAGACCCCTGTGTGTGTTGTTTGCTTCTATGTGTCCATGTGTTCTCACTTCTACTTATAAGTGAGAGGATGCCATGTTCGAACTTCTGTTTCTGCATTAGTTTGCTAAGGATAATGGCCTCCAGCTCCATCCATGTCCCTGTAAAAGACATAATCTCATTCCTTTTTATGGCTGCATAGTATTGCTTTGTGGATACGTGCCAAAGTTTGTGGTGTATATGTACCATATTTTCTTTATCCAGTCTGTCACTGATGGGCATTTAAGTTGATTCCATGTCTTTGCTATTGTAAAGAGTGCTGCAAAGAACATACATGAACATGTGTCTTTATGATAGAATGATTTATATTCCTTTGAGTATATACCCAGTAATGGGATTGCTGAGTCTAATGGTGTTTCTGTCCTTAGGTATCTGAGGAATCACCCCACTGTCTTCCACAATGGTTGAACTAAGGTACCCTCTCACCAACAGTGTATAAAGCATTTCTTTTTATCCACAACCTCACCAGCATCTTTTATTTTTTGAATTCTTAGTAATGGCCATTCTGACTGGTTTTAGATGGCATTTCATTGCGGGTTTGATTTGCATTTCTCTAATGATCAGTGATGAACTATTTTTCATATGATTGTTGGCCACATGTATGTCTTCTTTTGGTAAGTGTCTTTTCACGTCCTTTGCCTACTTATTAATGGGGTTGTTTTTTTTTTCTTGTAAACTTAAGTTCCTTATAGTGATGAATATTAGATCTTTGTTAGATGCATAGTTTGCAAGAATTTTAACCCATTCTGTAGGTTGTCTGTTTACCCTGTTGATGTTTCTTTTGCTGTGTGGAAGCTTTTTAGTTTAATTAGATCCCATTTGTCAATTATTGCTTTTGTTGCAATTACTTTTAGCATCTTTGTCATGAAATCTTTGCCCATGCCTATGTCCTGAATGGTATTGCCTAGATTTTCTTTTACGGTTTTTATAGTTTTGTATTTTACATTTAAATCTTTAATCCATCTTAATTTTTGTATGTGCTGTAAAGAAGAGGTCTAGTTTCAATTTTCTGCACATGGCTAGCCAGTTTTCCCAGCATCATTTATTAAATAGGGAATCCTTTTCCCAGTTCTTGCTTTTGTCAAGTTTGTCAAAGATCAGATAGTTGTAGATGTGCAGTCTTATTTTTGTGTTCTCTATTCTGTTCCATTGGTCTATGTGTCTGTTCTTGTAACACTACAATGCTGGCCCCCAGCTTTGTTCTTTTTGCTTACGATTGCCTTGGCTATTCGGGCTCTTCTTTAGTTCTACATAAATGCTAAAATATATTCTCTAGTTCTGGTAAGAATGTTAGAGGTAGTTTAATGGGAACAGCATTGAATCTATAAATTCCTTTGGGCAGTATGGCAATTTTAACAATATTAATTCTTCCCATTCATGAGCATGGAATGTTTTTCCATTTTTTTTATGGCATCTCTGATTTCTTTGAGCAGTGGTTTATAGTTCTCCTTGTAAAGGTCCTTCACTTCCCTTGTTAGCTGTATTCCTAGGTTTTTTACTCTTTTTGTGGCAATTGTGAATGGGAATTTGTTCATGATTTGGCCCTTGGCTTAAAGGTTATTAGAGTATATGAACGCAAGCAATTTTTGCACATTGATTTTGTATCCTGAGACTCTGCTGAAGTTGCTTATCAGCTTCACTATGATTTTGGCTATGGGCTTGTCACATACGGCTCTAATTATTTTGATGTATGGTCCTTCAATACCTAGTTTATTCAGCGTTTTTAACATGAACAGATGTTGAATTTTATCAAAAGCCTTTTCTGCATCTATTGAGATGATCATGTGGTTTTTTACTTTATTTCTGTTTATGTGAGGAATAACATTTATTAATTTGCATATGCTGAACCAACTTTGCATCCTGGAAATAAAGCCTACTTGATCTTGCTGGATACTCTTTTTGATGTGCTATTGGATTCAGTTTGCCAGTATTCTGTTGAGAGTTTTTGCATCAATCTTCATCAGGGATATTGGTCTGAATTACTTTTTATTGTCACATATCTGCCAGGTCTTGGTATCAAGAGGTCACTGGCCTCATAGAATTAGTTAAAGAGGAGTCCCTTCTTTTTGATTTTTTTGGAAAATTTCAGTAGGAATGGTACCAGCTCTTGTTTGTACATTCAGCTGTGGATCTGTCTGGTCCTGGGATTTATTTTTTTTGGTTGGTAGGCAATTTATTACTGCCTCAATTTCAGAACTTGTTATTTGTCTGTTCAGGAATTCAATTTCTTCCTGGTTCAGTCTTGGGAGGGTGTATATGTCCAGTAATTTATCCATTTTTTCTACATTTTCCAGTACATGTGCATAGAGGTGTTTATAGTAGCCACTGATGATTGTATGTCTTTGGGGTCAGTGGTAATATCCCCCTTATCATTTCTGATTGTGTTTATTTGAATTTTCTCTCTCTTCTTTAACAGTTACCACTAGCAGTCTATTTTATTAATTGTTTAAAAAAGACAGCTCCTGTTTTCACTGATCTTTTGAATTTTGTGTGTGTGTGTGTGTGCCTTTATCTCCTTCAGTTCAACCATGGTTTTAGTTATTTACTGTCTTCTGCTAGCTTTGGAATTGCTTGCTCTTGGTTCTCTAGTTCTTTCTTAGTTGTGATGTTAGGTAAGAAACTAGGAAAAACAGTAAATACAACTGAATATTTGCAATCAATAAAATAATAAATATCAGAGGATGTAGGAATAAAATTCAAAAAAATGATAGAGAAAAACCAATGAAGATAAAATCCCTCTAGTTATTCAGGAAAATCAATAACATCAATAAACGACTAGCAAACTGGTCAGCAAAATAAGAGAGAAGACACAAATTACCAATATAAGATATAAGACAGATGACATTCTTATGACTTCTACATTAGCCTATTTCAAATTATACTACAAAGCTATAGTTACCAAAACAGCATGGTACTAGTATAAAAATGTGCATACAGACTAATGGAACAGTATAGAGAACCCAGAAATAAACCCAAATACTTAAAGCCAACTAATCTTCAACAAAGCATACAACAACATACATTGGGGAAAGGACACCCTACTCAATAAATGTTGCTGGGGAAGCTGGAAAGCCACATGTAGAAAAATGAAATTGGAGCCTCATCTCTCAGCTTATACATAAATCAACTTAAACTGGATCAAACACTTAAATCTAAGACCTGAAACCATGAAAATTCTGGACGATAACATCGAAAAACCCTTCTAGACATTGGGTTAGGCAAATAATTCATGACTAACACTCCAAAAGCAAACGCAGTAAAACCAAAAATAAATAAATGAGGTTTAATAAAACTAAAAAGCTTCTTCACAACAAAAGAAATTATCAGCTGACTAAACAGACAACACACAGAGTGGGGAAAAAGTATTCACAAACTATGCCTCCAACAAAGGACTAATATCCAAAATATACAAAAAACTCAAACAAATCATCAAGGAAAAAACAAATAATCTCATTAAAAACTGTGCAAGTGACATGAGTAGAAAATTTTGATAAGAAGATATACGAACAGCCAACAAACATGAAAAAAGCCCAACATCACTAATTATCAGGGAAATGCAAATTAAAACCACAACGAGACACCACCTTACTCCTGCAAGAATGGCCAAAATTATGAAGTCAAAAAATAACAGACGTTGGCATGGATTTGGTAAAAAAGGAACACTTTTATTCTGCAAGTGGGAATGTAAATTAGTACAACTATGGAAAACAGTATGGAAATTCCTTAGGAGCTAAAAGTAGAACTACCATTTGATTAATCAATTCCACTACTGGGTATCTACCCAAATGAAAAGAAGTCATTAATAAAAAAAAAAAACACATGTACACACATGTTCATAGCAGCACAGTTCACAATTGTAAAAATATGGAACCAGCATAAATGCTCATCAACCAATGAGTGGATAAAGAAAATGCGGTGTATATATACACCATGGAATACCACTCAGCCATAAAATGTAACAAAATAATTGTATTTGAGGCAACTTGAATGGAGGTGGAGGCCATTATTCTAAGTGAAGTAACTCAGGAATGGAAAACCAAATATTGTATATTCTCACATATAATTGGGAGTTAAGCTATGAGGATGCAAAAGCATGAGTATGATATAATGGACTTTGGGGATTCAGGCGGAAGGTTGAGAGGGGAAGAGGGATAAAAGACTATGTACTGGGCTCAGGCCAGGCGCGGTGGCTCACGCCTGTAATCCCAGCACTTTGGGAGGCCTAGGCAAGCTGATCACAAGGTCAGGAGATCGAGACCATCCTGGCTAACATGGTGAAACCCCGTTTCTACTAAAAATACAAAAAAATTGGCCAGGCATGGTAGTGGGCGCCTGTAGTCCCAGCTACTTGGGAGGCTGAGGTAGGAGAATGGCGTGAACCTGGGAGGTGGAGCTTGCAGTGAGCCGAGATCACGCCACTGGATTTCAGCCTGGGCAACAGCAAGACTCCGTCTCAAAAAAAAAAAAAAATTACCTTGGGCCAGTATGGCCATTTTCACGATATTGATTCTTCCTACCCATGAGCATGGAATGTTCTTCCATTTGTTTGTATCCTCTTTTATTTCACTGAGCAGTGGTTTGTTGTTCTCCTTGAAGAGGTCCTTCACGTTCCAGTTAGAATAGCAATCATTAAAAAGTCAGGAAACAACAGTTGCTGGAGAGGATGTGGAGAAATAGGAACACTTTTACACTGTTGGTGGGACTGTAAACTAGTTCAACCATTGTGGAAGTCAGTGTGGCGATTCCTCAGGGATCTAGAACTAGAAATACCATTTGACCCAGCCATCCCATTACTGGGTATATACCCAAAGGACTCTAAATCATGCTGTTATAAAGACACATGCACACGTATGTTTATTGCGGCACTATTCACAATAGCAAAGACTTGGAACCAACCCAAATGTCCGACAATGATAGACTGGATTAAGAAAATGTGGCACATATACACCATGGAATATTATGCAGCCATAAAAAATGATGAGTTCATGTCCTTTGTAGGTACATGGATGAAATTGGAAATCATCATTCTCAGTAAACTATCACAAGAACAAAAAACCAAACACCGCATATTCTCACTCATAGGTGGGAATTGAACAATGAGAACACATGGACACAGGAAGGGGAACATCACACTCTGGGGACTGTTGTGGGGTGGGGGGAGGGGGGAGGGATAGCATTAGGAGATATACCCAATGCTAAATGACGAGTTAATGGGTGCAGCACACCAGCATGGCACATGTATACATATGTAACTAACCTGCACATTGTGCACATGTACCCTAAAACTTAAAGTATAATAATAATAAAATAAAAAGAAAAGGAAAAAAAAGAAAAAAAAAAGACTATGAACTGAGTGCAGTGTACACTGCTCAGGTGATGAGTACACCAAAATCTCAGAAATCACCACTGAAAAACCTATTTATGTAAACAAAAACAACCTGTGCACAAAAAACTATTGAAATAAAACTTTACAAAATTAAAATAAAATACAGATTGGCAGACTGGATTAAAAAAATCACAAACTAAATATCTTCTAACTTCAAAAGACTCACCTAACAGGTAAAAATTCTTATAGACTCAAGGTAAAGGGGTGGAAAAAGATATTTCACGCAAATGGAATAAAAAACTAGCAGAAGTAGCCATTCTTGTAGTTGGTAAAACAGACTTTGAGGCAACAACAGTAAAAAAAAAGAACAATGGTCATTTTATAAATATAAAACTATCAATACAACAAAAAGATATTACAATCTTAAGTATGTGTGCACCTAATTATGGAGCTCCCAGATTTATAAACCAACTACTACTAGACCTAAGAAAAGAACTACACAGCAACACAGCAATAGTGGGGGACTTCAATGCTCCACTATGGCACTAGACAGATCATCGAGGAAGAAAGTCAACAAAAAAACACTGGACTTAAACTGCTCTCCAGAACAAATGGATCTAACATATATTTACAGAACATTCTACTCCAAAACTGCAGAACATACATTCTCATTATCAGCACATGGAAGATTCTCCAAAATAGACCATATGATAGGCCACAAAACAAGTCTCAATCAAATTTTTTTTAAATTGAAATTATCTTAAATATCTTCTCAGATCACTGTGGAATAAAACTAGAAATTTACTGTAAAAGGAATCCTTAAAATAATACAAATACATGGAAACTAAACAATCTGTTCTTGAATAATTTTTGATTTAACAATAAAACCAAGATTGTAAGTAAAAAAAAATTCTTCAAAATGAATAATAATTGTGACACAAGCTATCAAAAAATCTGGGATACAGCAAAAACAGTGCTAACAGGAAAGTTTATAGTGCTAAATGCCTACATCAAAAAGACTGAAAATCACAGGTTGACAACTAATGTCATACCTCAAGGAACTAGAGAAACAAGAACAAGCCAAAACCAAAGCTAGCAGAAGAAAAGAATGACAAGGTTTAGAGCAGAACTAAATAAAATTGAAATAAAGGAAATACAAGAATCAATAAAACAAAAATTTGGTTCTTTGACAAGGTAAACAAAATCCATGTGCCATTAGGTGGATTAACCAAGAGAAGATTTACAGAAGCTCAATTAGAAATGAAATGGAAACAATAAAACAATACCACAGAAATACAAAAGATCATTTAAGACTACTATGAACAACTCTGTGCACAAATTTAGAACAGATAGATAAAATGGATGAGTTCCGGGAAATGTACAACCCTCCTAGCTTGAATCCAGAAGAAATATAAATTCTGAAGAAGCCAATAATAAGCAATAAGATTTACTCTGTAATGAAAAAAATCACCAACAAAAAAAAATGAACCCAGAAATATATGGATTCACAGGCAAATTCCAAAAGACCTACCAAGAAAGATTAGTACCAATTCTACTGAAACTATTTGAAAAGATTGGAAAAGACAACCCCTTCCATAACTCAGTCTGTGAAGCCAGTATCACCCTGATACCAAAGCAAGGAAATGACATTAAAAAAGAAAACTACAGACTAACGTTCCTAATGGACATAAATGCAAAAATCCTCAAAAATACTAGCAAACCAAATGCAACATTACATCAAAAACGTTATTCATTATGCTCAAATGAGTTTCATCCCAGAAATGAAGGAATGGTTCAACATACACAAGTCAATAAGTGTGATTCACCAAATAAACAGAATTGAAAATAAAAACTGTATGATCATCTCAATACACACAGAAGAATCAGTTGATAGGATCCAACATTCTTCATGATAAAATCCCTCAACAAACTAGGCATAGAGGAAGCATACCTCAATATAATAAAAGCCATATATGACAAACCCACATCCAACATCATAATGAATGGGAAAAAGTTGAAATTATTCCTCCTGAGAACTGCAACAAGACAAGGATGTTCACTTTCACCACTTCTATTCAACATAATACTGGAAGTCCTAGTGTTAGCAATCAGGCAAAATAAGAAATAAAGGCATCCAAATTAGAAAAGAGGAAATCAAACTATTTGTTTGCCAATGATATAACCATATACCTAGGAAACCATACAGACTCATCCAAATGACTACTAGATTTTATAAATGAATTCAGTAAAGTCCTAAGTTACAAAATCAATGCACACAAATAAGTGTCACTGCTATACACCAACAATGACCAAGCTGAGAATCAAATCAAGAACTCAGTTCCTTTTATAATAGCTGCAAAAATAAAATAAAATACCTAGAAATATATGTAATGAAGGAGGTGAAAGATCTCTACAAGGAGAACTACAAAACACTGCTGAAATAAATCATAGATGACACAAACAGTTGGAAACAAATTCCATGCTCATGGATTGGAAGAATCAGTATCATAAAAATCACACGGTGCCCAAATCGACCTGCAGATTTAATGAAATTCCCATCAAAACAGTAACATCATTTCTCACAGAATTAGAAAAAACAATTTTAAAATTCATATGGAATCAAAAATAGCCTAAATAGTCAAAGCAATACTAAGCAAAAAGGACAAATCTGAAGGCATCACGTTACCCAGCTTTAAGTCATACTACAAGGCTGTAGTAGCCAAAACAGCATAATAATGGGATAAAAGTAGATACATAGACAAACGAGACAAAATAGAGAACTTAGTAATCAAGCCAAATACTTACAACCAGCTATTTTTTTTAACAAAGTATACAAAAACATAAATTGGGGAAAGGGCACCCTATTCAATAAGTAGTGCTGGAAACATTGGATAGTCATATGTAGAATAAAATTGGATCTCTATCACCATATACAAAAATTAACTCAAGATGGATGAAAGACTTAAATGTATGACCAGAAACTATAAAAATTCTGGAATAAAACCCAGTAGAAACTCTTATGGACATTGGCCTGGGCAAAGAAAATTATGACTAAGACCCCAAAAGCAAATGCAACAAGAACAAAAATAAATAAACAGGACCTAATTAAACCAAAAGGCTTGTGCACAACAACAACAAAATCATCAAAATAAACAGCCCACAGAATAGAAGAAATATTTCCAAACTATGCATCTCACAAAGTAGTAATATCCAGACCCTACAAGAAACACAAACAAATCAGCAAGAAAAAAGCAAATATTTCCATGAAAAAGTGGGCAAATGACATGAATAGACACTTCTCAAAACAAGATATGCAAATGGACAATGAATATATTTTAAAATGTTCAACATTTCTAATTATCAGGAAATGCAAACTAAAACTACAATGAGATATCACCTTACCCTAGCCAGAATGTCCATTATTAAAAGTGAAAAAACAATACATGTTGACATTGATGTTGTTAAAAGGGAAAAATTATACATTGCCGGTGGGAATGTAAATTAGTACAATCTCTATGTAAAACAGTACAGATATTTCTCAAGGAACTAAAAATAGATCTATCATACAGTCCAGCAATTCCACTACTGGTGATCTACCTAGAAAAAAAAAGATGTCATTATATCAAAAGACACCTGCATGTACATGTTCATCACAGCACAATTCACAATTGCAAAGACATGCAACCAACCTAAGTGCCCATCAAGAGATGACTGGAAAAAGAAAATGTGGTATATATCCATACCATGGAATACTATTCAGCCACAAAAAAAAAGAATAAAATAATGTCTTTTGCAGCAACTCAGATGGAGCCAAAGGCCATTATTTTAAGTGAATTTACTGAGGAATGTAAAATCAATTACCGTATGTTCTCACTTATAATTGGGAGCTAGGCTATGTTTATGAAAAGGCATACATAGTCGTATAACGGACATAGGAAACTAAGAAGTGGGGAGGGTTTTAGGGGGATGAGGGATAAAAAACTACATATTGGGTACAATGTACACTACTCAGGTGACAGGGGCCCTAAAAACTCAGACTAAACTGCTGTACAATTCCTTCATGTAATTCATCCATGTAACCAGAAAACCACTTCTATCCCAAAAGCTATAGAAATTATATATATATATATATATATATATATATATATATATATATATATATATATGTAATTGAACGGTTCGTTATTATATAATGATAAAGAAGCATATTATGTCATGCTGATGGTTCAATTCACAAGAAGATGTAACTATTCTAAAAATATATGCACCTAACTGCGGAATATCCAGATTTATAAAACAAATACTTCTAGACTTAAGAAAAAAAGAATATAAAAAAATTTAAAAGAAACAAAAGAATAGAACATACTGAACTAAAGCAATTAGTCAAAATGAAAAAGAAGAGCCATCCAAATTGGAAAAGGGGAAGTCAAATTATCTCTGTTCTCTGATAACATGATCTTATACATAGAGGAACGTAAAATTCTTTCAAAAGATTTCTAGTTCTGATAAATGGCTTTAGTAAAGGTTTACGACACAAAATTAATGCGCAAAAGTCAGTTTCATTTCTATACACTAACAACTCTCAAGCTGAGAACTAAATTAAGAATTTGTTTTCATTTATAATAACCACAGAATAATAACTAGAAATACATTTAATAGAAAAGCTGAAAGCCTTCTGCAAGAACTACAAACAACTGATGAAATAAATTGTAGATGACCCAGACAAATGTTAAAATACCCCATGGTATGGGTAGGAAGAATCAATACTGTTAAAATAACTATACTTCCTAAAGCAATGTATAGATTCAAGCAACTCCTGTCAAATTACCAAGGTAACTATTTTCAAAATTGGAAAAAAAAAGTTTCTAAAATACAAAAAAACATATGGAACTTATTAAAAGCCCAAATGGTTAAAGCAATCCTAATCAAATAAGCCAGAATGTGTCACATTATTTTATTTCAAACTATACTACAAGGCTATAGTAACCAAAACAGCATGGAACTGGTGCACAAATAGACACATAGATCAATGGAACAAAATAGACAACTCAGAAATAGAGCCACATAGTTACAGCCAACTGATATTTGACAAAGTTGACAAAAATAAACAATGGAGAAAGAACACCTTATTCAACAAATGGTGCTGGAAAACCTGGCTAGTCATATGCAGAAGGATGAAACTGGAACCCTATTTTTCAACATGTAAAAAATTATCTCAAGATAAATTAAAGACTTAAACGTAACACCTGAAAATGTAAAAATTCTAAAAGAAAAACTAGAAAAAATCTCTTGTGGACATTGGCCTAGGCAAACAGTTTATGACTGAGACCTCAAAAGCAAATGCAATGAAAATAAAAATCGACAAACGGAATTTAATTAAATTAAAGAGATTCCGCCCAGCAAAAGAAACAATCAATAGAGTAGACAGACAGCTTACAGAATGGTGGAAAATATTTGCAAACTACTCATCTGACAAAGGACTAATATCCAGACTCTATAAGGAAGATAATCTAATCAAATGAGAAGAAAACATCAAATAACACATTAAAAAGTCACAAAGAACATGAACAGACATTTCTCAAAAGAAGCTATACAATAAACCAAAAATCATTTGAAAAAATGCTCAACATCGCTAATCATCAGTGTATTAGGGTTCTCTAGAGGGACAGGACTAATAGAATAGATGTATATATGAAAGGGAGTTTATTAAAGAGTATTGACTCACACGATCACAAGGTGAATTCTCACAACAGGCCATCTGCAAGCTGAGGAGCAAGGAAGCCAGCCCGGATCCCAAAACCTCAAAAGTAGGGAAACTGACAGTGCAGCCTTCAGTCTGTGACTGAAGGCCCGAGAACCCCTGGCAAACCCCTGGTGTAGGTCCAAGAGTCCAAAAGCTGAAGAACGTGGAGTCCAATGTTTAGAGGCAGGAAGCATCCAGCATGAGAAAAAGATGGAGGCCAGAAGACACAGCTAGTCTAGTCTTTCCACGTTTCCCTGCCTGCTTTTTTCCTAGCCTCACTGGCAGCTAATTAGATGGGCCCACCCAGATTGAGGGTGGGTCTGCCTCTCCTAGTCTACTGACTCAAATGTTAATCTCCTTTGGCAACACCCTCACAGACACACCCAGGAAAAATACTTTGCATCCTTCAATCCAATCAAGTTGACACCTAATATTAACCATCACAATCAGATACATGCAACTTAAATCTACAATGAGATAAAATAAAGTTGATGTTAATATTTAAAAAAATCTGGTATATGCATACATTGGAATATTATTCAGCTATAAAAAATAATAAAATTGTGTCTTTTGCAGCAACATAGGTGGAACTGGAGGCCATTATCTTGGGAGAAACAAGTTAGTCACAGAAAGAAATATTACATATTTTCATTCAAAAGTGGGAACTTAATAATGTATGAACATCAACCTAGAGAGTGGAATAACAGACCATGGAAACTCAGAAGGGTGAGAGTAAGAGAGGGTGGATAATAATAAATTATACATGGGAACAATGCACATTATTCAAGTGATG
This sequence comes from Homo sapiens, assembly GCF_000001405.40. Classification (NCBI taxonomy): domain Eukaryota; kingdom Metazoa; phylum Chordata; class Mammalia; order Primates; family Hominidae; genus Homo; species Homo sapiens. The sequence goes on from NC_000023.11 coordinate 80,508,805, forward strand.
GATACTCTAAAGCCCTGACTGACCACCACACAAAATATGCATGTAACAAAGTTGCAGGTGTACACCATACATTTATAAAAATACAAAAGGAAAAAAATGCACAAATTACCAAAATCATAATTGAAGGATGTTATTACTATATATGCTTTTAATGAGATTAATAGAGAACTAATATACAATTTTATGCCTATGAATTTGACGACTTAGAAGAAATAAACCAATTCTTATATCCACAAATTGCCAAAACTCTGCAGATGAAAGATACAATTTTAAATAGTCCTCTATAAAATAAAGAATAATTGAATTTACAGTTTATGCCTTTCTGTAAAAGATAGCTAAAAGAACAGATTATATCTCAAGTGAATTCTAAAACTTTAAAAATGAAACACTGCCAATTGTATACAATCTCTCTTCAAGAGAATAGAATAAGTGAGAACACTCTAAACTCATTATTTGAGGTCTGCATTACTCTGTTATGAAGATAATACTAAAAGATTAAAATTAAACTCACCAATATTTGTATCAATATAAACACCAAAATCCTCAACAACATATTAGCCAATTGAATTCAGCAATACATAAATATACACACATAATACACTATGCCAAAATGGGGTTTATCCCAGAAATAAAAGTCTAGTGTCATATTAAGATATAAATTAATGTAATCCACCATTTTTGCAGTATGAGAAATAAAAAAATATTGCATGGTCACATGGATTGATGCAGAAAATAGCATTTGAGAAAACTGAACACCTATTTGAAATTTAAAAGAAAAAACTCAGCAAACCTGGAATAGAACAGAAGTCCTCCACCTAATAAGAGCATCTCCAAAATATTACAAATAATTTTATACTTAATGGCGAAAGACTAAATCTTTTTCCCTAAGATAGTGAACAAGACACAGTTGCCCATCTTCCAACTCCTATAATGTATAGGTTTAGAATTTCTAGCCTTTGTAAAATGTAAGGAAAAAACATTGGAGTGAAGAAATACATATTTGTCTCTACCTGCTGGTAACATGATTATTCATGTATAAAATTCAAAGTAATTTTTAGTAGAGATAAATAAGTTTATTAAGGCTGCCTAATACAAGGCTAACATTCAAAAATCAATCATATTTCTCTCTACTATCAGTGAAGATTTGGAAACCAAAATTAAAAACATAGTACCATTTATAATCACACCAAAGGAAATTAAATAGTTATATACTTTTAAAAAACAGGCATAAGACTTTTATGCTAAAAACTACAAAATGCTGATAAAAAAATCAAAGTTTTAAATAAATAGTCATATCATGTTCATGGATTAGAAGTCTGAACATAGGCTGGGCACAGTGGCTCATGCCTGTAATCCCAGCACTTTGGGAGGCTGAGACGTGTGGATCACTTGAGGTTAGGAGTCTGAGTTCGAGACCAGCCTGGCCAACACTTTGAAACCCTGTTTCTACTGAAAATATAAAAATTTGCTGAGCTTGGTGGCTCACACCTGTAGTCCCAGCTATTTGGGAGGCTGAGGCAGGAGAATTGCTTGAACATGGGAGGTGGAGGTTGCAGTGAGCCAAGATTGTGCCACTGCACTCCAGCCTGGGCAACAGAGCATGACTCTGTCTAAAACAAAAAAGTCTGAACATGGTAAATGTCTTAATTATCTTCAAATGTACCTATGACTTTAACACCATTCCCATAAAAGCCTTAGCAAGATATTTTGTAAATGTAAACAAGCTGATTATACAATTTAAATGGAAAGGCAAAGGCCATAAAATAGCTGAAAAATAATCTTTCAAAAAAAAGTAAAGTGTAAAAATCACTATGTAAGATTTTAAGACTTATTATTTAGTTACAGAAAACAAGACAGCCTGACCATGGATGAGGGATAGACACACAGATCAATGAAACATAAGAGGGAGTTCAGAAATACACCTTCACAGGTACGAATGGACAATTTCTGACAAAAGTGCAAAAACAAATAGATGGAAATATAGTCTTTTCAACAAATTGTATGAAAGAAACGAACCTCAACCTAAACCTCACACTTTTAAAAATTAACCTAAAATGGATCATGGAATTCAAAGTAAAATGTATATACGCAAATATTTTAGAAGGAAACATGAGAAAAAATTTAAGTAAAGACTTCTTAGACATTAAACCAAACTCATGATCTATAAATAATAATCAATAAATTGAAATTAATAAAAGTTATGATTTTTTTCTGCAAAACACTTCTTTGAAAGAATAAAAAAATACTTGGAGAAAATACATTTAAATCACATGTATGACAACAGACTTTTATCAAGAATATACAATGAAGTCTCTAAATATTATGAACGCAGACACTATTTAGCATTTTCAAAGTGACAAAATTATAGCGATAAAGAACAAGTCGATGGTTACCACTATTTAGTGGTGGGTAGAAACTGTAACTGTAAATGTTAACAAAAAAAAGACTTACTCATAATGAAAGAGTTTTATATTCTTATTGTAAGGCAAAAAAAAAAAAAGAAATAAAACTCATTCAGAGTTGAAAGAAAAAAGTAACTATTTTTTCACTGATTACATGGTGGAGCACATACAAAATCATTGGAGTTAACAAAAAAGCCAATGGAGGTAATAACTGAGCTCATCATGGTTAAATAATACAACCTCAATATACAAAAAATCATAATTCTATTAATATGTACTAGCAATGAACAGTGGTAAATTATTTTGTACTTTTTAAAAATACAATTCCCAATAGTATTATAACATATGAAACACCCAGGGATAAATCAGACAAAAGATGTGCAGAACCTGTCTACTGAAAACTAAAAAATCTTTCTGAGAGAGATTTTAAAAGACCTAAATAAATGCAGAGATATTTCATAACCATGGATTAGATTGTTAAGATGTTGACTTCCCCCCATTGATTTATATATGCAATGCAATTCCAAAAATTCCAGATTTTTCTGAAGAAACTGATGTTAATTATAACATTCATATGAAAATGCAGTCAACCTAGAATAGCCAAAATGACTTTGAAAATAATAAATTTAAAGGACTTATACCATCTGTCATCAAGTTATTATAAAGCTATAACAATGAAGACCACATGGTATTGATAACAAGAAAGACAAATAGAGAAATGCAATACACACACACCACACACACATACACACAAACACATGCACATACACATATATGAGTGGCTGTATTTGTACACATATATGTGAAGCAGCCTTGTTGTCTGGGGTAAATACCAAAGTTCTTGGTCTCACAGCCAAGGAGATCGAGGTCGCAGACACACACACACACACAGAGTGAGTTTGGAGCAGGAGTTTAATAGACAAAAGGAAAGAACAGCTCTCTGTCACAGAGAGGGGTCCAGAGCGGGTTTATAGGCCGTAGTAAATATGTTAGGGGTTTTATAAAGGGACTAGTGAGGAGGGGCCTCATGAGGAAGGGATGTCTTATCTTTCTAGGGCCCAACGGTTTAGTTGGAACCAGGTGTGCTATCTGCATAGAGCAGAGTTTTTTGTTGTTGTTGTTGTTGTTGTTTGTTTGTTTTTTATCAGTTCTTATTCCGTTTGCTGACCACATAGGCAGAATCTTAGTCTGTGCTGCTTTGTCTTGCTTATCTGGGAGGGAGAGTTTCTGTGTCTGTTCCCAGACATCTTCTTGCAGCTGCAGGCATCCCCCCACACCCACTTTTAGCTTCCCTATCTTAGTGTGCCTAAAGGGAAAGGAATGTGCTTACTAAGGCCCACTGTTTTTACCGGTATGAGTGTGAAGTTTGGTGATTACCCAAGAAACTCAAGAAACTTCCCCCTCTCCTTCTGTACCCAAGCTGTCTTATCTGTGTTTTACAGTCTGCTCTATCAGGCTGCTTGTTGTTAGAGGAGAGGTGATTTCTTTGAACTGCATGAGGTTAGAAAGAGAGCTATTTTTGAGCTGCTTTTTGTTAAAAGTAAAGTGGTTTTTTTTTTTGCCAGGGACTTGCTTTACCCTGTCCACCTAAATGATTTCTTTCTTCCTCTTATAACATATTTCTCCATTCTGGAATGGAGTCCCTAACTCCTGTTAGGGGGAATTGGGTGACGACTTACTCTGGCTACTTTCTGCTGGAGAGGGGTGTTGTGTGGGGAATAGCAGCGAGTGCTCCTCCTCGGATTAATTTAAAGGTCCCCGGTAAAAGGGTGGTTTCATTTTTGGATCCATTTAGAGCACCATCTGAAGCTTGATGGTTTCTAGGTGAGAAGGGATAAACTTTACAAGGAGGTTTAGAATATAGGATCCAAATATGAGTATTAAGTCTACCATTACTGTTGGGGGCGGGGGGCACTATAGGCCATAACCATGACAACAGAGTTTGGTAGATGCCTGTGAGACATTTAGATGGGTTGTTCTGTTGTAAGTGGGTGTATGGGACTTGGCTTTGTTTAGCTTTCTTGGTTTTACTTTCCAAAAAAAAAAAAAAAAAAGGAAACATTGGGATTATAGGTTACCTGGCAGGATCTGTAGGATAATTGCCCAGAACTAGAACATTGTTTCAGACTTTTACATTACCCATCCTTTTTTGTTTTCTCTGAGCTGCAGCCAGAGATAGCTGGTTGGTTGACAGGAATAAGCAGGGTTAGTTTAAAATGTAGGCAAGAATTAAAAACAATTAATGAGATGAGAAGTCAACAGGTGTATAAGTTTTAAAACATAATTTCTCTCTCTCTCGAGTCCTCATTTTTGTTAAACTTATGATATGACTGAGCTGTTTGCAAAATAAACTTTACTCTTATACTTGGCCTAATTATTTGCATAAAGTGCAGCAAGAATAACTATTTTTACATAGGCCTTTTAGATTGGCTTTGATGGAACTTTGTTCCACAAGGAATCTCAGATAGGACCTTTTAAATCCCAGCCCAGCTATGGGTTTGCACCTTTAAATACCTGTGAGTTGGGTAAACTTCTTTCTTTTTGAGGTTCCTGGAGCATGGGGTTTCTAGGCCTGTTAGAAAGTGACATTCTTTACTCACCACCGGTCAGGAACGCCCCAGGGAGACTGTGTAAACAAGTTATAAGGGCAGTATCCAAGGGGCTTTTATTGGCTTTGCAAATCAAGCTTGATTCCTTAAAGGGGAACATACCCTTCCAGCTAAAGCCTTGGTAAAACAACTAGGTTTTCCAATTGTTTCTTGTTGCAAAAGAAAATAGATTTTTGTTGCACTGATGCAAACAACTATATTGTAATTTAAGAATACTTATGACTAGTTTCCAAATTCTAGAAGAACTAGGCAGAGAGAAACAAACATGCTTCAAATCTTATTTACAGTAGTATACTTTACTTAGTTGTTACAGGCTGTAGCTAGCTTAAGACAAGTTTTCTTGACTCTGAAAAATAAAACAAAGATTAGCAGTGTTCCAAACAAAAGTTAAAACCTTTTTTTGTTTTCTATTAGTTTAGTCCATTCTAGTGTTTAATTTACAGAAAAAATATATTATTTTGAATTTAGTTAATATGTTTACACACAGAGTTTCCTTTGCAAGATTAATTTTTACAATCTTTTTACAATTTGCTTAAACCTTTCACTTTATTTTATTTAATTTTAAGACAATTCTTTATTCCTAATTAAAATGTACATTTTCATGCCTTCTTATAATTTTTACCAATTGTGAAGCAGGCAAGTTGACAGTTTTTAAAGGCTAAAGAAGCAGTTTACAACCTTAAAACATTTAGCAAACCTAGTATTTGACCGGCATAATTTAGACCACATCTTTACACCTTGAAGACATTTTTACTTTACCAATTATTCCTAAGACTCTTTTTATTTTAAAGATTAAAGTCACATAAGCTGAAAGATACCACAGCTTTTAATTTTCCTTTAAAAATATTTTATTTAAGTGCTTATTATTTTAGGCCAATTAACTAGAACTCTTTTTAAATAAGCATTACACACATTACACATATATAACCACACAAACAGAAAAAAATACAGTAGTTATGAGATTTTTATTTGCTAAGTTCCCAATTGGATTATTTGCCTCTGGGTGAGGCCCTTTAAGAACAGGGTTAGTAATACAATTTCCAGGGCCTAATAAACAAGCATAGCCGGAAGAGAAAGACATATTTTGAGAGGCACTTATTTACCATTAATTTCAGGGGCTACATGAAGAAAACAGATATTTTTTCCTAAAGTGGAATTTGTGGTACCTTTTCTGTTTTCCTAAGGAGTCCCAGGCCACCAGAAGACATTCTACGGTCTTTTATGCATGCACCAAGAGTAGCAAGATAGAGTGAAAAGAAAAAAGTAATTTAGTTGACAGAAAAAAAAAACTCTTCCAGAAAAACAAGATTTATAAAGAGAAAAACATAAAGGCCTTTTAAATATACCCATAGCTTGGATATCCACTTTCAATTAATCTGAGCTTTTTTTTTTTTTTTGAGATGGAGTCTTGCTCTGTTGCCCAGGCTGGAGTGCAGTGGTACGACCTCGGCTCACTGCAACCTCCACCTCCTGGGTTCAAATGATTCTCCTGCCTCAGCCTCCAGAGTAGCTGGGACTACCAGCGCATGCCACCACGCCTGGCTAATTTTTGTATCTTTAGTAGAGACAGGGTTTCACCATGTTGCCCAGGATGGTGAACACTCTTTAAGAAAATTCTGAGCACTCTTTAAGAAAACTCTTTTTCATTTAAGAAATTTCTTTTACAATCTGCTCTTTCAGGCTGCTTGTTGTTAGAGGACAAGTGATTTCTTTGAACTGCATGAGGTTAAAAAGAGTTATTTTTGAGCTGCTTTTGTTAAAAGGAATTTTTTTTGAGAGGGACTTGCTTTACCCTGTCTACCTAAATAATTTCTTTCTGCCTCCTATAACATATGTTCATATATATAAGTATGTTTGTGCATTTGTGTAGATTTAGAAGGTACATGTGCAGTTTTGTTACATGAATATATTGAATAGTGGTGAGGTCTGGTTTTTTAATGTAGCTATCACTCATGTAGTACACATTGTACCCATTAGGTAATTTCTCATTTCTTACCTCTTTCCCACCCTCCCACCATTCTATGTCTAATGTATATTACTCCACACTCTATTTCCATGTGTACACATTATTTAGCTCCCATTTATAAGTGAAAACATGTCATATTTGAATTTTATAGATAACCTAGAAATAAAGCCACATAACTCCAGCCAACTGATCTTTTCTTTTTTAAGAGACAAGGCCTTATTCTCTCACCCAAGCTGGAGTGCAGTGGAATGATCATAGCTCACTGCAGCCTTGAATTCCTGGACTTAAGTGATCCTCTTACCTCAGTCTCCCAAGTAGATAGGACTATAGGCACATGCCATTGTGCGTAGCTAATTTTTTGTTGTATTTTGTTTATTTAGGTATGTATGTATTTATTTATTTATTGTAGACATAAGATCTTGCTATGTTGCCCAGGTTGGTTTTGAACACCTGGGCTTATGCAATGATCCCACCTTGGCCTCCCAAAGTGCTATAATTACATATATGAGCCACCATGACTTGATGCCAACTAATCTTTGACAAAGTTAACAAAAACAACCACTCATATATTAGCAATTGGTTTTCTCAAAAGTTCAAGAACAAATAAGTAGAAAAACATCTTTTTAACTAATGGTGCTAGAATAATTGGATATTCATATGCAAAAAAATGAACTTCAATTTTTATCCCTCATCAAATACAAAAATGAATTCAATGTAAGTAATAAAACTAGATGCAAAATGTAAAACTACCATGTGAAAGATGAAATAATCCAGGAGTTGTTTCTATGCAAGAATAAGTAAGACTGATAGACTGCTAGCTAGACCAATTAAAAAAAAGATGAGCCACAGAAACACAATGAGAAATTACAAAGGAGACATTGTCAATGACCACAAAGAAATAAAAAAATTGTCAGGACTATCATGAACACTTCTATGCAAAAAAAAAACTAGAAAACCTAGAATAAATGAATAAATTTCAGGAAACACACAACCCCTCAAAATTGAACCAGGAAGAAATTGAATCCCTGAAAATATCAATAATAAGTTCCAAAACTGAATCAGTAATAAACAGCTTACCAACCAGGAAAAGCCCAGGACCAGATGGATTAACAAATTGTACCACGTATATGAAGAAGAGCTGGTACCAATTCTACTGCAACTATCCCATAAAATTGAGGAAGAGAGACTCCTCCTTAACTTACTCTATGAGGCCAACATCATCCTGATACCAAAACCTGGCAGAGAAACAACAACAAAAAGAAAACTTCAGGACGATATCCTTGAACACAGATGCAAAATCCTAAACAAAATACTAGCAAACCAAATCCAACAGCACATCAAAACACTAATCCACCATGATCAAGTAGGATTTATCCTTGGGATGTAAGGTTGGTTCAACAAATGCAAATCAATAAATGTGACTCATCATTAACAGAACCAAAAACAAAAAAACACATGATCATCTCAATAAATGCAGAAAATGATTTTGATAAAATTCAACATTCCTTTATCTTAAAATACCCTCAATAAACTAGACATTGAAGGAACATGCCGAAAATAATAAGCACCACCTATGAGAAACCCACAATCAACATCATACTGAATGGGCCAAAGCTGGATGTATTCCCCTTGAAAACTGGGACAAAGATGTCCACTGTCATCAGTTCTATTCAACATAGTACTTGGTGAGCAATCAAGCAAGAGAAAGAAAAAAAAGGCATCCAGATAGGAAAAGAAAAAGTCAGATCTGTGCAGTTGATATGATTCAATACCTAGTAAAACCCCATAGTCTCTGCCCAAAACTCCTAGATCTGATGAACAACTTCAGTAAAATTTCAGGATAAAAAATAAATGTAAAAAATCAGTCGTATTTCTTTACAACAACAACATTCAAGCTGAGAGCCCAAACAAGAACATGATCCCATTCACAATAGCCTCAAAAAGAATAAAATACCCCAAAATACAGCTAACCAAAATGGTGAAAGATGACCACAATGATAATTACAAAACAGTGCTGAAAGAAATCAGATGACACAAACAAACTAGAAAACTATAAATGTTTCTAGCAACTTATTTTCATTTTCCTTTGGGCTACCACCATTCTTTCACTTTTAGTCCTTGAAGTTTCGATAGGGCTGACCAGGGGGGAAAAAAAAAGAAAGGCAGCATTGGCATAATTCAAGGGTGGAGTTTTTGTCCCTCTGACATAAGGGACATTTGATGATGAACATTGATGCGATGACTCGCATAGAGGTGTTTATAGTATTCTCTGAGGGTAGTTCGTATGTCTGTGGGATCAGTGGTGATATCCCTTTTATCATTTTTTATTGCATCTATTTGATTCTTCTCTCTTTTCTTCTTTAATAATCTGACTAGCAGTCTATATATTTTGTTGATCTTTTCATTGATTTTTTAAAGGGTTTTTTTTGTGTCTCTGTCTCTTTCGATTCTGCTCTGATCTTAGTTATTTCTTGTCTTCTTCTAGCTTTTGAGTTTGTTTGCTCTTGCTTCTCTAGTTCTTTGATGTTAGGGTGTTGATTTTAGATCTTTCCTGCTTTCTCTTATGGGCATTTAGTGCTATAAATTTCCCTCTAAACTCTTCTTTAAATGTGTCCCAGAGATTCTGGTACGTTGTGTCTTTATTTCTGCCTTAATTTCGTTATTTACCCAGCAGTCATTCAGGAGCAGGTTGTTCAGTTTCCATGTAGTTGTACGGTTTTGAATGAGTTTCTTAATCCTGAGTTCTAATTTGATTGCACTGTGGTCTGAGAGACAGTTTGTTATGATTTCCATTCTTTTGCATTTGCTGAGGAGTGTCTTACTTTCAATTATGTGGTCAATTTTAGAATAACTGCATTGAGGTGCTGAGAAGAATGTATATTTTGTCGACTTGTGGTGGAGAGCTCTGTAGATGTCTACTAGGTCTGCTTGGTCCAGAGCTGAGTTCAAGTCCTGAATATCCTTGTTAGTTTTCTGTCTCATTGATCTGTCTAATAGTGGCAGTGGGGTGTTAAAGTCTCCCACTATTATTGTGTGGGAGTCTAAGTCTCTTTGTAGGTCTCTAAGAACTTGCTTTATGAATCTGGGTGCTCCTGTATTGGGTGCATATATATTTAGGATAGTTAGCTCTTCTTGTTGCATTGATCCCTTTACTATTATATAATGCCCTTCTTTGTCTCTTTTGATTTTTGTTGCTTTAAAGTCTGTTTCATCAGAGACTAGGATTGCAACCCCTGCTTTTTTTCTCTCTCTCTCCATCAGCTTGGTAACTATTTCTCCATCCCTTCATTTTGAGCTTATGTGTGTCTTTGCACGTGAGATGGGTCTTCTAAATGCAGCACACCAATGGGTGTTGACTCTTTACCCAGTTTGCCAGTCTGTCTTTTACTTGGGGGCATTTAGCCCATTTACATCTAAGGTTAATATTGTTATGTGTGAATTTGATCCTGTCATCATGATGCTAGCTGGTTATTTTGCCCGTTAGTTGATGCAGTTTCTTCATAGTGTTGATGGTCTTTACAATACGGTATGTTTTTGCAGTGGCTGGTATTGTTTGTTCTTTTCCATGTTTAGTGCTTCCTTTAGGAGCTCCTGTAAGGCAGGCCTGGTGATGACAAAATCTCTCAGCATTTGCTTGTCTGTAAAGGATTTTGTTTCTCCTTCACTTATAAAACTTAGTTTGGCTGGATATGAAATTCTGGGTTGAAAATTCTTTTCTTTAAGAATGTTGAATATTGGCCCCCACTCTTCTGGCTTGTAGGGTTTCTGCTGAGAGATCTCTGTTAGTCTGAGGGGCTTCCCTTTTTGGGTAACCCTACCTTTTTCTCTGGCTGCCCTTAACATTTTTTCTTTCATTTCAACTTTCGTGAATCTGACAATTATGTGTCTTGGGGTTGCTCTTCTCAAGGATAATCTTTGTGGTGTTCTCTGTACTTCCTGAATTTGAATGTTGGCCTGTCTTGCTAGATTGAGGAAGTTCTCCTGCATAATATCCTGAAGAGTGTTTTCCAACTTGATTCCATTCTCCCCGTCACTTTCAGGTACACCAATCAAACGTAGATTTGGTCTTTTCACATAGTCCCATATTTCTTTGAAACTTTGCTCATTCCTTTTCATTCTTTTTTTTCTAATCCTGTCTTCTCCCTTTATTTCATTAAGTGGATCTTCAGTCTCTGATATCCTTTTGTCTGCTTGATCGATTCAGCTCTTGATACTTGTGTATGCTTCACAAAGTTCTCGTGCTGTGTTTTTCAGCTCCATCAGGTTACTTATGTTCTTCTTTAAACTGGTTATTCTAGGTAGCTATTCTTCTAAACTTTTTTTTCAAGGTTCTTAGCTTCCTTCCTTGCATTGCGTTAGAACATACTCCTTTAGCTCGGAGGAGTTTGTTATTACCCACCTTCTGAAGCCTACTTCTGTCAATTCATCAAACTCATTCTCCATCCAGTTTTGTTCCCCTGCTGGCGAGGAGTTGTCATCCTTTGGAGGAGACGAGGTGTTCTGGTTTTTGGATTTTTCAGCCTTTTTGCACTGGTTTTTCCCCATCATCCTGGATTTATCAACCTTTGGTCTTTGATGTTGGTGACCTTCGGTTGTGGTCTTTGGACGCCATTTTTGTTGATGTTGATGCTATCCCTTTCTGTTTGTTAGTTTTCCTTCTAACAGTTAGGCCCCTCTGCTGCAGGTCTGCTGGAGTTTGATGGAGGTCCACTCCAGACCCTGTTTGCCTGGGTATCACCAGCAGAGGCTGCAGAACAGCAAAAATTGCTGCCTTTTCCTGAAGCTTCATCCCAGAGGGGCACCTGTCAGATGCCAGCTGGAGCTCTCCTATATGAGGTGTCTGTCAACCCCTACTGGGAGGTGTTTCCCAGTCAGGATACACGGGCATCAGGGCCCCACTTGAGGAGGCAGTCTGACCCTTAGCAGAGCTCAAATGAATGCTGTGCTGGGAGATCCACTGCTCTCTTCAGAGCCATCAAGCAGGATGTTTAAGTCTGCTGAAGCTGCGCCCACAGCCGCCCCTTCCCCCAGTTGCTCTGTTCCAGGGAGATGGCGGCTTTATATATAATCCCCTGACTGGGGCTGCTGCCTTTTTTTCAGAAATGCCCTTCCCAGAGAGAAGGAATCTAGAGAGGCAGTCTGGCCACAGCGTCCTTGCTGAGCTGTGATGGGTTCTGCTCAGTTCAAAATTCCCAGCCGCTTTGTTTACATTGTGAGGGTAAAACGGCCTACTCAAGCCTCAGTAATGGTGGAGGCCCCTCCTCCCACCAAGCTCGAGTGTCCCAGGTCAACCTCAGACTGCTGTGCTGGCAGCAAGAGTTTCAAGCCAGTGGATCTTAGCTTGCTGGGCTCCGTGGGCATGGGACCTGCCGAGCCAGACCACTTGGCTCCCTGGTTTCAGTCCCCTTTCCAGGGCAGTGCCACTGGGGTATGGAAAAAAAAAACTCCTGCAGCTAGCTTGGTGTCTGCCCAAATGGCTGCCCAGTTTTGTGCTTGAAACCCAGGGCCCTGGTGGTGTAGGCACCGGAGGGAATCTCCTGGTCTGCAGGTTGTGAAGACCATGAGAAAAGCACAGTATCTGGGCCAGAGTGCATTGTTTTTCATGGCATGGTCCCTCAACGGCTTCCCTTGGGTAGGGTAGAGAGTTCCCCAACCCCTTGCACTTCCCGGGTGAGGCGACTCCCCACTCTGCTTCGGCTCACCCTCCGTGGGCTGCACCCACTGTCCCAAATGAGATGAACCGGGCACCTCAGTTGGAAATGCAGAAATCACCTGCCTTCTGCGTTGATCTCACTGAAAGCTGCAGACTGGAGCTGTTCCTATTCAGCCATCTTGCCACCAATTCCCCCAAAACACTTAAAAAAAATCAGTATGATAGAATCTTCAAATAAGGAAGCTCTTTATCTTGTTACTTATTACTGTTCTTTTATAAAATCTTTTGTATAAATTTTATGTTTTTTCAACTTTTATTTTATATACTGGGGGACATGTGCAAATTTTTTACATGGAAATACTGTGATGCTAAGGTTAGGAGTATGGATCCCATCACCAAAGTAGTGAGCATAGTACCCAATAGGTAGTTTTTTAACCCACCACCCCTCTACCATCTAGTAGTCCATAGTGTCTGTTGTTAGCATGTTTATGTCCATGTATGCTCAATGTTTAACTCCCATTTATAAGTGAGAATATGAGGTATTTGACTTTCTGTCCCTGAATTAATTTGTTTAGGATTATTGCCTCCAGCTCCATCCATGTTGCTATAAAGGACATGACTTAAATTATTTTTACTTAAAAAAAAAAGGAGGTCTGCAGCTCTGAGACGAGTGACTTTATAGGAACAAAGGGATAAATAACTTCATATCTAAGGATATTGTTGAAACAACTAAAATCTTGGTAGAGAACAATTAAGAGAAAGCTGGAGCTTCAGTATACAAATGCAATACCAGAGCTGAGGTGTAATAGGTCCAGGAAAAGAAGCAGCCAAGAAGCACCCTTCTGGCCAATCTTGGAGGATGATAAGACTGCCCAGGTGCTACACTGCACTCACTCAGGAAGAATCAGAGCAGGATGTGGGGAAAGCTTGAAAGCATTTCTTAAGCCACACAGAGATTTGCAAGCAGAATTTAAATTTCATGGATACAAAAGAATTGTCAGGTCAAAAGAATTAAACACACCTCTAACAAAAGCACTAATTTTGACAATAAGCTACTCTGACCCAGGGGCTAGAGTACAAGAAAGCCAGCCTAAAAATGAAATTGCATTCATTTCTGACAGTCTGGAAGGCCTTGTATATTCTGAAGGCCAAATCCCCTTAGCAGCAATTAGGCAGAAAACCTTCAAGTTGTTCCTGGTTGAATGTAGGAGAAAAAATATGAACCCTCTGAATTCTGATAGCTTCCAAGCCACACAAACATCCAATGATAAAGTCTAAATGAACAGGTAAGTTGCAGTGGCTCACAACTGTAATCTCAGCACTTTGGGAGGTGGAGGCAGGTGGATTGCTTGATTCCAGGAGTTTGAGACCAGCCTATTTGGATTTTGGAGGCAACACTTTCCTCATCTGGGTGTGTTACTCTGGCCCATTTATCAAGTGACCCAAAAAGCTGCCAGATTTGAATGGGGTCCAGAACAGGAGAACACTCTGCAACAGGTCCAGGCTGCTGTGCAAGCTGCTCTGCCACGTGGGCCATATGACCCAGCATAACCAATGGTGCTTGAGGTGTCAGTGGCAGATAAATATGCTGTTTGGAGCCATTGGCAGGCCCCCACAGGTGAATCACAGTGGAGTCCTCTAGGATTTTGGAGCAAGGCCCTACTGTCTTCTGCAGATAACTACACTCCTTTTGAGACAACTCTTGGCCTGTTACTGGGCTTCAGTGGAAACTGAATGTTTGACTGTAGGCCATCAAGTAACCATGTGACCTGAACTGCCTATCATGAACCAGGTGCTTTCTGACCCATCTAGCCATAAAGTGGGTCATGCACAGCAGCATTCCATCATCAAATTGAAGTGGTTTATATGTGATCAGGCTCAAGCAGGTCCTGAAGGCACAAGTAAGTTACATGAGGAAGTAGCTCAAATGCCCATGGTCTCCACTTCTGCCACCCTGCCTTCTCTCCCCCAGCCTGCAGCAATGGCCTCATGAGGAGTTCCCTATGATCAGTTGACAGAAGAAGAAAAGACTAAGGCCTGTTTCACAGATGGTTCTGCACAATATGTAGGCACCACCCAAAAGTGGACAGCTGCAGCACTACAGCTCCTTGCTAGGACATCCCTGGAAAACAGAGGTAAAGGGAAATCTTCCCAGTGGACAGGGCTTTGAGCAGTACATCTGGTTATGCACTTTGCATGGAAGGGGAAATGGCCAAATGTGTGATTATATGCTGATTTATGGGCTGTATGCAATTGATTGGCTGGATGGTCAAGGAGTTGGAAGAAGCATGATTTGAAAATTGGCAACAAAGAAATTTGGGGAAGAGTTATGTGGACAGACCTCTCTGAGTGGTCAAAAACTGAAGATATTTGCATCCCATGTGAGTGCTCACCAACGGGTGACGTCAGCAGAGAAGGATTCTAATAATCATGTGGATAGGATGACCCATTCTGTAGACACCACTCAGCCTCTTTCGCCAGCCACCCCTGTCATCGCCTATGAACAAATGGCCCATGAACAAAGTGGCCATGTTAGCAGGGATGGAGGTTTCACATGGGCCTGAGATATGTTGCTGACAACATGGACATCCACTCACCAAGGCAAACCTGGCTACTGCCACTGCTGAGTGGACAATTTGCCAGCACCACAGACCAACACTTGGCCGTTGATATGCCACAATTTCTTTGGTGATCAGCCAGCTACCTGGTGGCAGGCTGATTGTATTGGACCTTTTCCATCATGGAAAGGGCAGCGGTTTGTCCTCACTGGAATAGACACTTACTCTGGATATGGATTTGCCTATCCTGCATGCAATGCTTCTGCCAAGACTACCATCTGTGAACTCATGAAATGCCTTTTCCACTGTTGTGGTATTCCATTCAGCATTGTCTCTGACCAAGGCACTCACATTACAGCCAAAGAAGTGTGGGAGTGGGCACATGCTCATGGAATTCACTGGTCTTACCATGTACCAAATCATCCTGAAGCAGCTGGATTGATAGAACGGTGGAATGGCTTTTGAAGTCACAATTACAATGCCAACTAGATGACAATACTTTGCAGGGCTGGGGAAAGTTCTCCAGAAGGCTGTGTATGTTCTGAATTACCATCTAATATATGGTACTGTTTCTCCCATAGTCAGGATTCATGGGTCCAAGAATCAAGGGGTGGAAGTGGAAGTGGCACCACTCAACATCACCCCTAGTAATCCACTAGCAATATTTTTGCTTCCTGTTTCTGCAACACTACATTCTGCTGGCCTAGAGGTCTTAGTTCTGAGGGAGGAACGCTGCCACCAAGAGACACAACAATGATTCCATTAAACTGGAAATTAAGATTGCCACCTGGACACTTTGGGCTCCTCCTACCTCTAAGTCAATAAGCTAAGAAGGAAGTTACAGTGTTGGCTGTGCAGACTCACCCAGACTATCAAGATGAAATCAGTCTATTATATCACAATGGAGGTAGGGAAGAGTATGCATGGAATACAGAAGATCCCTTAGTATTATCTTAGTATTAGATCTCTTAGTATTATCATGCCCTGTGATTAAAGTTAATGGAAAACCACAACAGCCCAATCCAGGCAGGACTATAAATGGTCCAGACTCTTCGAAAATGAAGGTTTGAGTCACTCCACCAGGAAAACAACCATGACCTGTTGAGGTGCTTGCTGAAAGCAAAGGGAATACAGTATGGGTAGTAGAAGAAGGTAGTAATCAATACCAGCTATGACCACGTGATCAGTTGCAGAAATGAAGACTGTAATTGTCATGAGTATTTCCCCTTTATTTTTTTAATTGAAATGCTATGTTATTTATGTTATTACAGTCTCTCTCTTTTTTCTTTTGTTTGTTATTTTTCTTTATTTCTTATAAAAAATATGGGATACATGTGCAGAACGTGCAGGTTTTTTAGATAGGTATATATGTGCTATGGTGATTTGCTGTATCTATTGACTCATCCTCTAATTTCCCTCCCCTCATCCCTCAAACCCCTCAACAGGCCCTGGTGTTTGTTTTTCCCCTCTCTGTGTCCATGTGTTCTCAGTGTTCAACTCCCACTTATGAGTGAGAGCATGCAGTGTTTGGTTATCTGTTCCTCTGTTAGTTTGCTGAAAATATGGCTTCCAGCTTCATTCATGTCCCTGCAAAGGACATAATCTCATTCATTTTTATGGTTGCATAGTATTCCATGGTGTATATGTACCACAGTTTTTTTATCCAGCCTGTCATTGATGGGCATTTGGATTGGTTCCATGTCTTTGCTATTGTAAGTAGTGTTGCAATAAACATATGTGTGCATGTGTCTTTACAGTAGAATGATTTCTATTCCTTTGGGTATATATTCAGAAGTGGGAATGCTGGGTCAAATGGTATTTCTGGTTCTAAATCCTTGAGGAATCGCCATACTATCATCCACAATGGTTGAACTAATTTACGTTCCCACCAACAGGGTAAAAGCGTTCCTATTTCTACACAGCCTCACCAGCATCTATTGTTTCCTGACCTTTTAGTAATTGCCATTCTGACTGGCATGGGATGATATCTGATTGAGCTTTTGATTTGCATTTCTTTGATGATCAGTGATGTTGAGCTTTTTTCATATGTTTGTTGGCAGCATAAAAGTCTTCTTTTGAAAAGTGTCTGTTCATATCCTTTGACCACTTTTGGATGGGTTTTTTTTTGTAAATATGTTTAAGTTACTTGTAAATTCTGGATATTAGACCTTTGTCAGGTGAGCATATTGCAAAAATGTTGTCCCATTCTGTAGGTTGCCTGTTTACTCTGATGGTAGTTTCTTTTGCTGTGCAGAAGCTTTTTAGTTTAATTAGATACCATTTGTCAATTTTGGCTTTTGTTGCAATTGCTTTTGGTGATTTTGTCAAGAAGACTTTGCCCATGCCTATGTCCTGAATGGTATTGCCTAGGTTGATGAAATATATCTCAAAATAATAAGAACTATTTATGAGAAACCGACAGCCAATATCATATTGAATGGGAAAAAGCTGGAAGCATTCCCTTTGAAAACTGGTACATGACAAAGATGTCCTCTCTCACCACTCCTATTCAACATAGTATTGGAAGTTCTGGCCAGGGAAATCAGGCAATAGAAAGAAATAAAACATATTCAGATAGGAAGAGAGGAAGTTAAGTCATCTCTCTTTGCTGATGACATGATTTTATATTTAGAAAACCCCATCATCTTTGCCCCAAAATTTCTTGAACTTATAAGCAACTTGAACAAAGTCTCAGGATGCAAAATCAATGTGCAAAAGTCACAAGCATTCCTGTACACCAACAAGAGGCAAGCAGACAGCCAAATCACGAATGAACTCCCATTCACAATTGCTACAAAGAGAATAAAATACCTAGGAATACAGCTATCAAGGGATGTGAAGGACTTCTTCTAGGAGAACTGCAAACCACTGCTCAAGGAAATAAGAGAGAACACAAACAAATGGAAAAACATTCCATGCTCATGGATAGGAAGAATCAATATCATGAAAATGGCCATACTGACCAAAGTAATTTATAGATTCAGTGCTATTCCCATCAAACTACCATTGACATTCTTCACCGAATTAGAACTATTTTAACTTTCATATGGAATCAAAGAATACCTCATATAGCCAAGACAATCCTAAGCAAAAAGAACAAAGCTGGAGGCATCAGGCTACCTGACTTCAAACTATACTACAGGGCTACAGTAACCAAAACAGCAAGGTACTTGTATCAAACCAGACATATAGACTAATGGAGCAGAGCAGAGACCTCAGGAACAACACCACACATCTACAACCATCTGATCTTTGACAAACCTGACAAAAACAAGCAATGGGGAAAGATCTCCTATGCAGTAAATGGTGCTGGGAAAACTGGCTAGCAATATGCAGAAAACAGAAACTGGACCCCTTCCTTACACCTTATACAAAAATTAACTCAAGACGGTCTAAAGACTTAAATGTAAAACCCAAAACCCTAAAAACCATAGAAGAAATTTCCTATTTATTTTATTAGGAACATGTTTGTGCATGTATACAGTTATACTAAGAATATATCTTCATTTCACTTTCTTTTTTCTTTGTGTGACAAAAGATTTATTCACTTCATATCATCATTTAAATGTAGTTAACTTTATGTAGTAGCATTTGGGTTGGAGATTGGTGCGTTTCCAGTTTTACGAAGGATGGTTGTATTATGTTAGGTGTAATTATGACCTTATTATTGTCTTCATTTGAAGATTATGTGTGTTCTGAGGAGATGTGTATGGGTTCAAGTTGACAAGGGGTGGACTTATGATGGTTAATATTGAGTGTCAACTTGATTAGATTGAAGAATGCAAAGTACTGTTCCTGGGTGTGTCTGTAAGGGTGTTGCCAAAGGAAGTTAACATTTGAGTCAGTGGTGTGGGAAAGGCAGACCCACACTCAATCTGGGTGGACACGACCGAATCAGCTGTTAGCACAACCAGAATAAAAGCAGGCAGAAGAACATGAAAAGACTAGACTGACTTAGTCTCCCAGCCTACATCTTTCTCCCATGCTGAATGCTTCCCATCCTCAAACATCAGAGTCCAACTTTTTCAGCCTTGGGTCTCGAACTAGCTTCCTTGGTTCTCAACTTGTAGATGGCCTCTTGTGGAACCTCACCTTATGATCGTGTGAGTCCATACTCCTTAATAAACTCCCCCTTACATATATCTCTCTATCCTATTAGTTCTGTCCTTCTAGAGAACTGTGACTAATACAAGGAATACAAAGAGGATCAGTGAGTTTGAGAATAGTGAGCAAAAGGTAGAATAGTGCAATATCAGACTGGAGAGTCAGGCCCAAAGCAACTCACTCTATAATCACACTGATATGATCCTCCTCAAAAGTAACTACCATTATGACTTATTTCACTATAAGTTAAGTTTATCTGTTTCTGAACTTCATAATGATAGAATTATATAATTTGAGCACTTTTGTATCTGGACATTTTTGTGAGATTTTTCACCTACAGCATTAATTTATTTGCTCTATATGAAGATTCTGTAATATATTTATCATTTCTACTGTTTTGGCAATTTGAATTGATTTTAGTTGTGGGCTATTAAAAATAGTGCTCCTACGAATATTCCTGCACATGCTTTTTGGTGCACATATGCATACATTTTTGTTGGTATGTGGCTAGGACTGGAATTGCTAGAAAAGAGAGTTCGCTTATGTCCAGCTTTAGTATTTCCATTCAAATATTTTTTTAAGTCGTTTTACCAATTATATTTCCAGAAAGAGTGTTTGAGATTCCAGGAATTCCACATCCTTGCCAATATTTAGCATCATTTGTCTTTTTTATGTTTTTATTTTAGCCATTCTAGTGGATATGTGGTTTCATTATTTTAATTTACATTTTCCTAACAAGTAATGAAGTGGAGCACTCCATCACATTTGGATACCCTCTTTTGTGCAAAGTCCTTTTTCATGCAAGTCTTTTGCCTATTTGTCTTTAACAGTGACTGGGACCATATGATAGATCAACAGGAGACAGGAGGGTTATTATAGAGTTGGATGTGAAAGTATGTATAACAGAATGTGATGAGGAGGTAATGGATATGATGATGTTTATGAAGGTTTTCATAACTATGGTGGCTACAACAATTATGGCTATGGAAATAATGGCTTCGATGACAGAATGATAGAAGAGGTATGAGAGGACATGGCTATGGCAGAGCTAATGATGCAAGTTCAGGTTTTCATGGTGGTCATTTCTTTTGTATATTAGAGGGTTGCCTTTTTATGCAACTGAAAATAACATTGCTAATTTCTTCTCACCACTAAATCCAGTATGAATTCATATTGATATTGAAGCTAATGGCGGAGCAACAGAAGTAGATATAGAGTTTGCGACATATAAAGATGCGGTAACATCATGCTAATTGAAATAAGCCAATCACAGAAGGACAAATACTGCTTGATTCCACTTACACAAGGTATCTCACCTAGTCAAACATAGAAACACAAAGTAGAATGGTGCTTTCCAGGAGCTAGTGAGAGGGGAAAATGGTGACTTGATGTTCAATAGACATAGAGTTCCAGTTATGAAAGATGAAAAAGTTCTAGAGACAACCTTATGCTTATAGATAACAACTCTGTACTGTACACTTAAAAATTTGCGAAGAGAGTTGATCTCATAGTGTTTTTTCAATACAATAAAAAGTTAAATTGCCACTGGAAATATTTTTCTATATCAGTGCTCTTTCAACTGTGATCCACAAATTGTGCTAACAATAAACTCTTTGTTATGGAAAAAAAAGGAAAAAAAAGATGCAGTAGTTGCCGTGTCTAAACATGAAAAAAAAAATGCAGCATTGATAAATTAAACTATTTTGAATTCTGCTCTGGAATGAGAGGTTCTGGAATGGGAGGCCACAGCAGAGATGGAATGAATAATCAAAGAGGTTATGGCTCTGTTGTAAAAATGAAAATGGGGAACAGTTACATGGAAAATATGGTGCTGCTGATGGCTTGGGTGTTTATGGCCATGGTGGTGGAGGCAGTGGAGGTTACTATAGGCAAGGCAGCATGAATGGAGGTAAATGGTGTGGAATGTACTGAAAGCATAACAACCAACATACAAGTCTTGACAACAGCATCTAGTCTACTAGACTTTCTTACAGATTTAATTTCTTTTGTATTTTAAGAACTTTATAATGAGCTTGGTGTAGTGGTTCACACCTGTAATCCTAGCTCTTTGGGAGGCTGAGGCCAGTAGATCACTTGAGTTTAAGAGTTTAAAACCGGCCTGGACAACATGGTAAAACCCTGTCTCTACCAAAAATAGGAAAATTAGCCTGGTGTGGTGGCGCATGCCTGTAGTTCCAGCTCCTCGGGGGGCTGAAGCAGAAGGATAGCTTGAACCCATGAGGCCGAGGTGGCAGTGAGCCAAGATGGCTCCACTGCATTCCAGCCTGGGTGACAAAGTGATACTCTGTCTCAGAAAAAAAAAAGGACTTTATAATGGCTTAATGACTGAAGGAATGTGTTTTCAAAATATTATTTGGTAAAGCAACGGATTGCAATGGGAAAATCTGTTTTCTGTAGGTTTTATTTGTTGCATACTTTGAATTAAAAATAATTTTTATATTTAAACCACCGATGTTGAAATTTTTATATACTAGTTACTTCTAAAAATGTCTTGCTTTCATAAGATTTGGATTGATGTATTTTACTATTAGTTCTACAAGAAGTAATGTGCTATAATTTCAGAGGATAATGATTCGCCTCTGCATAAACTGAAAGTCTTAAGCAGACATCTGGAACTGAGCTTGACAAATAATTAGTGCAACCTTTTTCTTTAATTTCTCCTGGAAAACACAGTAAGTATAAAGCTTAAAGATGAAGAGGCTTCAGGAGTATAAATTCAGCTAATTATTTCTATATTTGTTATTCTTTTTCAAAGGTCATTTATCAAGCACAGTTCTGAAATGTTGATAATCTAAGAGGTAACTTAGATACTGAATATTCATAATTGTGTTGACTAGGGATGGGAGTGCTGGAAGTTTGAATTCGAGCCCTATATTTTGGAGTAAAATCCCTTCAGCTGTTGGCCAAAATATGAAAAAATATTTCCAAAAAAGTGATAGTTGTGAGTTATTTCAAGAAGTCTTAGAATAGGGTTAAGATTCTTAGTGACACAAGAATTCAGTATAAGTACATGGGTATTCACTATGGAGTATAATTCTTACAAATGTCTTTGCAGTTTTCTGCTCAAAAGAACATACGGTTATTAAATAATTAAATAAATAAATGACTTTTTAAAAATGTAAACAAGAAGTTTATGTTATGGTCAATTAAAACAAACCTGCAGTTGGATTTTGCACCTGTTATCTGCTTAGAGTTTTAGTTAAAAATATTATAAGTAGCAAGAAAAATGTGCTTTTTAATTTTAATAACTTTGATCAATATTGATTTTTTCCAAATTGGCTAATGAATCAAAATGAAACTTGTCAATGTAAATTCAGTGATTAATCTTCTTACTTGCTTCTGCCAGAAATGTTAATGTGATAAATGTCAATGTGGGAGATAATATAAATCAATCAATCAATAAATAGATTAATGGGAGGTCTTTATCCTCTGGATACATGTCCTCTGTCCTATATATGTGTGTGTGTGTGTGTGTTTATATAAATATATATAGTATATGTATATATGTGTTATATATATAAATATTATACCTTTCACATATGGAATTACTTTTTGTGTACAGTATGAATTAGGAATTTATCTACATTGTTTTATTATAACTACTCAATAGATCAAACATTACTTATTGAAAAGACCATTATTTCCTCACTCTACTTCAGTGTTAATTTTTTCATGAGACAGATAAATATATTTGTGGGTCCATTTCTTAACTTTCTATTTAATTCCATTGATCTATTTGTCTATTAATACACCAATGTCATACCGCTTTAACTATTATGGTGTTAAAACAGATTTTAATATCAGGTAATATAAGCTTTCCAGCATTGTTATTCATCTTCAAGAACACTTTGGCTACTTTCAGACACTGGTATCTCAATACAAATTTAGGAATTTGCTTATCAATTCCCACAAAACACCTACCGAGGTTTTTACAGAAATTTTATTGAATCTCTAAAATAATTTAGTGGTAAAGGATACCTTTCAATATTGAGTCTTCTAATCTATGAGCATGATCTATTCAGTTATTTATTAAGGTCATATTTATTTTTTCTCAATAATACCTGATTGTTTTCACTGTAGAGATCTTACATATTTTTGTTACATTTATTTCTAATTATTTGAAGTTATTAAAGCTATTATAAAATACATATTTTTAAGTTGATTTTTTGTTGGATATGGAAATGCATTGATATTTAATATTGATCTTTTATCAAGAGACATTTCTAAATTTATTTACTAAATCTAATATTATTGTTTGTTTGTAAATACTTTGCATTTTCTACATAACAAGTCAGGCTGTCTACTAATAACAAAAGTTCTATTTCTTTTTTTGTTATCCTTATGCTATAAATTTATATTTCTTGCTTTATTGCACTGACTAAAACTACAAATAAAAAGCTGACTAGAAGTGGTGGTAGCAGACATTCTGTTTCATTCCCAATCACACAAGGGACGCTTTCAATAATTTTCCATTGAGGAAGATGTTTTCCATAGATTTTCTAGACACATACTTTCAATCAGATTAAGAAAGTTCCCTTGTATTTCTCATTTGCTAAGAGTTTAAACCAATTGCTCTTTTCTGCATCTATCAAAATTGCCATATGTGATTTCTCACTTTCTCCTTATTAGCGAAGTGGATTACACTGATTAATTTTAAAATGTTAAACTAGCTTTTCATTTCTATATTAAATCATAATTTATTATACTTTATTATTCTTTTCGTATATCATCAGTGTTAATTTGTTAATGCTCTTTTCAAGATATCTGCATCTATGCTTGGGAGAAATATTGATCTGTAATTTTCCTTTCTGGTGATGTCCCTATACAATTTTAATATTAAACTTCTGCTAGCCTCAAAAAAAGTTGCAATGTGGGTCTTTCTTTTCTATTCCTTGGATGAGTAGGTGGAATATTGAAGTTATTTCTTCCACATATTTGCAAGTGTTCATCAACAAAGCCATATGCCTCAGATTTCCTTTGGGGACATCTTTATAATGGAATAAACTTATTTAACAAAGACAAGCAGCTCTTGCTTTGCATAATTCTTATAAGAATGAAATTCATTTTCCACAATTTACTTAAATAGCACACGTCTCCTAAAAACATGGTTTAGATTTCACTTACCATAGAGTATTAACTGAGTAACTGCATAAAGTCCAAATTTTACTGCTATTTTTTCCATCTACAAATAACTACACAAATGGCATGCACAGCATAATAGGTGACCAACCTCATCAATTATTTCAAAGTCCATTGTAGATTGGTCAGAGCAGATGTAATTTGGTTCACACAGAAAAGGCAAAGCAAGTAGCTCTGTTCCTTCCTTATCTGACATGGGTAAATTCATGAGGCATTTTATGAAAACGGATCATTGAAATAGGAAACTGACCAACATAGATGGAAGTTTATTAAATAAATGAAAAGTGATAAAGAATGCTGCAAGTGAAATTGGATGTGATTAAAATATTTGAAAATAGTAACAGTAAAGGAGATGAGGCCTAGGCCTGCATGAAGCCATAGTATGAACCATATTGAAAAAGTTTGATGAAAAAGAAACAGGAGTAATAAGAAGAGAGAAGATTCAAATAAACAAAATAAAAAATGACAAAGGGAATATTACCACTGACCCCACAGAAATACAACCATCAGAGAATATTATAAACACTTCTATGCACATAAACTGGAAAATCTAAAAGAAATTTGATAAATTCCTGGATACACACACACTCCCAAAATTGTTCCAGTAAGAAATTGAATCTCTCAACAGACCAATAATGAGTCTGAAATTGAGGCAGTAATACATAACCTAACAAGCAAAAGATTCCTGGATCAGATGGATTCACAGCTGAATTCTGTCAGAGGTACAAAGAGCTGGTACCACTTCTACTGAAACTATTCCAAAAAATTGAAAAACCGGGACATCTTCCTAACTTATTATATGAGGCCAGCATTATCCTCATACCAAAACCTGCCAGTGATTCAGCACAAAAATAAAACGTCAGGTCAATCTCTTTGAAGAATATCGATGAAAAAATTCTCAACAAAATACAGGCAATTCGTATCCAGCATTACATCAAAAAGCTTATCCACGTTGTAGGTTGCCTGTTCACTCTGATGGTAGTTTCTTTTGCTGTGCAGAAGCTCTTTAGTTTAATTAGATCCCATTTGTCAATTTTGGCTTTTGTTGCCATTGCTTTTGGTGTTTTGGACATGAAGTCCTTGCCCACGCCTATGTCCTGAATGGTAATGCCTAGGTTTTCTTCTAGGGTTTTTATGGTTTTAGGTCTAACGTTTAAATCTTTAATCCATCTTGAATTGATTTTTGTATAAGGTGTAAGGAAGGGATCCAGTTTCAGCTTTCTACATATGGCTAGCCAGTTTTCCCAGCACCATTTATTAAATAGGGAATCCTTTCCCCATTGCTTGTTTTTCTCAGGTTTGTCAAAGATCAGATAGTTGTAGATATGCGGCATTATTTCTGAGGGCTCTGTTCTGTTCCATTGATCTATATCTCTGTTTTGGTACCAGTACCATGCTGTTTTGGTTACTGTAGCCTTGTAGTATAGTTTGAAGTCAGGTAGTGCGATGCCTCCAGCTTTGTTCTTTTGGCTTAGGATTGACTTGGCGATGCGGGCTCTTTTTTGGTTCCATATGAACTTTAAAGTAGTTTTTTCCAATTCTGTGAAGAAAGTCATTGGTAGCTTGATGGGGATGGCATTGAATCTGTAAATTACCTTGGGCAGTATGGCCATTTTCACGATATTGATTCTTCCTACCCATGAGCATGGAATGTTCTTCCATTTGTTTGTGTCCTCTTTTATTTCCTTGAGCAGTGGTTTGTAGTTCTCCTTGAAGAGGTCCTTCACATCCCTTGTAAGTTGGATTCCTAGGTATTTTATTCTCTTTGAAGCAATTGTGAATGGGAGTTCACTCATGATTTGGCTCTCTGTTTGTCTGTTGTTGGTGTATGAGAATGCTTGTGATTTTTGTACATTGATTTTGTATCCTGAGACTGTGCTGAAGTTGCTTATCAGCTTAAGGAGATTTTGGGCTGAGACAATGGGGTTTTCTAGATAAACAATCATGTCGTCTGCAAACAGGGACAATTTGACTTCCTCTTTTCCTAATTGAATACCCTTTATTTCCTTCTCCTGCCTGATTGCCCTGGCCAGAACTTCCAACACTATGTTGAATAGGAGCGGTGAGAGAGGGAATCCCTGTCTTGTGCCAGTTTTCAAAGGGAATGCTTCCAGTTTTTGCCCATTCAGTATGATATTGGTTGTGGGTTTGTCATAGATAGCTCTTATTATTTTGAAATACGTCCCATCAATACCTAATTTATTGAGAGTTTTTAGCATGAAGGGTTGTTGAATTTTGTCAAAGGCTTTTTCTGCATCTATTGAGATAATCATGTGGTTTTTGTCTTTGGCTCTGTTTATATGCTGGATTACATTTATTGAATTGCGTATATTGAACCAGCCTTGCATCCCAGGGATGAAGCCCACTTGATCATGGTGGATAAGCTTTTTGATGTGCTGCTGGATTCGGTTTGCCAGTATTTTATTGAGGATTTTTGCATCAATGTTCATCAAGGATATTGGTCTAAAATTCTCTTTTTTGGTTGTGTCTCTGCCCGGCTTTGGTATCAGAATGATGCTGGCCTCATAAAATGAGTTAGGGAGGATTCCCTCTTTTTCTATTGATTGGAATAGTTTCAGAAGGAATGGTACCAGTTCCTCCTTGTACCTCTGGTAGAATTCGGCTGTGAATCCATCTGGTCCTGGACTCTTTTTGGTTGGTAAACTATTGATTATTGCCACAATTTCAGAGCCTGTTATTGGTCTATTCAGAGATTCAACTTCTTCCTGGTTTAGTCTTGGGAGAAAATTTTCGCAACCTACTCATCTGACAAAGGGCTAATATCCAGAATCTACAATGAACTCAAACAAATTTACAAGAAAAAAACAAACAACCCCATCAAAAAGTGGGCGAAGGACATGAACAGACACTTCTCAAAAGAAGACATTTATGCAGCCAAAAAACACATGAAGAAATGCTCATCATCACTGGCCATCAGAGAAATGCAAATCAAAACCACTATGAGATACCATCTCACACCAGTTAGAATGGCAATCATTAAAGAGTCAGGAAACAACAGGTGCTGGAGAGGATGTGGAGAAATAGGAACACTTTTACACTGTTGGTGGGACTGTAAACTAGTTCAACCATTGTGGAAGTCAGTGTGGCGATTCCTCAGGGATCTAGAACTAGAAATACCATTTGACCCAGCCATCCCATTACTGGGTATATACCCAAAGGATTATAAATCATGCTGCTATAAAGACACATGCACACGTATGTTTATTGTGGCACTATTCACAATAGCAAAGACTTGGAACCAAGCCAAATGTCCAACAATGATAGACTGGATTAAGAAAATGTGGCACAAATACACCATGGAATACTATGCAGCCATAAAAAATGATGAGTTCATGTCCTTTGTAGGGACATGGATGAAATTGGAAACCATCATTCTCAGTAAACTATCGCAAGAACAAAAAACCAAACACCGCATATTCTCACTCATAGGTGGGAATTGAACAATGAGATCACATGGACACAGGAAGGGGAATATCACACTCTGGGGACTGTGGTGGGGTCGGGGGAGGGGGGAGGGATAGCATTGGGAGATATACCTAATGCTAGATGACACGTTAGTGGGTGCAGCGCACCAGCATGGCACATGTATACATATGTAACTAACCTGCACAATGTGCACATGTACCTTAAAACTTAGAGTATAATAAAAAAAAAAAAAAAATTAAAAAAAAAAAAAATTAAAAAAAAAAAAAAAAAAAAAAGCTTATCCACCAAGATCAAGTAGGCTTTATCCCTGGGATGTAAAGTGGGTTCAACATATGCAAATCAAGAAATGTAATTTATAACATAAACAGAACTAAAAACAAAAACTACATGACTATCTCAATAAGGGCAGCAAAGGCATTCAATAAAATTCAACATCCATTCATGTTAAAAACTCTCAATAAACTAGGTACTGAAGGACAATACCTCAAAATAATAAGAGCTATATATGATAAACCCACAGCTAACATCATACTAAATTGGCAAAAGCTGAAATCATTCCCCTAGAAAACTGTCACCAGACAAGTATGCCCTCTCTCGCCATTCCTATTAGTCATAGTATTGGAAGTCCTGGCCAGGGCAATCAGGCAAGAGAAAGAAAAAAGTGCTTTCAAATAGGAAGAGAGGAAGTCAAACTATCCCTGTTTGCAGACAACATGATCCTATATCTATAAAATCCCATTGTTTTAGCCCAAAATCTTCTTAAGCTGATAAAGAACTTCAGCAATGTTTCAGGATAAAAAAATCAATGTGCAAAAATCACGAGCATACCTATACACCAACAACAGTAAAGCAAAGAGCCAAATCACGAACAAACTCTCATTTACAATTGCCACAAAAAGAATAAAATACATAGGAATACAGCTAACTACGGAGGTGAAAGATCTCTACAAGGAGTACTACAAACCAATGTTCGAAGAAATCCGAGATGACACTAACAAATAAAGAAAATTCCATGCTCATGGATAGGAAGAATAAATATAGTTAAAATGGCCATACTCCTCAAAGCAATTTATAGATTCAATGCTGTTCCTATTAAGCAATCATTAAGATTCTTCACAGAACTAGAAAAAAAATTTTAATTTATATGAAACCAGAAAAGAGCCTGAATAGCCAAGAAAATCCTGAGCAAAATGAACAAAGTTGCAGGCATCACATTACCAGACTTCAAATTATACTACAAGGCTACAGTAACCAAAACAGCATGGTACTGGTACAAAAACAGGCACATCAAACAGTGGAACAAAATAGAGAGCCCAGAAATAAGGCCATACATCTATGATCATCTGATCTTCAACATAGCTGACAAAAACAAGCAATGAGGAAAGGATTCCTTATTTAATAGATGGTCATAGGATAACTGGCTAGTCATATGCAGAAGATTGAGGCTGGACCCCTTCCTTACAACACATAGAAAAATCAACAATTCGAGATGGATTAAAGACTTAAATATAAAACCAAAAACTACAAAATAAAACCCTGGAAAACAACCTAAACAATACCATTCAGGACATAGCACAGGCAAAAGATGTCATAACAAAGATGCCAAAGGCAATTGCATCTAAAGCAAAATTTGACAAAAGGGATGTAATTAAAGAGTTACTGCACAGAAAAAAAACTATCAACAGAGTAAACAAGCAACCTACAGAATTGTGAGAAAGTTTTGAAAACTGCACATCCAACAAAGGTCTAATAACCAACGTCTACAAGGAACTTAAACAAATTTACAAGAAACAAAACAACCCCATTAAAAAGTAGACAAAAGACATTAATAGGCACTTTTCAAAATAAGATATACATGTGGCCAACAATCATATGAAGAAAGCTCAACATCACTGATCATTAGAGAAATGCAAATCAAAACCACAATGAGATACCATCTTACACGAGTCAGAATCGCTATTATTAAACGTTCAAAAAATAACAGATGATGGCGAGGTTGCAAAGAAAAAGGAATGCTGTTGGGGGAAATGCAAATTAATTCAAACATTGTGGAAGACAGTGTAGTGATTCCTCAAAGACCTAAAGACAGAAATACAATTTGACTCAACAATCCCATTGCTGGGTATATACCCAAAGAAATATCTGTTATATTTCACTATAAAAATCACTCTATTACACAGACACATACACATGTATAATTGCAGCACTATTCACAATAATAAAGACATGGAATCGACCTAAATGTCCACCAATTATAGACTGGATAAGGAAAATGTGATGTATATACATCATGGAATACTAGGCAGCTATAAAAAAGAACAACGTCATATCCCTTGTAGGGACATGGATGCAGCTGGAGGCCATTATTCTTAGCTAACTAACTCAGGAACAGAAAACTATATATCAGATGTTCTCACTTATAAGTTGGAGCTAAATGATGAGAATACATGTACACAGAGAGGGGTAAAACAAACAATGGGGCCTATCAGAATGTGGAGGGTGGCAGGAGAGAGAGAATCAGGAGAAATAACTAATGGTACTGGGCTTAATACCTAGGTGATGAAATAATCTGTACAACAAACCCACATGACACAAGTTTACCTATGTAACAAACCTGTGCCGATACCGCTGAACTTAAAAGATTTTTAAAAAGGACAAAGTTGCATCAACCTTTTTTAGTTTAAATTGAACTAGGAACAGACACCACTTATTGCTAAAATGGAACATTTACTTCCACTTTGGATTAAAAATTATAATAGTAAACAAATCCCAATCAGTTTGTTTACTGTTCAGGCCAAAGCATTGAAGTTGGTTGCCACATTGAAAAAAATGGCATCTACAAGGAGAATGAAGAAACGTTTACTGCCAGTGAAGGCCAATTTCAGCATTTCAGAATTCATCATGAATTGATTAATATTTAATTATCTGGTGAAGCTGCTAGAGCAGATAAGGATGCTGCTGTAAAACCTACACCCAGATTCAGGGATTACTTAATGCAAGTGGCTATGACAAAAATTATGAAGATATTCCAGAGGAAAGATGCCAGAAAAACTTCATATTAACTAAACTTTTGGAGATATTTTATGACACTGAAAGTACAAAATATAAATTGTTGGAAGTTGAGCTCAACTTAGAAAGCAGAATGACAATAAGTAGAGGCGTGGAAAACATATTTACTCTGTATCATGTTACACTGTGAGAAGAAGATAAACACTGCTAAAAACATATTTTTTAAAAAAATAGCAAATAAAAATTTATGTATTTATGATGTGAAAATGATATTTTGATATACATATATTTTGTGAAGTGGCTGACTCAAGCTAATAACGTTTGCAGTACCTCAAAAAATTATCGTGTTTGGGGAGTAAGATAATTTAAAATCTACTGTCTTGGTTGGGTGCAGTGGCTCACACCTGTAATCCCAGCACTTTGGGAGGCCAAGGCGGGCTGATAACCAGAGGTCAGGAGTTCGAGACCAGCCTGACAAACATGGTGAAACTCTGTCTCTACTAAAACTACAAAAATTATCCAGGCGTAGTGGCACATACCTGTAATTGCAGCTACTCGAGAAGCTGAGGTGGGAGAATCTCTTGAAACTGGGAGGCGGAGGTTACAGTGAACCGAGATCTTATCTTTGTTCTCAAAGATAAGTGCAGGAACCACCGCACCCCATCCTGGTTGACAGAGCAAAACCCTGTCTCAAAGAAAATCACAAAAAAACTGTCTTGACAATTTGCAAATATACAATGTGTTGTTACTAACTGTAGTCACAGTGATATACAATAGTTATCTTCAAGGTATTCCTCCTACTCAATTGAAACTTTGTATCCTTTGATCAAATCTCCCCAATCCCCTACCCACTAATCCCTGGTAGGCACCATCCTAATCTCTGCATCTATGAGTTTGACATTTTTAGATTCCAAATATATGTGAGGTCATACAGTTTATGTCTTTCTATAGCTGGCTTATTTCACTTAGCATAATATCTTCAAAGTTCATCTGTGTTGTTCCAAATGACAAGATTTTCTTCTTTTTGAAGGTTAAATAGAATACCATTGAATATATATACAACTTTTTGATCCATTCCTCTATTAATGAACACTTAGGTTCATACCATATCATGACTATTTTGAATAATGCTGCAATAAACATGAGAGAGTAGATATATCTTCATCCTTCTAATGTCATTTTCTTTGGACCCAGTGGTGATATTACTGGATAATATAGTAGTTATATTTTTAATTTATTGAGGAACCTCTATACTTTTTTTCTGTATGGCTGTGCTAATTTACACTCCCACAAAGAGTTGAGGTTTTTCTTTTTTCCATGTCCTCTCCAATACTTATTCTTCATACTAGTCACAGCCATCCTAACTGACATGAGGTGACATTTCACTGTGGTTTTAATTTGCATTTCCCTGACAATTACAGATGGTAAGCATTTTTTCCTATACACTGTTGGCCATTTGTATATCTTATTTTGAGATATGTCTATTCAGGTCCTTTGCTCACTTTTAATCAGGTTGTTTTGTTGCTACTGAGTTGTTTGAGTTCCTTATATATTTTTAAAATTAGCCCATTATCAGATGTATAGTTTCCAAATATGTTCTTTCATTCCATAGGTTATCTTTTCACTCTGCTGACTTTTTTTTTTGGCTTTATGGAAGATTTTTAGTTTAACACAATCTCATTTGTCAATTTATGCTTTTGTTCCCTGTGCTTTTGGGCTATATTTTAAAAATCTTAAAAATCATTTCCCAGACCAACGTCATGGGATTTGCCTTTATGTTTAGTTTTACAGTTTCAGACCTTACATTTAAGTCTTTATTCCATTTGAAGTTGAATTTTGTATTTGGTGTGAGAGGAGACTCTAATTTTATTTCTCTACATGTAGTTATCCAGCTTTCCAAGCACCATTTTTTAAGAGACTCCCTTTTCCTTACCTGTGTGTTCTTGGCATCTTTTCCAAGAATCAATTGACCTTAAGTATGTGAATTTGTTTCTGGGCCTTGTATTCCATCTACTCTATTGGTGTGTGTGTGTCTGTCTGTCTGTCTGTCTGTTTTTTGCCAGTTTCATGCTGTTTTGACTACTATAGCTTTGTAGTATATTTTGAAGTCATGTAGTGTGACATCTCTAACTTTACACTTTTTGGTTAATATTGCTTTGGGTATTCACTGTCTTTTGCAGTTCTACATGAATTTTTGGATAGTTTGTTCCATTTCTTTGAAAATTTCCATTGGAATTCTGACAGGAATTGCATTTAATCTTTAAATTTTTGGGGGGTAATATGGATATTTTAACCATATTAATTGTTCTAATTAATGAGCCTAGAATATCTTTTCATTGGCTTGTGTCTTCTTCAACATCTTTCACCAATGTTTTATAGATTTTCTTAAGGAAATATTTTATTTCTTTGGTTAAAGTTATTCCTATGCACTTTTTTTGTAGATATTAGAAATGTGATTGTTGCCTAAGGTTCCAGAGATTACCGCAACTCCAGGTTTGAGAGGATACATGAAGACTTTCCTTCTGTGGCCATTCACAAGGACAACCTCACAAGGATACAGCCTGTCTGCCAAACATGGACCTGTCTGAGTCAGTTCTTGTGCACCAGATCCAACAAAAGAAATTCAAGCATGAAGCCAGTGATTGAAGGAAGCTACCCCAAGGCCCAAGAATGAAATAGGTGAGGAGAATATTTCTCTATCTTCCACCAAAGAACACTACTGCCAACTGTACCAAAACACAAAAGAGCCTTATAGCAGAGTAAGAGTCTGTCTGCTGTCTTAAAACTCTTAGATACCAACTACTGGATCACAGCCCAAAATACAACACCAAAATATTTTGCCAGTATACAGGGCCTGTGAAAATTAAGGCAAAAATTCCCTCCAGCATCCCACACCAGCTGACACACATGCACCCAACCACATCACCATGGCTGCTGGTACACATGAGCAAGCACAGATAATGCAACCACCGCCCTAAAGAAGCACTTTGGCTGGTGGTCCCCATTGGAGTTTTGTGGGCAGCTGAATGGACACACCTTGGCCTCTTCTCTGCAGCAGTTTCCTGAAATTGAGGGGCCAGAGAACAAATCCAGGAGCCTGGTATCAGCCCCCCAGAATTAGAGCACACAGCCCAGGACTGACTGAGCTGAACCTTGCTCTCCTGAAATCTTCAAGAATAAAGGCTACTTGACTAAACCCACCATATATCAAAATCAAGCCCCCAAGAGCATCAAGGAAGATAAGAGCAAAAAACCACATCCAAAGGACAGCAGCTTCAATGATTAAAGGAACAACAGCCCACACAGATGAGAAAGAACCAGCACAAGAACACATGCAATTCAAAAAGCCAGAGTATCTTCTTACATCCAAATGACCACACCTGTTCCTCAACAATAGTTCTTAGCCAGGCTGAAATGAATGAAATAACAGACATAGAATTCAAAATATGGATAGAAATTAAGATCATCAAGATACAGGAGACAGTCAAAATCCAATCTGAAATAGTTAAGAAATACAATAAAATAATACAAGAGCTAAAATAGAAACTGGCCATTTTAAGAAAGCACCAAACTATCTGATAGAGCTGGAAAACACACTATAAGTATTTGATAACACAATCACAATATTAACAGCAGAATAGACAAAACTGAGGAAAGAATCTGAGAGTAGCTTGAAGACTAGTTTTTTAAATTAACTCAGTAAGATGAGAATAAAGAAACAAGAATGAAAGGAATGAACAAAATATCCATGAAAGATGAGATTATATAAAGAGACCAAATACACAACTCATTGGCAACCCTGAAAGAGAGGGAGAGAAAACAAGCAACTTGGAAAACATATTTCAGGATATTGTCCATGAAAATTTTTCCAAACTCACTAGAGAGGCCAACATTCAGATAACGGAAATGAAGAGAACCCCTGCATAATAGACAAGATGACAATCTCCAAGACACTTAGTCACAAGATTCTTCAAGGATGACATGAAAGTAAAAATATTAAAGGCAGCTAGAGAGAAGAGACAGGTCATCAACAACCGAAACCCCATCAGACTAACAGCAGAACTTTCAGCAGAAACCCTAAGCCAGAAGAGATTGAGGGCCATATTCAGCATTCCTTAAGAAAAGAAACACCAACCAAAAATTTCATATCCAGCCAAATTTAGCATCATAAGTGAAGGAGAAATAAGATTCTTTTTCAGACAAAGAAAAGCTAAGTGAATTTGTTACCACTAGAACTGCCTTACAAGAAGTCTTTAAGGGAGTGCTAAATGTGGAAACGAAAGCCTGTTACCAGCAATCACAACAACACACTTAAGTACATAGCCCACTGATACTATAAAGCAGCTACACAATCAAGTCTGCATAATCACCAGCTAACAACCTGCTTACATGATTAAATCTGACATATATCAATATTAACCTTGAATGTAAATGGGCTAATAGCCCCAATTAAAGGGCACATAGTGGTAAGTTAGATAAAGAAGCAAAACTCAACTGTATGCTGTCTTCAAGTGACCCATCTCACATGCAATGATACCCATAGGCTGAAGGCAAAGGGATCTAGAAAAATCTACCAAGTAAATAGAAAACAAAAACAAACAGGCATTGCTATTCTAATTTCACACACGAAAAAAGGACATTTAAACAACAATTATTAAAAAAAAAGGCAAAGAGAAGCATTTCCAAGTGATAAAGGGTTCAATTCATAAAGAGGACCTAACTATCCTGAATATGTATGACCCCAACACAGGAGCAAACAAATTCATAAAGCAAGTTTAATTAGAGACCAATGAAGAGACTTAGATTCCCACAAAATAATAGTGGGATACTTCAACACCTCACAGACACTATGAGACAGATTATAGAGGCAGAAAACTAAAAAAAGTTACTGAGGAACTCAACTTGACACTTGACCACATGGACCTTACAAACATCTACGAAACATTCCACCTAAATACAGCAACATATACATTCTTGTCATCTGCACATGGCACAAACTCTAAAATTGACTACAGAATTGGCCATAAAGTATTTCTCAGCAAATTAAAAAAAAATCTTACCCACCACACTCTTGGAACACAGCAGAATAATATTAAAAGCCAATATTAAGAATATTTCTCAGAACCATACAATTACATGGAAATTAAACAACCTGCCACTGAATGACTTCTGGGAAAACAATAAAATTAAGGCAGAAATTAAGAAATTTTTTGAAACTAATGAGAACAAAGATAAAACATACCAGAATCTCCTGCACACAGCTAAAGCAGTTTAAGTGGAATGTTTATAGTGCTAAACGTTCACATAAAGAAATTAGAAGATTTCAAATTAACAACCTAACATCGCACTTGGAGGAATGAGAAAAACAAGAGCAAACCAACCTGAAACATAGCAGAAGACAAGAAATAATCAAAATCAGAGTTTAACTGAATGAAACTGATACACGAAAAAACATACAAAAGATCAATGAATCTAGGAGTGGTTCTTTGAAAGGACAAATAAGATTAATAGACATCTAGTTAGATTAATAAAGAAAATAAAAGAAAAGAACCAAACAAATGATCAGAAATAACAAAGAAGATATTGCCATTGTCCTCACAGAAGTAGAAAAAAACCCTTAGAAACTATTACAATCATCTTTATGTACACAATCTAGAAAACCTAGAAGAAATGGATAAATACCTGAAAACAACTTCCCACGATTGACCCAAAAAGAAATTAAATACCTGAACAGACCAACAAAGAGTCATAACATTGAATCCATAATAAGAGGCCTACAAAACAGAAAAATCCCTAGACCAGACGGAGTCAGCGAAAAATACTGCCAGTCATATAAAGAATAGCTGGTACCATTACTATGGAAACCATTCCAAAAAAAAAAAAATTAAGGAAGATGGACTCCTCCCTAACTCATTCTGTGAGGCAAGCATCATTCTGATACTAACCCTGGCAGACATAGAGCAAACAAGAAAATTTCAGGTCAATATCTTTGAAGAAAATAGATGCCAAAATCCTTAACAAAATACTATCAGGCCAAATTCAGCAGCACATCCAAAAGCTAATCCACCATGATCAAGTAGGCCTTATCTCTGTGATGCAAG
Organism: Homo sapiens; assembly: GCF_000001405.40. Classification (NCBI taxonomy): domain Eukaryota; kingdom Metazoa; phylum Chordata; class Mammalia; order Primates; family Hominidae; genus Homo; species Homo sapiens. The sequence goes on from NC_000023.11 coordinate 80,545,814, forward strand.
GTTGGTTGAACATACACATATCAATAAATGTGATTCATTCCATAAACAGAATTAAAATCAAAAGATCACATGATTATCTGAATAGATGCAGGAAAAAAAATTTTAATAAAATTCAACATCACTTCATGTTAAAAACCCTCAACAAATGAGGCATTGAAGGAACATTCATCAAAATAATAAGAGCCATTTATGACAAACACATAGCCAGTATTATACAGAAAGGGCCAAAGCTGGAAGCATTCCCCTTCAGAATCAGAACATGACAGAGATGACTACTTTCACCACTCCTATTGAACAAAATAATGGAAGTTCTAACCAGAGTAATCAGGCAAGAGAAAGAAATAAAAGGCATCCAAATAGTAAAAGAGGAAGTCAAATTATTTCTGTTTGCAGACAATGTGATTTTATGCCAAGCAAATCCCATAGGCTCTGCCCAAAAACGCCTAGATCTGACAAACAACTTCAGCAAATTTCAGGTACAAAATCAATGTACAAAAATCAGTAGCATTTCTATACATCAAAAACATTCAAGCTGAGTGCAAAATCAATAATAAAATTCCATTCACAATAGCCATACAGAAATAAAATACCTAGGAGTACAACTAATGAAGGAGGTGAAAGATCTCTACAATGAAAATTATAAAACACTGATGAAACCAATCAAATATGACACGAACAAATGGGAAAACATTTCATGCTCAAGGATAGAAAGAATCAATGTTCTTACAATGACCACACTGCCCAAAACAATTCACAGATTCAACACTATTCTCACCAAACTAAAAATGACATTCTTGACATAATTGAAAAAAAATTAAAAATTCATATGGAACAAAAAAAGAGCCAGAATAGCTAAAGAAATCCTGAGCAAAAAAAACAAAGCTGAAGGCACTGCATTACCCGACTTCAAACTATACCAAAAGGTTATAGCAACCTAAACAACATGACACTTGTACAAAAACAGATATATAGACAAATGAAACATAATAGAAAGCCCAGAAATAAAGCCACACAGCTACAACCATCTGATCTTCAATAAAATCAACAAAAACAATCAATGGGAAAAGGTCGCTCTATTCTATAAATTGTACCAGTATAACTGGCTAGCCATATGCAGAAGATGGTAATTTCAGCCCTTTCTTACATCATCTACAAAAGGTAACTCAAAATTAATTAAATACTTAAATGTAAAACCTAAAACTATAAACACTCCTTCAGAAATTTTAGAAAATACCATTCTGAATGTAGGCTCTGGCAATAATTTCATGATGAAGATGCCAAAAGCAATTGCAACAAAAACAAAACTAAATTAGTGGAACCTAATTAAACTAAAGATCTTCTACCCAGCAAAAGAAACTATCCAAACAGTAAACAGAAAACTCACAAAATGGAAGAAAATATTTGCAAACTATGTATCCAACAAAGGCCTAATATCCAGAATCTATAAGGAACTTAAATTAACAAGCAGAAAACAACTCCATTAAACAGTAGGCAAAAGACACAAACAGTCACTTCTCAAAAGAAGACACACATGTGACAAAGAAGAAGCATATGAAAAAAAAATACTCAGCAGTACTAATTGTTAGAGAAATGCACATCAAAACCACAATGAGATACCATCTCACACTAGTAAGAATGGCTATTACTAAAAAGTCAAAGAATCACATGCTGGTAAAGTTGCAGAGAAAAGATAATGCTTATAAACTGCTGTTGGTAATGTAAATTAATTCAGCCACTGTAAAAAGCAGTTTGGCATTTCCTCAAAGAACTTAAAATAGAACTGCCATTCAACCCATCAATCCCATTATTGGGTACATATCCAAAGGAGTATAAATTGTTCTACCATGAAGACACATGCATGGGTATGTTGATTGTATCAGTATTCACAATAACAAAGACATAGAATCCACCTAGATGTCCATCAACAGTAGGCTGAATAACAAAAATGTACATGTACACCATGAAATAGTAAGAAGACATTTAAAAAATGAGACCATGTCATGCAGCAATAAGAATTGAGCTGCAGTCCATTACCCTAATTAACAGAAAACCAAGTACTGCACGTCCTCACTTACAACAGGGAGCTAAACATTGAGTGCACATGGACACAAAGAAAACAATAGACACCAAGGCATAATTCAACGTGCAAGGTGGGTGGAGGATGAGGATCAAAAAACAACCTATTGGGTACTGTGCTTATTACGATGTGATGAAATAACCTGTACACCTGTACACATGTGTAACCTGTACACATGATTTTCCTATATAATAAGCCTGCACATGTACCCTTGAAACTAATATAAAAGTTTTTTAAAAAGTAATGTTATTTTCTAAATTTCTTTTTTGGATAGTTCATTGCTAGTATATGAAAACACTACTGATTTTTGTATATTGCTTTTTATCCTGCAACATTACTGAATTCATTTATTATTTCTAACCATTTTTTGTGGAATTTGTAGGGTATTTTTAATACATAAAGATCACGTTATCTGCAAACAGAGATGATTTTACATCTTCCTTATTTAGGTGCAGTTTATGTTTTTTCTTTTATCTCAATGATCTGAATAGAAATCTTAGTACTATGTCAAATAGAAGTGGATACGGTAGGCCTTTATTCTTGCTGGTGATCATAGAGGAAAAGCTTCTAACTTTTAGCAGTTAGTACGATTTTTTGTAGGCTCATGATATATAATCTTTATTGTGTTAAGGTTGGTTCCTTTTATACCTAATTTATTTACTTTTATCAGAAGGACATTGAATTTTGTTACTTTTTTTGCATCTATTGAAATGGTCATATTGTTTTGTCTTTCATTCTTTTAATGTGGTGTATTGCATTTATAGATGTGTGTGAATGTGTGCGTGTGTGTGTGTGTGTGCATATGTGTGTGTGTGTGTCTGTTGAACCGTCCTTGCATCCATGGGATAAATCCCATTTGATCATGGTAAATGATCTCTTTCTTTTTTTTTTTTTCTTTTTCTTTTTTATTTATTTATTTTTTTTGTGACGGAGTCTTGCTCTGTCGCCCAGGCTGGAGTGCAATGGCGCAGTCTCAGCTCACTGCAACCTCTGCCTCCCGGGTTCAAGCGATTCTCCGTCCTCAGCCTCTGGAGTAGCTGGGATTACAGGTGCCCGCCACCATGCCTGGCTAATTTTTGTATTTTTAGCAGAGATGGGGTTCCACCATGTTGGCCAAGCTGGTCTTGAACTGCTGACCTCGTGATCCGCCCGCCTCAGCCTCCCAAAGCGCTGGGATTACAGGCATGAGCCACTGCATTTGGCCAGTAAATGATCTCTTAGAAGTGCTGTTGAATTTGATTTCCTAGCATTTTGTGAAGATTTTGGCATCTATGTTTATAAAAAACATTGGCCTGAAAATTTCTTTTCTTGTAGTCTTCTTGTTCAGATTTGATATCAGAGTAATGCTGGTCTCCTAAAATGAACTTGGAAGTATCTTCTATTTAATTTTTTGAAAGAGTTTGAGAAAAATTGGTATCATTTGGTTTTTAAATGTTTGGCAAAATTCAGTAGTAGAGCTATCAAGACCTGAAATACTTGTTATTACCTATTCAATCTTCTTACTCATTATTAGTCTGCTCAGACTTTCTTTTTCTTCATGATTCATTCTTGATAGGTTGTATATGCTTAGGAATTTATCCATTTCTTCTAGGCTACCTAATTTTTTTCATATAATTGTTCATAATCATCTTTTATGATCCTTTGTATATATGGTATCAGTTGTAATGATTCCGCTTTCTGTTTTTATTTGACACTTTTGTTTTTCTTAGACTAGCTACGATTATCTTAATTATATTTTGAAAAAAAACCTCAGTTTTGTTTATTTTTTCTAATGTATTTTAGGGTCTATTTCATTTATTTCTGCTCTGATATTTATTATCTTTTTTCCTTCTACCAACTTAGGGTTTAGTTTGGTCTTCTTTTCCTAGTTTTTTGAAGTATAAAGTTAGGTTGTTTGAGATCTTTCTACCTTTTTGATGTGGGCGTTTATTGCTGCTTAGAGCTGCTTTTGCTGTATCCCCTAAGATTTTGTATCCTTTGCTTCCATTTTCCTTAGTTAAAAATATTTTTTTGATTTTCCCTTTTAGTTTCTCCTGTTACCGGTTAGTTGATCAGGAGTGTGTTATTTAATTTGCATATGTCTGTGAATTTTCCAGTTTGACTTCTGTTATTGACTTATAGTTTCATACCATTGTAGTGGAAAATATATTTGATATAATTCAATCTTATTGAATTTGTTGACTTTTTTTGTGGTCACTCCAGCAGCGACCTGGGTCTTAAGATACTTCTGCTGGTTTTCAGTGGGTCTATATTAATACTGCTTGAGAGTGATAAAAATGCATACTTGAAATTACCTAAATTGTGTAACAAAGCCAAGAAAGAATTATAAAGTGAAAAAGAAATGTCAATTATTTTCTTTAAACTGCAATTTCTACACATTAACAGAATACAGGGAGAAAACAGAAAGATTCCTAAGTTCATGAGATGCAACAGTAAGTCAAAAAATAACGACTGTACAGGAAAGTATAGTAGCAAAGCACTGTCTCGCTGACTTTAAGCAGTTCCTGAAGAAAACTGTGGCCATTAAAAGATCTTTTTGGAGAACTAGATAATCATTAATAGAAAAGAAAGCATACTCTTTCCTGTGTAATTCCCCAAAGAAAAGTGTGATAGGCTTCACGGCAGGTAAATTTTATTTTAAATACCCTTAAAACTGCAAATTCTACATCTATTTAAAATACATATATATATATATATATATATATATATATAAAATTTGGGGGCACTTATTGGAAATGACGTATTTCTTCTGCCTTTGAGCCTCCACTACATTGTGGCTAGGCCCGTGAGGACACACACACAAACCCCTAATTCACAAAATAAAATTTACATGCTTTCTCATGTGGTTCAGAAATGGTTCTGATAGGATAACAGAAGATTTAAAAGTATATTAAAACCAACTGCTTTTGAAACTAAAAATGTTTCCTTGTCCCCTCTGCAGGGTGTGCAATGGGGGTGTGATGTGCTTCTTCAGTGCCCCTGTGCTCAAACCTCTAGAGGGAGCTCGCAGATGGCTAAGTTGTGGAGCTCCGACCACAAGGCAGTGTCTAGGAGTGAATGTGTTACAGTATGCCCTTTCAGTTTAGCCTCCCATAGGTGGCCATTGTGTTAGTCAGCTCAAGTAGACCAACTGCCTTATCGCAAGGACAGACGGCTTTCTGTATCCTGCGGTTTCTTGCCTTGGTGTACTGGAAGAATTGGATCACACGTGGGCTTGGAGAATGAGTGCAAAGTTTTATTGAGAGGAAGTAGCTCTTCAGCAGATCGGGGAGCCAGAAGGGAGATGGAGTGGGAAGGTGGTTTTCCCCTGGAGTTGGGCCACTCAGCGGCTGGGGCTCTCCTCCAACTGTCCTGGCCAAACTCCACACTGTTCCACCTGTTGATGGCCTGCTGGTATGCCGATATCTGTTGGTGAGCTCTTATGCCAGTGCGTTCCTCTCTGCTTGCGTGCCGGCCTGCTAAAGTATTGAGGTTTTTTTAGGCACATGATGGAGGAATGGTGGATCAGGATGGTCTTGGAAAATGCAATATTTGGGCAGGAAAACAGAAATGCCTGTCTTCACCTATGTTCTTGAGCACAAGCATGGGGTTGGAGCCCTAGCCAGGAACCACACCCTTCCCTTCCCTGTATTTCCCTGCCTCACTTCAATATTACTTGCAAAAAACATTATTAAAAATATGAACCTCAAACTTCCTGAGTAAATTGGGCTTAAAAAGTTATTGAAAGGCTAAAACATAAGTGAAAAACTTTCATTTTTGTTGTTTTGCCTTGGTCTTAGATCATCAGCTCATACTCTATATTTTGGGGAAGAGCTTACTAATGACTTTACAGGGGCTCACTGGTGTGTTAGGAACGAGTTAGAAGAATGCCAGTGTATTATTCTCCTCAATGTTTGAGAAAGCCAAGTGGGGCCTAGGGCTCAACATTGGCCAGCCCTGAGCTTCTGTCTCTGTATAGACAGAGACAGAATAGAGGAGTATTCCAGTACTCCTCTATTGAGGAGTAGGCAAGGAGATCAATTAGATTGCAGTATTGTCCAGTAAGTTATACAAATATTTTCAGTTTTGATGGGTGTCATGTGTGAAAAATATTAGAAAGCACTTTTTAAGAAATGCCTTGTAAAGTGTTTATCAAAATGTACTCTATAGAGTCCCATGACTTGCTCTTTGAGGATGGAGTTCTGTGGCCAAATAATTTTGGGCATGATCACCTTTTCTTCCTGTTGAAAATTAATAATGAAAATTAGCATAGTAAAAGTTAAGAAGTCTTACAGTAAGAGAACATGTTTAATTTTACTTAACCCAGTGTTTTCCAAATGCATTGGACCATGGGAAATTTTATTTCTTTCTTTCTCATTTTGTAGTGAAACTAATGTTTTGTAAAGAGATAATAATAATAATACCTACCTCATAGTGTTATTTTAAGAATTAAAATTATGCACAGAGAGTTCTTAGCATAGTCTCACATATAGTAAATATACAATATATGTTATCCATTATCCAAATACACAATATATGTTATCCATAGTTGTTATTATAATCAGCCAAGAGTTACAGCAATCAGTTTCAGTGACTATTGAACAAGACAAATTTGAAATTAAGAGACATTAACAAAGACATTAAGAGTGGTAATAAAGAGAAGAGATCTAGAAATATTGAGACCAGTGAATCATTGGGATTTGGTAGCAAATTGGTTGTAGAATGTGCAGTGGAAATAATAGATAAGAGTAATCTCAATTTTTTTTGCTTGAGTGATTAAGCAAATGATGGTGTAATTCCTATGAGAAAAGTAACATGATGTGTCAATTCAGATCCCAAGAAATAAGATTTAGAGAAGGAGTATGAATTATAAGATTTATTTGAGAAAATTCCTGTGAAGGATAGAAGAAAAAGATATGAGGAGTAGGCAAGAAGATCAATTAGATTGCAGTATAGCCTGACACCAATGAAAACAGAAAAAAAGAAGAATTTGATTAAATTTCATCAGACTGCAGTGCATCTTTGAAGAAAGCTTCATCTAAAATAATAAAAAGGGCCAAAATAAACATTGCCTATTAAAAGTGTCCCACTTTAGGCAGAAATTACCCAGATTTAGTATTTCTCCTATGTCCAATCATTGGCCCAGAACAGCCCAGGGAGAGCATGACCTCAGTGTAAGTACTGAGATGGAACTAAAAGATGTATTACTTGAAAACTGCAGGATTTTTTCTTGAAGAAAAATTATGGCTACCACACATAGGGTAGTAGAGAAAATTTGAAGGCAAAGGTGAGAAGTGATATGATGCATTCAGTTTTCACACATCAAAATTAAAGTGTGAGCTGCCTTACAGACAGTAGAATATGCAGGTCTGGCACTGAGGACAAAAATCAAGCCTAGAGATGCAGATTTGAGACTCTTCAGGGAAAAGATGACAGAAAAAGCAATAGGATGGTTAAGATTTCATAAAACAAAAGTGTAGATTTATATGAGATCATGTACTAGCTTTAAAAGTATGTTCAATAATTACTTAATACTAATCCATTTAAGAAGGGAAGGCTAATTTCTGTCCCCTTGAGTGTAGGTAAGACTTAATGAGGTTCTTACTTACTAAGTACTTACTTAAGACTTAATGACTTAATTTTTTATTACTATCAGTATTGAAATAGAATTCACATACCATATAATTTATATTTTTACTGTGTACAATTTAGTGATGTTTGGTATATTCATAAGGCTGTGCAACCATCACCACTATATAATTGAAAATATTTTCATCACCCCAAAAAGGAACACATTCCTTACTAATTATTCCACAAACTTCTTTTGCTCAGCCCCTGATAACTACTAATTTACTGTGTCTCTCCATATTAGGCTACAGTAGACATTTCATTAAATGGCATTATACAATACATGTGTTTTTGTGTTTGTCTTCTTTCACTTAGCATGTTTCCAAGTTTTGTCCGTGTTGGAGCATGTATTAATACTTTATACCTTTTTATGGCTGAAAAATATCCCATTGTAAGAGTATACACATTTTCTATAGCCAATCATCAGTTAATAAACGTTTAGGATTTTCCCACTGTTTTAATATTATAAATGACATCATTACAAATATTTTTGTGTATAGACATATACTTTTAATTATTTTTCACATATACCTAAGAATTTGATTGATTTGTCATAGGGTAATTTTATGTGTAATTTTTTGAGAAACTTTCAAACTGACTTTCAAAGGAGCTACACAACTTAATTCTGGTAAATGTGTAACAAAAGCTCAGTATAACTCAGCAAACACAGTACAAAGCTGCACAACTCAGAAGTCAAACTGGCCAGCCAGCAATGGTACATTGTTGACTAGCATGCTGAGAGAGCATGCTAGTCAACAAACAGTAGCTCAAAGACTATTGTCAACAACAAGTAGCAGAGACAGTTCATAAGCCAAAGGAAGAGGGGTATGATTCTGGTGGACATGACCAGTGCCTGTACATCCTGCTGATAGCAGTAATTTGTTATGGACATATTACAGAAACAGAAGACTACAGTCCCACACCAAAAATTGATCTTAGCTGTTAATATTGATGATGCCACAAACATACTAATCAGCTAAGAAAAGGCTTACGACACACATATTGAGTTTCTTGGATAGCAGTGCAAACTTTTTAAGTATGTCCAAAGTCACTTGAGAGAACACAGAAAGGAAAGTTGTTTGAGAGTTTTTATGGTATTAGAAAGTGAAGCTGTGGTGAAGGTTCTCATGTGTGGATAAAGTTTGCATGCTTTCAACTTTATGCCAACACCAAAAAGGGAACAACTAGGCATTCTTATTAGCTTTCCCAGATACAGGGTAGAAAAAGTAGACGTGAGGCTGAAAAGCTGTCAGAAGCCAAACATCAAAGTATGATGAGTTTATTACACTCAAATGTGTGTATGGATTGGTTGTGTGGAATTTTAGGATTTTCTATATACAATATAATGTCAAGTGATGTCAGCAAGATGGCAGAACAGGAGGTCTCAGCCCTCATCTACTCACAGAAACAATAATAAAACAAAAATACTTGGGCCAAATTACCTTTCTAAGGCCTCCAGAATCCAAGTAAGAAGTTGCAACACCTCAGATAAGCACAAAATAAAGAAAAACAACTTGGAAACAGGTAATAAGAGCTGTTTACCTTTAACCATGTGAACCTCTCCCAGAAGCTAGCACAGCTCAGTGCCAAGAAACATCCACTAGGCCCATGATTTCTCCCTCAGGGGAAAGACTGACTGAAGCATGCATCTGACATCCTCAGCCATAAAGAGCAATGCTTGAGAGATCTATGTCTGTTGCATCTTCCTCAGAATGCTGAGGCAACCAGCTTAGTTAAAATGCCTGGGAACAGATAAGAACAAAAAAAAAGATGGCGGCTCTCAGCAGCCTAAAAAGCTCTGAAGGATTGAAAGTAGGTGCACAATTTTCAAGACTTCACTTTTAGGAGGGTGGGAGAAAAGTGGAGGTTGCTCTCTGTCTCCCAGAGTTGTAGTGCACCACACTAGGAAAAAGAAGCAAGCACCTCTCAGAAGTCTGCAAGGTTCTGTGGGATTGAGAAATAATACACAATCCTAACACTTCTCCTCAGAAAAAAGGGAGAAAAGTAGAACTTGCACCCGGCTTCTGGCATTCCAATGGACTCCTGTAGGGAAAAGTGGTTGGTGGCTATGAGCAACAGGCACTACTCTGCAGGATTAACAGAAGATGCATAATTCTGAGAAACTTCATATCCACAAGGGAGGGAAAGAAATGGATCTTGATCTCAATCTCCCAACACTTCAATGCAATTCCCTAGAGAAAAGGAGTGGGACGCTATCAGGAGCCAGCATGACTCTACAGGATAGAGAGAAGGTGCACAATCCCGAGACCCCACTTAAGGATGAAGGAAGAGATGTATATCTTGCATCCCCCCATGGCATTATAGTGTACTGCCCTGGGGAAAATGAGTGGGTGTGTCTCATCACCTGGCATATCTCAGCAAGATAGAAAGAAGTGAGATAGGAGATAGAAAGAAATTATTTAGGTAGATAGTTAAGGTAAAAGAGTCCCTGGCAGGAATTTTTCTTCTAACAAGAAGCAGCTCAGAAATTACTTCCTTTCTAATCACACACTGTTTCAAGAAATCACTTCTCTTCTAACAAAGAACAGCCTAGAAGATTGGGCTGTGAAATATAGATAAGCAACTCCAGCACAGAGAGTTTCCTGGGTAATCACCAAACTTCATATACATATGATGGGTCCCAGTAAAAACAGTGAGCCTTAATGTGCACATTCCTTTCCCATTTTTTGGGCACACTAAGATAGGAAAGCTGGAAGCTTGCATGGGGGTCAGGGAAGTGCCTGCAGCTGCAAGGAGATACCTGGGACAAGAAACAGAAACTCCCCCTACCTTTTTTTAGCACATGCACAGTGGAAGGCGATAAGCAGCATGGAGTACCCCAAGCTGAGAGCTCACCTGCATGATAAGAGTGGGATGGGGGCTGCCAGAGACTCTGCTCTCTGTATATGGCATGCCTGGTCCTAACCAGTTGTTTACACCCTATGTAGATAAGATATCCCCTCCCCACTAGCTCATGTATAAAAACCCTTACTTTTTACTCCAGCACGGCAACCGGTTCAGGACCCCTCTCTATGACAGAGAGCTGGTTTTTTTTTTCATTTCACCTATTAAACTTCTGCTCTAACCTCGCCTTTTGTGTGTCCACATCCTTGATTTCCATGGCCAGGAGACAAAGGGCCTCAGGTGATATCCCAGACAATGCAGCTGCTTTAGAAGGCACACAGCACAGAATGCTCTTCTTCAGAAAGAAGAGAGAACTTGAGTTTGCACTTAATTTCACAGCATTTTACTGCACTGTTCTAAATAAATAGGAGCAGAAGATAAATGTCAGCTGACATCGCTCCATAATATTGAGAGAAGGTGCAAAACCCTGAAAGTGTCTGAATGGAGGGAGAGAAGTGGAGTGTGCATCAAATGTCCAAGCCCATAAATGCACCATTCTAGGTAAAAGAGGAGGACAGCTTATCATGGCCAGCACAGCTGTGTGTAATTAGAAGAAGGTTTACAACACTGAAACTTCTCCCCAAGGAGGGAGGGAGAAGAGTAAAAGATACATACACAGACACACACACACACACACACACACACACGTTTGAGAGGCTTCCTCAAATGTTTGGACACCAATGTAAAGCTACAGGGAACACAAAGAATTGAGAAAATAAAGCTCAGTGAGCTATAAGAGGGCACAGAAAGACAAATAAAATGAGGGAAATGATACTTGAACAATGAGAATATCAAGAAAAAGACAAACCATACCAAAGAACCAAGCTGAAATTCTAGAGCTCAACAATATAATAACAAAATTTAAACATTAAATAGAAAGCTTCAACAATAGACTTAATCATAAAGAAGAAAGGCTCAGCAAACTCAGACAACTCATTCGAAATTATCCAGTCAGAAAAGCCAAAATAAAAGAGGATGAAAAATAATGAAGAAAACCTATGCAATATGTTGGATACAATCAAGAAAACCATTGTATCCGTAATGGGATTGTCAGAAGAAGAAGATAAAAAGAGACAGAAAGCTTATTTAAAAAAATAATGGTCAAAAATTCCAAAATCTAAAGAAGGAAATTATTCTTTAGATTCATGAGGCCTAAAGACCTCAAATAGAAAGAAGCAAAATAATTCTATAACAAGGCACATTATAATCAAATTGTTGTCAAAAGTCAAAGATAAAAGATTTGGAAGCAGCAAAAAAAAAAATGACTGAAGAACAAAGGGCCTCCCCAAAGACTATCAACAGATTTCTCAGCAAAAACCTCACTACCTATAAGGAAGTAGGATGATACATGCCAAAACTTGAAAGAAAAACTTGGCACCTCGAAATACTGTATCTGGCAAAATTGTCCTTTAAAAATGAAGGAAAGATAAAACCTGACACCTAAAAATACCATATCTGGGAAAATTGTGTTTTAAAAATGAAGGAAAGATAAAGACTTTCCCAGACAACAAAAACCTGAGAAAGTTCATAACCACTAGACCTGCTTTCTAAGAAATGTTAAAGGGAAGTCTTTCAGTTGAAAGAAAAGAAATGCTAAATAACAACATGAAAGCCTGTAAAAGTATAGATCTCCCTGGTAGAGGTAAATTTATAAACAAAAGAGAATATTCTAATACTGTAATGATGATGCACAAATCACTTTTAAGTTTAGTATAAAGTTAAAATTCAAAAATATTAGGAATAATTATAACTACAAGAATTGTTGACATATTCACAAAAAAAAGATGCAAATTGTGACAAAAATAACATAAAGTATGGGGAGGAAAAGAAGTAAAAGTGTAAAATTTATGTAGGAGAGTAAAGTTAATTTGTTAGCAGCTTGAAATACACTATTATAACTATAAGCTGTTTTAAGAAATTCTCATGGTAATTAGAAGAAAATAAGCTACTCAATAGAAAAGAAAATAATCAAAGAGCATCACTACAAAAAAATTAATGACACAAAAAAGACATCAAGAAAAGAAAAAAGAAACAAAAGAACTATAAAACAGGCAAAAAGTAATGAACACAATGGAAATAGGAAGTTTTTCCTATTAGTAATTACTTTAAACATAAATGGATTAAACTTTCTAACCCAAATACATAGAATAGCTAAATGGAAAAATAAAATAAAACCTAATTATATTCTGTCTACAAGAGACTCACTTCACCTTTAAGGACACACATAGATTGAAAATGAAGGTATAGAAAAGACATTCCATATATATGGCAAGCAAAAGAAAGCATATGTGCCTATACTTACATTAGACAAAAATAGACTTTATGTAAAAAACTGTCACAAGAAAAAAACAAGGGCATTATAAAATGATAAAAATATGAATTAGGAAGGCATAAATATATAAGGCACCCAATATCAAAGCACAAAAATACATAAAGCAAATAACAGAAATTAAGGACAAAATAGAGAGCCGTACAATAACAGCAAAATACTTCAATATCCTGCTTTTAATAATGGGTAAATCATCCTGACAGAAAATCAGTAAGAAAAGAGTGGACTTGAAAAGCACTGTAGATCCAATGGGGCTATATATCTACATAGAGACAATTCCACCCAAGGGCAACAAAATTCACATTGATCTCAAATACATAGAACATGTTTCCAGGACAGACCACATCTTAGGCCACAAAACAAGTATTTGCAAATTTAAGAATATTTAAATAATACTGAGTTCCTTTCCAAACACAGTGGAAGGAGACCAGAAATCAATAACAGAAGGATAATTGGAAAATGTACAAATATGTAGAAATTAAACAGCACACATCTAAAAAACACATAGGTCAAAGGAGAAATAAAAATGGAAATCATTAAATATTTTGAGAGGAATAAAAATTAAAACACAAAATGCCAAAAGTTATTAAATGTAGCTAAAACACTACTGAGGGAAGTTTATAGCAATAAAAAATCAACATTTTAAAAGAAAAAACATCTCAAGTAAACAACCCGATATTACATATCAATGAACTACAAAAGGAAGAAAAAACTAAGTCCAAAGTGAGAAGGAATTAATAATGATTACAGCAGAAATAATATAAAAAGAGAATAGAAATAAGTATAGAATATAGTATTTCAGAGTTAAATAATAAATCTGGTGACCTAACAATAAAAAAAAGAAAAAATCAACGAAACCAATAATTATTTTTCCAAAAAAGTAAGCAAAACAGAAAAAGCTTTAGTGACACTGAAAAAAAGAGAAAACCCAAATAAAATCGTAAAGAGCAAACATTACAACCCATATCACAGAAATACAAAAGATTATAAAAGACCACTGTGAATAATTATACATCAACAAATTAGATAACTTAGGAAAAATGGATAAATTTTCAGAAACATATAACTTACTGGATCATGAAGATATTGAAAATCTGAATGGACCAATAATGAGTAAACAGATTGAAACAGTAATCAAAAACCTCACAGTAAAGGAAAGCCCAGGATGAATTGTCTTCACTGTCTGCACTGTTGAATTCTACCAAATATTTCAAGAAATAGCGTCACTAGGAGGCACGCGAGGTTTCAAGATGGTGGTGGCTGAGGGGTTGACCGAGAGGCCGAGTTGAAGGCTCTTAAGAAGTTAAGAGGCCAGAAATCCCACCCTCCCTGCTTCTCGCAGTCCTGGGAGCACAGCAGAAGGGTTTTTCTTAATATTTTTTTAAATGAACCAGTAAAACATACAAATTGTGACCATGGAATGGAGATCTACATCATCCACCAAGAGTGGAAACTTTATGAGCCCCATAGACCAAGCCCAAAAGGAAGCCCAGAAGAGAGAATTGAAGAAGAGCAAAAAACAGCACAAGATGGTTCCAGCTCCAGTTTTAAGGATGAAGGATCCCAAACAGATTATCTGAGACATGGAGAAATTGGATGAAATGGAGTTTAACCCAGTATAACAGCCACAATTAAATGAGAAAGTATTAAAAGACAAGCGTAAAAAGCTGCGTGAAACCTTTGGTATTCTACGACTCTATGAAAAAGAGAATCCAAATATTTACAAAGAACTGAGAAAGCTAGAAGTAGAGTATAAACAGAAGAGGGCTCAACTTAGCCAATATTTTGATGCCGTCAAGAATGCTCTGCATGTGGAAATGGAGAGTATTCCTTTGTCAGATATGCCACATATTCCTTCCAACATTTTGATCCAAGACATTCCACTTCCCGGTGCCCATCCACCCTCCATCCTTAAGAAAACCTCAGCCTATGGACGTCCAACTCGGGCAGTTTCTATCCTGGCTCTTCTTGGACATGGTGTTCCACGTTCGCCCCATGGCAGAAAACCTCTTTGCCCTCTCTCTGGCCCACCTCCTTCTCAAGTCGTGCAGATGTACGGCCGTAAAGTGTGTTTCGCCCTAGATCTTCCCCCATGTAGGCGAGATGAAGACATATTTTATAGTCCTGCACTTGCCCAGAGAGGTCATGATGATGATGTTTCTAGCACCAGTGAAGATGATGGCTATCCTGAGGACATGGATCAAGATAAGCATGATGAAAGTACTGATGACAGTGACACCAACGGATCAGATGGAGAAAGTGAGGAGGATGAATTTGTGCACCATGATGATGGTGAGAGAGACAACAATGAAGAAAAGAAGTCAGGTCCTAGTGTACAGTTTGCAAATATGCCTGGAAAATCAAGGAAAAAAAGAAGAACATGAAGGAACTAACTCCTCTTCAAGCTATGATGCTTCGTATGGCAGGTCAAGAAATCCCTGAGGAGTGATGGGCAGTAGAAGAATTTTCAGCGGACGGTGATGAAGATGATTCTGATGACTCTGAAGCAGAAAAGCAATCATAAAAACAGAATAAAGAAGAATCTCATGCTGATGGCACATCCACTGCTTCTTCATAGCAGCAGGCTCCCCTGAGGTCTGCTCCTCCTTCTCAGATACAAGCACCTCCCATGCCAGGACCACCACCTCTTGGACCACCACCTGCTCTACCATTACGGCCTCCTGGGCCACCTACGGGCCTTCCTCCTGGTCCACCTCCAGGAGCTCCTCCATTACTGAGACCATCTGAAATGCCAGGACTCCAAGGGCCTTTACCCCAACTTTTACCTCCAGGACCACCATGAGGCTTGACCCCCTGTCCCTTTCCCAGGTCCAACTGCAGGTATGCCTCCTGGTCCCCCTCCTTGGGGACCCCCACCAAGAGTACCTCCAGGTATTCCCTCACCTTGTCCCGGCATGATGCGCCCACCTTTGGTGCCTCCCCTTGGACCTGCCCCCCTGGGTTTTTCCCACCACCTCCCTAGCCGAACCCTGGGGTTTTTTAAGTGCCCCACCCAACTTGATTCAGCAACCCAAAGCGGATGATATGAGTGCAGCCACGATTGAGAAGAAAGCCACAGCAACCATCAGTGGCAAGTCACAGATCAATAATACCAAGGCAGAGATTACTCTACTTCTGCCCACTGCACTGAGAGTTCGTTGGGAGAATAAAGGGGCTACTGCTGCTCCCCAAAGAAAGTCAGAGGATGATTCTGCTGTGCCTCTTGCCAAAGCAGCACCCAAATCTGGTTCTTCTGTTCCTGTCTCAGTACAAACTAAGGATGATGTCTATGAGGTTTTCATGAAAGAGATGGAAGGGCTACTCTGACAGCTTTTGATGCCATAACAGGCTTCTGTTCACAACAGTGGCCAATGGAGAAAGAAAGAGGCTCTTATTAAACTGAGATGAGAGAGCTGCTTCCATTGTCAGGGTATTTTCTAATTTCAGTTCAAGAAGTATCCTAAAATTTAGCCTTGTTCAGAATTTACTACACATAAAAGAGGGTATTTCATTCAGAATATATCAGTTATTGAAGCAGTGCTGCTAACATCCATTCCGTTTCACACCACCATTCTCATCCTATTTCTTGCCCTACTCTAATTATTTGGAAATTTGTGATCGGGGGATCTTAATTGCTTATTTGTTTTGACTCTGTTCTTGTGTGCTGTGGACACTAGAGTAGAGATTTCTGAAAAACCAGTTTATTTCATCTTGCCTTTTGTTTTTGAGTTATTTTTAAGTTATTTTTAATTTTGTTTTTGAGTTATTTTAATTTTCCTATAAATATTTTGTAATATTTTACTTGTAATGAAATGGATCACAATGTCATTTCCTAATACAAGGCAGGATATGTGGGAAGAAAATGTACAATTATTTGATTAAAATTATTCCCCATTGACCTAAACTTTGAGTGATTCATGGGAAAAATAAATAAATGTTCTACACCAAGATAAAAAAAAGAAAGAAATTGTGTCACTACTTCTCAAACTGTTTCAAACATTCAAAGAAGAGAAAGCATCTCGAAACTCATTTTAGGAGGAGAACATTACCCTAACATCAAAGCCAGACAAAGACACTACAAGAAAAGAAAATTACAGATCAATATATGTAGAAAGATGAAACCGGATCCCTTCCTTACACCTTATACAAAAATTAATTCAAGATGGATTAAAGACTTACATGTTAGACCTAAAACCATAAAAACCCTAGAAGAAAACCTAGGCAATACCATTCAGGACATAGGCATGGGCAAGGACTTCATGTCTAAAACATCAAAAGCAATGGCAACAAAAGCAAAAATTGGCAAATGGGATCTAATTCAACTAAAGATCTTCTGCACAGCAAAAGAAACTACCATCAGAGTGAACAGACAGCCTACAGAATGGGAGAAAATTTTTGCAACCTACTCATCTGACAAAGGGCTAATATCCAGAATCTACAATGAACTCAAACAAATTTACAAGAAAAAAACAAACAACCGCATCAACAAGTGGGCGAAGGATATGAACAGACACTTCTCAAAAGAAGACATTTATGCAGCCAAAAAACACATGAAAAAATGCTCATCATCACTGGCCATCAGAGAAATGCAAATCAACACCACAATGAGATACCATCTCACACCAGTTAGAATGGCGATCATTAAAAAGTCAGGAAACAACAGGTGCTGGAGAGGATGTGGAGAAATAGGAACACTTTTACACTGTTGGTGGGACTGTAAACTAGTTCAACCATTGTGGAAGTCAGTGTGGAGATTCCTCGGGTATCTAGAACTAGAAATACCATTTGACCCAGCCATCCCATTACTGGGTATATACCCAAAGGATTATAAATCATGCTGCTCTAAAGACACATGCACATGTATGTTTATTGCGGCACTATTCACAATAGCAAAGACTTGGAACCAACCCAAATGTCCAACAATGATAGACTGGGTTAAGAAAATGTGGCACATATACACCATGGAATACTATGCAGCCATAAAAAAGGATGAGTTCATGTCCTTTGCAGGGACATGGATGAAGCTGGAAACCATCATTCTCAGCAAACTATCGCAAGGGCAAAAAACCAAACACCGCATGTTCTCACTCATAGGTGGGAATTGAGCAATGAGAACACATGGACACAGGAAGGGGAACATCGCACTCTGGGGCCTGTTGTGGGGTGGGGTAACGGGGGAGGGATAGCATTTGGAGATATACCTATTGTTAAAAGAAGAGTTAATGGGTGCAGCACACCAACATGGCACATGTATACATACATAACAAACCTGCACATTGTGCACATGTACCCTAAAACTTAAAGTATAATAAAAAATTTTAAAAAAAAGAAAAAATATTCCTTATAAATATAGATGCAAAAATTCTCAACAAAATACTGGAAAATTAAATTCTACAGGACATTAAAAAGATCATACACCATGATCAAAGGGACTTATCACTGAGATGCAAGGATGATTCAACATATGTAAATCAATTGATGTGATATATCACATTAACATAATGAAGAACAAAAATCATATGATCACCTCAATAGATATGAAAAAAGCATTTAACAAAGTTGAATGTTATTTCATAATAAAAATACCCAACAAAACAGGTGTACAAGGAATGTACCTCAATATAATAAAAGGTGTATATGAAAAGATAACTGTTAACATCACATCATATTTGACCTCTGTTATTGAAAATCAAATGAGGATGCTCACTCTCACCACTTCCCTCCGACATAGCACTGAAAGCACTAGCCAGAGTAATTAGATAAGAAAAAATAAATAAAAGAAATGCAAATAACAAAGGAAGAAGTAAAATTATGTCTGTTTGTAGATGACATGATCCTAATTTGTACAAACTCCAAAAGTATTATTAGAACTAATAAAATAATTCAATAAAATTGCAGGATACAAAGTCAATATAAAATAAGCTACATTTATATACACTAACAATGAACCATCCTAAAAGAAAATTAAGAAAACAATTCCATTTACAATAGTATAAAAATGTAAAAATAATACTTATGAGTAAAGTCAACCAAGTTGCTAAAAGACTTATACACTGAAAACTACTGAACTTCAATGAAAGGAATTAAGGGGCACAAATAAATAGAAGGACATTTAATGTTAATGAATTAGAAGAATTAATATTGCTAAACTGCACATACTACCAAAAGTGATGTACAGATTCAATGCTATCCCTATCAAAATTCCAGTGGCAGTTTTATACGTCCTAGAAACACCTTAAAATTCATGTGAAACCACAGAAGATTCAGAATATACAAAGTGATATTTAAAAAAAAAATAAAGATGGAAGCATCAGACTTTCTGATTTTAAAATATATTATAAAGTTATAATAATTAAAATAGTGTGTTATTAACATAAAGACCAACATAGCTACCAATGGAAAAGGATAGAGAACACAGAAATATATACCCAAAGATGCAGTCAGCTGATCTGCAACAAGAGTGCCAAAAACATACAATGGGGAATGATGGTTTCCTTAAAAAAAAATGGTGCAGGGATAACTGGATATCCACATGCAGAAGAGTGAAATTAGATTATTTTCTTTTATAACTTTTATTTTAGTATCAGAGATCCATGTGCAGGTTTGCTTTATAAGTAAACTGCACGTCATGGTGATTTTCTGTACAGGTTATGTTGCCACCCAGGTAGTAAGCATACTGAACGACAGGTACTATGTTGATCCTCTCCCTCCTCCCAACCTTCACCCTCAAGTAGGCCCCAGTGTCTGTTGTTCCCCTCTTTGTGTCCACATGTTCTTATTGTTTAGCATTCACTTATAAGTGAGAACATGCATTATTTGGTTTTCTGTTCCTGTGTTACTTTGCATAGGATAATCACCTCCAACATCATCTATGTTACTGAAAAAAAACCACAGACACACATGATTTTGGTTTTTTATATGGATGTGTAATATTCCATGGTATATATGTACCACATTTTCTTTATCCTGTCTACCATTGCTGGGCATTTAGGTGGATTCTATGTCTTTGCTATTGTGAATAGTGCTGCAATGAAAATACACATGCTTGTGTCTTTATGATACAATGATTTATATTATTTTGATATATACACAATAATTAGATTGCTGAGTAGAATGGTCATTCTATTTCAAATTCTTTGAGAAAGCACCACACTGCTTTTAAAAATGGCTGAGCTAATTTATATTCCTGCCAACAGTGTATAAGCATACCCTTTTCTGCACAACCTCTCCAGCATCTGTTATTCTTTGACATTTTAATAATAAGCATTCTGACTGGTGTGAGCTGGAACCTCATTGTAGTTTGGATTTGCATTTCTCTAATGATTAGCGATGTTGAGCTTTGTTTCATACGCTTCTTGGTTGTGTGTATGTCTTTTGAGAAGTGTCTGTGGATGTACTTTGCCCACTTTTTAATGAGGTTGTTTTTTACTTGTAAATTTGTTTAAGTTTCTTATAGATGCTAGATATTAGACCTTCGTCAGATGTATAGTTTGCAAAGATTTTGTCCCATCATTTCAATTGTTTGTTTATTCTGTTAATAGTTTCTTTTGCTGTGCAGAAACTCTTTAGTTTAATTAGATCCCATTTGTCTATTTTTTGTTTCTGTTGCAATTGCTTTTGGTATCTTTGTAATGAAATCTTTGTCAGGTCCTATGTCCAGAATGGTATTGCACAAGTTGTCTTCTAGGTTGTTCATAGTTTTAGGTTTTAAATTTAAGTATTTAATCCATTTCGAGTTTACAGTTTTATTTGATGTAAGAAAGGGTCCAGTTTCAATCTTCTGCATATGGCTAGCCAGTTATCCCAGCATCATTTATTGAATAGGGAGTCTTTTCACCCATTGCTTGTTTTTTGGCAGCTTTGTAGAAGATCACATAGTTGTAGGCATGTAACCTTGTTTCCAGGATCTCTATTCTGTTCCATTGTTCTGTGTGTCTGTTTTTGTACCAGTACCATTCTGGAGGATTTTTTTGTTATTGTTGTCAGTTTGGTTGGTTTTTTTTCTTTGTTTGTTTTTACTATAGCCTTGTAATATGATTAAAATTCAGGTAACGTGAGGCGTTCAGCTTTGTTCTTTTTGCTTAGAATTGCCTTGGCTATTCAAGATCTTTTTTTGTTTGTTTCGTATGAATTTTAAAACAGTTTTTTTTTTAAATTCTGTGTCATTCGTAGTTTGATAGGAATAGCACTGAATCTATAAATTGCTTTGGGCACTATGGCCATTTTAATGACATTGATTCTTCCTATCAATGAGCATGTAATGTTTTTCTTTTTGTTTGTTTCATCTCTGGTTTCCATGAGCAGTGTTTTGCAATTCTTGTTGTACAGATCTTTCACCTCCCTGGTTAGCTGTATTTGTAGGTATTTTACTCCTTTTGTGGCAATTGTAAATGGGAGTTTGTTTCTGATTTGGCTCTTGGCTTGACTGTTGTTTTTGTACTGGAATGCTACTAATTTTTGTACATTGATTTCTGTATTCTGAAACTTTGCTGACATTGGTTACTATATCGTGGAGCTTGAGGGCTGAGACTTCAAGGTTTTCTAGATATAGAATCACGACTTCTACAAACAGGGTAGTTTGACTTCCTCTTTTCATATTGGGATGCCTTTTATTTCTTTGTCATACCTGATTTTTTTTGGTCAGGAATTTCAGTACTATATTAATTAGGAATCGTTATAGAGGGCATCTTTATAATGATCCAGCATTCAAAAGGAATGATTCCAGGTTTTGCCCATTCAGTACGATATTGGCTGTGCGTTTGTCATAGATGGCTCTTATTATTTTAAGGAATGTGCCTTCAATGCCTAGTTTGTTGAGAATTTATAACATAAAGCGATGTTGAATTTTGTCAAAAGACTTATCTGAATCTATTGAGATAATAATATAATTTTCATTTTTAAGTCTGTTTATGTGATAAATCACATTTCTTGATTCGCATATGTTGAACCAAACTTGCATATGTTCAACCAAACTTGCAGCCCAAGGATAAAACCTACTTGATCATGGTGAGTTTCCTTTTCGATGTGCTGATGTGTACAGTTTGTTAGTATTTTGTTGAGTATTTTTGCATCTACGTACTTTAAGGATATTGGCCTGAGTTTTGTTGTTGTTGTGTCTCTGCCAGGTTCTGGTATCAGGATGATGCTGGTCTCATAGAGTGTTTTGGGTAGGAGACCCTCCTCCTCAATTTTTTGGAATAGTTTCAATGGGAGTGGTATCAACTCTTTTTTATATATCTGGTAGAATTAGGCTGTGAATTCATCTGGTCCTGGGCTTTTTTTTTTTTTGATTGGTAGATATTTCATTACTGATTTAATTTTGGAATTCATGATTGATCTGTTCAGTGATTCAATTTCTTTCTTGCTCAGTCTTAGGAGGATGTATGTGTCCAGGAATTTATACATTTCTTCTAGATTTTCTAGCTTTTGTGCATAAAGGTGTTTCTAGTAGTCAATGAGTAGTTTTTTTTTTTTTATGTGGGGTAGGTGGTAATGTCCCCTTTGCCATTTCTAATTGGGTTTATTTGGATTTTCTCTCTTTTTTTCTTTATTATTCTAGCTAGTGATCTATGTATCTTATTAATTTTTTAAAAGACCATCTCCTGGATTTGTTGATTTTATGAGTGGCTTTTCATGTCTCAATTTCCTTCAGCTCAGGTCTGATTTTGGTTATTTCTTTATTTCTTCTTGCTTTGAAGTTGGTTTGCTCTTGCTTCTCTAGTTCCTGTAGTTGTGATGTTATGCTGATAATTTGAAATGTTTCTAACTTTCTGGTGTGGGAATTTGGTGCTATAAACTTCCCTCTTTATGTGGCCTTTGCTATGTCCCAGAGATTCTGATATGTTGTATATTTGATCTCACTAGTTTCAAATAACTTCTTGATTTCTGCCTTAATTTCATTACTTACCCAAAAGTCCTTCAGGAGCAGGTTGTTTAATTTCCATGTAAATACATGGTTTTCAGCAATTTTCTTACTGTTGATTTCTATTTTTGTTGCACTATGGTCTGAGAGTGTGGTTATTATGATGTAAGCTTTTTTTTCTTAATTTTCTGAGTGTTGTTTGAGATCACATTGAGTGGTTGATTTTAGAGTATGTACCATGTGGTGATGACAAAAAATGTATTTTCTGTTGTTTGGGGGTGGAGTGTTCTGTAAATGTCTATTAATTTCATTTTGTCAAGTGTTGAGTATAGGCCCTGAATATTTTTGTTAATTTTTTGCCTCCATGATCTTTCTCATACTGTCAGTGGGGGTGTTGAGGTCTCTCACTATTATTGTGTGGGAATCTAAGTCTCTTTACAGGTCTCCAAGAACTTGCCTTATGAAGCTCGTTGCTCCTGTGTTGGGTGCTTACATATTTAGAACAGTTAGGTCTTCTTGGTGAATTGAACCTTTTACCATTATGTAATGCTCTTCTTTGTCTTGTTTTGTCTTTGTTGGTTTAAAGTCTGTTTTGCCTGAAATTAAGAAAGCAACGTCTGCTTCCTTCTGTTTTCCATTTGCATGGTAGATTATTCTCCATTTTTAAATTTGAGCCTATGTGTGTCATTGCATGTGAGATGGTTCTCTTTAAGACAGAATACATTTGGGTCTAACTTCTTTAGCTTGACGTTATGTGCCTTTTAACTGGGGTACTTAATCTGTTTACATTCAAGGTTAGTATTGACATGTGTGGATTTTATCATGACATCATGTTTTTTTATTTATTTTGGAAAATGTTAAAATTTATTAATAATAGTTAACATCACATAGTTAATTAAACTAGTTATGTATTGTACATAATGACAACATCTTCACTAGACTGAGTGCTCAAGGATTTGAGATGATTTGCTATTCATCACACCCCGAAGATTGAGATCCACTGTATTTACACAAGCAAAGCCATGTCAGCAAGGGACTGTCAACCTGATTCTGAGAACGCAAACATTCAAAATTTATTTCCAGTGTTCCTTTTTGGAAACCAACAACACATCTTTAATACCTACACAAACACACACACACATCTCTACCTTTAAAAAAAAAAGTGTAACTTCATAGATAGCACCTAATCTTCAAGCTTAAAATTTAAGTTAAAATTAATCTCTATTTTGTGGACACCCTTTAGTGAACTAAAATCTACGTGAAAGCTTTTGGCTTTTGTGTAGCAGGAGACACCCACATTTTGGGTCAATTAGTGCAGATGGGAGCAGCAGAAGAGCTACACCAGACAGCAAAGCAAGACTAGAATAAACGAGAAAGACCAGCCCCTCTCCCCTCTGTGCTCCCAGGAGGAGCTGGGCCGTTTTCACCTAATTACACCCAACTTTGCGTAAAAGTTGTATAATCGGACACTATTCCCAGCACAAGTTTGATAGATACACAAAAACTGGGTGCAATTTCATCGTGAGTTTCTTTCCATTCTGATCCTTGTATCCAATTCAATAGTTACATCCCTCTATTATATAGTATCCAGGTTTAATGTCTGTGCTTTTGCGTATTTTAGGGCAGAGGCAGGCTTTCAGATTCAGAATCAACTGCACTCTTGAAAAGTAGGGATGGAAGTTTTTAAGCCACTCTCATCCCTCCCAATAAATTGAAATAAATTAATTTTTTCCCACTAGTTTGAAATAAATATTGTGTATAAAAAAAAAACACAAAAACAGGTTAGCAGACCAATGCCAGCTCAGCCTAGGGAAGCACATGGACAACAATTCTTGTAAAACATTTAAAATACAAACCCAAGGTGAAACTTGCTGGGAGGGCACAAATACACCAAAAATGTTGTCCCTGAGGTTTTATTTGGTTGTTTAATTTTTCTGTTTTGGTTTGTTGTTGAGGATTAGATACAACTTAAAAAAAGAAATTTTGGCGACTTCCTTTATCTTGTCAGAAAGCTTTAAAATACTACTGACTGCCCTAAGAATAAAGATTTCTAAGCCATGAGTCCATTTGAAACGATTCCTTTGGTTTCCTTTGCTTAACATCCCATGGAATGTTGCCCCAAGAAAATCTCTAGATGGAGGAGCCAATTGCTGTGGTCTCTTCAGTCTATTGGCTCAGCCTCCATCTCTGTCCCTGCCTTCCACACACTTCCAAGACCACAGGGGAAGGAGGAGCCAGAAGCAACCACTTTGCCATTCACTCACCCTGAAGAGGCTTCTCTTCTCTTCCCACAGGCGAATGAGGTATTTCTATGACTAGTCAGTATCTTCCTCTTCCGCCCTTTAACTACACTGAGGCCAATTCTGACAAGACTTGCATATCTGTATACATAACAAATTAACATATAAATACATTACGTACAACTGACCATTACACGTCAAGATGAAGAAGCAGATCTACTTCAAGAACTAAATAAAATTTCAAATATAAATTAAAATGAAAATACAGTGTTTCCACTTTTGCAGGAAAAATTTGTAAAACAAACTAAAAACTCCCCCCTCCCCAAAGGTCCATTGCTGGTGGATAACATGTGCACCCCGCTGAGGTGCGACAGCTGGCCCGACTGCAGAATTCATCAACTCCTGGCTTTGGTTTCATTGCCCAGACTTGGGATTCCTTGATTCCAGGAATAGCAAATGCTGGAATCCACAGGGCAAATGCTTGTAGATGAGGTTAAAGAGGGGCTGCTGCGTGGATATCCATGGATTTCCCTCCATTGTCGCCCCTCCACCCTCCCCACGTCTGCCTGTAGGACAATCAGGCTCACGTCCTCAGTGGAGACCTCGCATATCTCTGACAGGAGAATCAGTAACAACGTCAGTGCTGGGGGATGCACCCCACCTGGAAATGTCATGTTCAGGCTCCAAGGTGAAGCAACCACATCTTCATTAGTGTCCCCATCCTGTAGAATTATACAGGGACGTGGAATTTGGCAAGGCGGATTACTAAGGGTGACAATTTTCATGTTTTAAGAGAACCAATGGGAATGGTTGTGACGCATGTGAACAAATCCTTATTTGGAACTGTATTTATCTTAATAGGGCCAAGCTCGGCCACCAAGCTCTACGATGAGATGCAGAGACAAAACCCTGTCCAGTGGGGTCCTCTCTGCCAAGGAAAAGCCAAGGGGTCTGTCTCTGACACAAAGGGATGACACCTTGTAATTTAAAACAGGGAGGAGGGAGAGAAAGAGGAAGTCCCTTCCGATTTCAGGGGTTCTATCGCTGTCCAGCCTCACGGATGCGGCAGAACACAGCAGTGATGAGCGCCACCCCCTTCCCGCTGCCATCCTCTGACTGCAGGAAAGACACATCACATTTCGGAGCCAGGTCCTTCACTGTCTCATGCATGACTTTGGCAAAGTGAGGATGTAGCTTGTAGAGGGTCCCATCCACACCCACTGTCACTTTGAGAGCGTCCAGCCCACGGTTTTCTCGTATCTTGTCCACCACAGCAGCCATGCCTGCACCACAGAGCTGGGCTGCCCGCCGGGCCACCACGGTGCACACCTCCTTAACAATGATGCTGTCGTCACAGGTGCTCTCAAGCCCTAAGTGTTGCAGCAGGGCCAGGCAGTCACTCTCAATCTGAGACAAGAACTTGGTTTCAAAGATGCCCCTTGTCTTGAGTAGCTCTGAGATGTGGCCTCAGAAGAGCAGCCCACGCTTGGTGAAATCGATGAGAATGTTACCGACAATCTCACCCAGGTACATTCCATTGATCATTTTCTCGAACCTCTGCTTGCCGGGGTTGAGTGAAAGCTCATCCACAGCCACATCAAATTCTGTGTGGAAGTCATCTAGGCATCCATTGTCTCCAAAGGCCCCCCATTCCATGTTCACACACATCCGCCCCTCTTCTCCTTCCACCAGTTCCACATTGCTCATCTCTTCCATGTAGCAGACATTGCTGCCCATGCCAACCGATGAGGCCAACTTCACAGTGAGGGTCTTCAAAGCCACAGGTCATCATAGTTCTGACTGTGTCGTTCACCACAGCAATCACATCCAGGTCAAACTCCTCTCGCCAGTGGATCGCTTCCTTCAGCAGGGTCACCACGTCCTCACCCTCGCAGCCAGATTCCTTGAAGCCTTTTGTCCACTAGAGGAGGATGCTCTCGTCCAGGCTGTTCTGCTGGCAGGGGAAGGAGAAGGTAAAACCCAGAGGCAGGGACACGCCCTTCATGCCCATGTACTCCAGGAAGTCCTCGATGCACTGGACAATGTGGTCAAAGAGCTCGTCCCCGGTGCCATGCATGACCTCCTGCGGGATGCCATAGATCTTGTTGTGCATCTCCACTCCACTCCACTTCCCATTCCGAATACAGACCAGCAGGACCCGGAAATTTGTTCCTCCAAGGTCCAAGGCCAAGAAGTCCCCTTTCTCTGTGCCGTCAGGGGTGGCACACACGTAGGTGGGAAGCATCTTGACGGGGGCACTGGCGTGAGTCTCCTTGCTCAGACCTCGCTCCATTTCTACCTTCATCCTCCTCTTGACCTCCAACAGCTGGTCATGGCTCAGCTGCAGAGGCTCTAGTGTCTTCTGGCGGGCACGGTGTTGATCGGCCAGCCGGTAAGCCACTGCTGTCACCATGGCTGCACCTTTGCCACTGCCATCCTCGGAGCGGAGGAAGCAGACATAGCAGTCGGGCACCAGCCGCCACACGGTCTTATGTAGACGCTTGGCAAAATGGGGGTGTTTCTTGTAGACGGAACCGTCGACCCCAATAGTAGAGCGAAGCTGCTCCTCACCTTTGTTCTCCTTGATGCGCTGCAGCACGGGGGCCAGGGTGGCTGTGCACAGGCTGGCGGAGTGTGTGGACACGATCTGACAGATCCGGTGAGTGGCCACGCAGTCCTCCTGAGTCGGGTCCATGCCCAACCGCATCAGGACCTCACGGGCCTTCCGGATGCCATCCTTCTCCCCTTCAGTGTCTGAGATGTCTTTGGTCTCAAAGTGACCGGTGTTGAGAAGCTCTGGGCTGAGCTTCCCCCTAAAGAGCAGCTCCTCCTTGGCCATCTTCACCAGGATAAACCTCATCAGCTCCCCCATGTACATCCCACTGATCACCTTCTCAAACAGTTGCTTCCCCAGGTTCAGTGAGCCCATGTCAATCTCCTGGTCAAACTCAGTGCGAATGTCATTGAGCGAGCCATCGTCCCCGAAGGCCCCCCACTCCATATTGATACACATCTGCCCCTCGTCGCCTTCTACCATCTCGATGTGGCGCATCTCTTCCATGTAGCAGGCGTTGCTGCCAGTGCCCACAATGAGACCAATCTCACAGTTGTGGTCGTCATAACCACAGGTCATCATGGTCCCAACTGTGTCATTCACCACAGCCACAATGTCGATATCAAAGTCCCCTCTCCTCTGGATGGCCTTCCGGATCAGAGCCACAACGTCTCTGCCTTCCACTCCACTGGACTTGAATCCCTTGGTCCATGAGACCAGGAAACTCTCGTCTAGTTTAGTCTGGCGGCAGGGGAACGAGAAGGTAAAACCCAATGGGAGCTTCTTGTCTTTGATTTGTAGCTTATCCATGAAGTTAGCCAGCCATTCGACAATGTGGTCAAACAGCTCGGTGTCACTGCCTCACATGATGTCCTCGGGGATGGCATAGATCTGGTTCTCCATCTCCACCTTCTGGAGCCCATTGTCCGTTACTTTCACCCAAAGCATACGGAAGTTGGTCCCTCCAAGGTCCAGAGCCAGGAACTCTCCGTGTTCTGTCCCATCTGAAGTGGACCTCACAAAGGTGGGCAGCATCTTCACTGCTGCAGTGGGGTGAGTGGTGGATCCAAGCCCTTTCTCTATCTCCTTGCGGAACCGCTTAGAGATCTCCAAGAGGGTCTCATCAGAGAGGTGCATGTGGTAGAGATACTGGTCAACCTTCTGCACTTGGTCATGGTTGAGCTCCTTGAAGAAGTAGGCAAGCAAATGCGAGGCAACCATCCTGCCGCGACCCGACGGCGCAGAGTTGGAAAACCGAGGCGGGGGCACGAGCCGGGAGGCGGGCGGCGCGGTCCGACTGCTTTGTGCTGGGGCTCGGCTGCCGGGCCGGGAGCTGGGAGTCCGGACGGCGCACAAAGAAGGCTAACGCCGAGGGTGCGCCCGGCTGGCGGAGGGCGCGGGTCTCCAGAGACGTGATTTTGGCGTCACAACTGCTAGAAGGCGCCTCAGTTCTCTCCCGGCGACGTGTCCGGTTGTCCCACGTCAAGGCGCTAACTTCGGCCACAGGATCACTGAGGCTCAACTTGAGAAGAATCTCAGCCCGGCTCCACTCGGGCAGTGGGACCTCTCCGGTTCACAGGCGCGTGGCTCCGGCCCGCGGATTTTCTTAGCTGGGTGACACGATGTTGCCAGCGGCAGCCCGGGACTCCTGCCGACATCATATCTTTAGCTGGTTATTATGTAAACTTGTTTGTGTGGTTGCTTTATACTGTCACTGGCCTGTATACTTGTGTGTTTTTGTGGTCCTGGTAACATTCTTTTCTTTCCATATTTAGCACTGCCTTCAGGACCTCTTGTAAGGCAGGTCTGGTGTTAACTTATTCCCTCAGCACTTGTTTATCTGAAAAAGATCTTATTTGTTCTTTACATATGAAGGTTAGTTTGGCCGGATATGAAATTCTTGATTGGAAATTCTTTTCCTTAAGAATGCTGATTATTGGCCCTCAATTTCTTCTGGCTTATAGAGTTTCTGCTGAAAGTTCTGCTGTTAGCCTGATGGGGTTCCCTTTGTAGGTGACCTGCCCCTTTTCTCTGTCTGCCTTTAACATTTTTTTCTTTCATTTTGACCCTTGAGAATCTAATAATTTTGTGTCTTTGAGATGGTCTTCTTATGTAGTATCTTGCAAGGGTTTTCTGCCTTTCCTTAATTTGAATGTTAACCCTTTAGTGAGGTTGGAAAAGTTTTCTTGGACAATATTCTGAGATATGTTTTCCAAGATGCTTACTTTCTCCGCATCTCTTCCGGGGACACAAGTGGGTTATAGATTTGATTTCTTTACATAATCTCATATTTCTCAGAGGTTTTGTTCATATTTTTTATTCTTTTGTTTTTAGTCTTACTGAATTATTTTAGATAGCTAGTCTTTGAGCCCTGATATTCTTTCCTTAGCTTGGTCTATCCTACTGTAAATACTTGTGATTACATTATGAAATTCTTGTAGTGTGTTTTTCAATTCTATCAGATTTATTTAGTTCTTTTTTATAATGGTCTCTTTGTCTACCAGCTTATTTTTTATTTTATTGTAATTCTTAGATTCCTTGGATTGGGTGTTCACTCCTGAGTTTTGATGATCTTCATTTACTATCTATACTCTGAATTCTAGTTCTGTCATTTTAGCCATTTCAGCCAGGTAAGAAGTCTTTCTTGGGAAATGGTGCAGTCATTTGGAGGAAAGAAGTCACTCTGACTTTTTTAATTGTCAGAGTTATTGTGCTGGTTCTTTCTCATCTGTGTGGGCTGTTGTTCTTTTAACTGTGGTGTAATTTGAGTACAGGCAGTAGACTTCTTTTTAGGATGTATTCAGAGAGCTGAAGCTTTGTGCAGGGTGGTTATTTGTAGGTGAATTCTTGTCCTTTGTTTCATCGAGTATATCAGCAAAGTATTTTGGTGTAGAAGTTTTGGTCTTCAATCTAGTAGACTGTGCTGAAGTAAAATGGCCAGTATGCAGCCTCTTGCTCAATCACATGGCTTATCTGTGTTTTTTCACAATTGCAATCATGGTCCTTCTTAGTGCTCTGAAAGTTTTATTCCTTTCCCACTTGAGTACTGGCTGCAGATCTTGGCTTGGCACTCCCAGGCTGCACACTGCAGCTCTGGGGTGAGCTCAGGCTTTATGTTCCCTCCCCACCTTGGAGGCAGCAAGGGAAGGGACCATAGCAGTGGGTGTTACAGAGGTTCACTTGTCTCATGGAGCTTTACCCCACAGAGATGCAGAGCTGCTATCAATTAATGTGATTGGAGTGGCTGCACTGTGGGCTCAAGCCAGGGGGAGGGGGTGCTGCTTGGTAACAACTGGGGGTGAGTGGATCACAAGGGAAGCAGATTGGCTTCTTCTCCCTCTGCAGCTTTCTGGAGGTGTGGTTAAAGCCCTCAGAGTATTTTCTCCTTTCCCAATCCAAGGGGAGCAAGGGCAGTATCATTGCAATGGCAGTGGGAGAGGAGCTTTCAGATGGCTCTGGGAGTTTCACCTAAGAGAAATGTGGAGATGCTGTTACTGGGTATGTTCATCCAGGGGACAGGGTGACTGCACTGCTGTGCTGAGCTTGGAGCTCTGCTTTTTCAGGAGCAGAG
Source organism: Homo sapiens (assembly GCF_000001405.40). NCBI lineage: Eukaryota > Metazoa > Chordata > Mammalia > Primates > Hominidae > Homo > Homo sapiens. The sequence goes on from NC_000023.11 coordinate 80,576,958, forward strand.
TCAATAACTCACAGGCAGAAGAGACTGAGCTCCTCCCTCTATGTGATTGTGGCATGCTGGGAGCATGTGTGAAGTCCTTAGGCTCTTTGTTTCTTTCCTTACACTGAGGACAGCAGGGACAGAACCACTGCTGTGACAGTGGCAGAGGGGCTGTTGGTTGCCTCTGGAAGATCTTCCCCAGGGAAACTCAGTGCCACTACCTGTAGGTGTGCTCAGCTCTGGGTGGGGCAGCTAAATTGAGGTCCTGAGCTAGGGCCCTGCCTGGTGAAAAGTGAAGTTGGGGGCGCACAAGGGAAAGGGACTGGATACCTCTCCATATCATGACTTCAGTGTGCTGGACATGCGAACACAGTGACCAGACCCTTTGTTCCTTTCCCTGCCTGAGGGCAGTTAGGGCAGTATCACTGCAGCTGCAATGGCAGAGGGATTGTGAGTTGTCTCTTAGATTTCCTCCTGAGAGAAATGCAGAGCTGCCTCCAACTGCAGTGTTCATGTGGGGGCAGGGTAGTTGTGCTGAAGTCTCAGGTCAGGAAACCATGCCAGTACAGAGAAGTGAAATCAGGGACCCTGGAAAACAGCCTGGTCACTTTTTCCATGGAGCAGCTGTGTTGTGCTGTGGATTCACAACAGTTCCTAGTCAATATCATTAGTCATTATGTAAATACAAATTATAACCACAATAAAATAGCACTTTACACCCACTAAGATATTTATAATCCAAAAGAAAGATGATAAAATGGGTTGATAAAAATGTGGAAAAAAATAGAACCTTCATATTCTGCTATTGAGAGTGTATAATGATGCATCCACATTGGAATACAGTCTGGCAGTTCTTCAAAAGGTTAAACTTAGAGCTACCATATGTCCAGGGTATTCCACTTCTAGAAGGAATGAAGATATATGTCCACATAAAACCTTGTACACAAATGTTTATAACAGAGTCATTCATAATAGCCAAAAAATAGAAATAACCCAAATGCCCATCAATTGGCAAATGGATAAACAAATGAACTGCAGACATATAAGGCAGTATTATCCAGTAATGCAAAGGAGTAAAGTATTAATACATGCTACAACACATATGAACCTTAGAAACATGCAAAATGAAAGAAACAAATTACAAAACACTACATATTGTATAATTTAACTTATGTGAAATTTCAAAGAGCTACATCTAGATATAGAAAGTAAACTGGTCATTGCCTAGGGGTAGAGAGTTTGAGGGGAAATAGAGACTAAAGTCTAATGGGTACAAAGTTTCTTTTTAGGTGATAAAGTAGTTATAATATTAAATTGTGGTAATGGTTACACAACTCTGTGGATGTATTCTTTTTTCTTTCTTTTTTTTTTTTTTTAAACAGGTCTACCCTCAGAAATGAATTTCAAGTTATCTGGCTTAAGCAAGGGGCAGGGAAGGAGGGTCAGTATTCGTCTGCCCATTATACCTCTAGTAAAGAAATCAGAGTCCTATTCACAAATACATGTTAGAGAATTAATGAGATGTAGGAGGGCCAAGTTTAATGTAACAAGGAAGGAAAAAATCTTCCCCTTCCGTCTCTGCAACTAGAGAAGCTACTGACAAATGACTGACATGATGATGTAGGCCTTAATGTTTTTCTTCACATCACAAAACTTCCGACTTCCTAAATTTTTGTGACATAGTGTGCTTAGGATATCATATGTCCTGATGTGAAGCAGAGAATTCATGAAGACAGTACTGGAGCAATCGACCTGCCTGGTTCCTGTACTGACACCTTGTGGTAAAAATCATAATAACAGTGAAAACAAACAGGACAACAGGCTTTCTAATTTTCTCTTTATGAGGCAATAATAATCAGGACTAACCCCTTAGCTTTTACTAATTAAGCCTTTCTGGTGATCTCATTGCTCTCATAGAAGGGAATAAAACATTTTTCTATAGTCATGATGAGGGCTCAGGGTGTTTTATTATTTCAAATATTAAACGAATGTGACCTCCTTTTGTAGCCCTAGCTGATGAAACAATGTGTGAGAAATACATACTCATTTTTAAATAGCCTGTAAAGCTTGTCAAAATGGATCTCTGTTGGCAGAGAAACAAGGTATCAATTTTCATCATATGGCAAAAAAATTTTATGTCAGATTTCTTTCTTCTGTTTTTCAATTATGGTATTTATATGAGCAACTACATATAGTATGATCAAGGAAAGATGTAGTGTGATAGGATGAGGAATAATGCTGAATGTCAGAGACTTGGCTTTGAGTAACTGCCCTGAGTTGTACATTATGTGCATGCATGTCATAGAAAATATTTGGCTCTAGAAACATAAAAATGATTCCCTTTGGAGCAAATCCTTGCTATCATTAAATAAAGCACAACTTATTTTTCATTTTTTAATTTTTATGGGAACATATTAGGTACACATATATATATTTATGAAGTATATGGAATATTTTGATACAGACACACAATGTGTAACAATTACGTTAGGGTAAATGAGGTATCCATCACCTCAAGCATTTATTCTTTTTGTCACAAATAATCCAATTATACTCTTTTAGTTATTTTTAAATGCACAATTAAATGATTATTGATTACGGTCACTCTGTTGTGCTATAAAATACTGGATTTTATTCATTCTTTTAAACTGTATCTATGTACCCATTAACCATGCCTACCTTATCCATTCTTCTTGGTTTTCCAATTTAATGGCATATAGTTGCTCATAGTAGACTCGAATGAGTTTATTAATTTCTGTGGTATTGGTTGAAATGTCTCCTTTTTCTTCTCTGATATTATTTACCTGAATATTATCTTTTTTTTTATTTAGCCATACTAAAGGATTGTCGGTTTTATCTTTTCTAAAAACTTTTTGTTTCATTGATTTTTGTATTGTTTTCTCTGTTTCAATTTTATTTCTGCTCTTATTTATTTCTTTATTATTTATAATCTTTTTCTTCTACTAATTTTGTGTTTGGTTTGCTCTTGCTTTTCTAGTTCTTTAAGATGCATCATTAGTTTGTTTATTTGAAGTTTTTATTCTTTTTTAATGTAGGCACTTATAGCTGTAAAATTCCCTCTAAGTATTGCTTTTGCTGTATCCCATAGGTTCTGGTATGCTGTGTTCCATTATCATTTGTTTCAAGAAATTTTTCAATTTCCTTCTCAATCTCTTCATTGAACCACTGGTCATTCAGGACCATATTGTTTAATTTTCATATGTTCATATAGATTTCAAAATTAATCTTGTTATTGATTTCTAGCTTAATTCTATTTTGGTCAGAGAAGATACTTGATATTATTTCAATTTTTTGAATGTTTTTATAAATGTTTTGTGGCCTAATGTATAGTCTACCCTTGAGGATGATCCATGTGCTAGGGAGAAGAATGTGTATTCTCCTGCCATTACATGAAATGTTCTGTAAACGTCTATTAGGCCCAGTTGGTGTGTAGTGCTGATTAGCTCCAATATTTCTTTGTTGATTTTCTTCCTGGGTAATCTGTCCAGTGCTTAATGTCAGTGTTGATGTCTCCAGTTATTATTGTATTGCAGTCTATCCCTTTCTTTAGCTCTAATAACACTTGCTTTATATGTCTGGATGTTCCAGTGTTGGGTGCATATATATTTACAATTGTTACATCCTCTTGCTGAATTGACCCATTTATCATTACAAAATGACTTTCTTTGTCTCTTTTTAGAGATTTAGTCTGAAGTCTATTTTGTCTGATATAAGCATAGCTACACCTGCTGTTTTTTTATTTCCATTTGCATGGCATACACTTTTCCATCTCTTGTTTTCAGCATATGTGTGTCTTTATAGGTAGTGTGTTTCTGGTAGAAAACAGACAATTTGGACTTGTTTTTTATCCATTCATCCATGCTAAGTCTTATGATTGGAAAGTTTTGTCTATTTACATTCAAGATTACTTTTAAGTAATGACTTTTTCACAACATTTTGTTATTTGTTTTCTAATGCCATGGTGCTTTGCTACACCTATTAACGCATCATCTAGGTTTCAAGCCCCACATGCATTAGGCATCTGTCCTAATGCTCTCCCTCCCCTTTCCTTCCACATGCTGACAGGCCCCAGTGTCTGATGTTTCCCTCCCTGTGTCCATGTGTTCTCATTGTTCAACTCCCACTTACGAGTGAGAACATGCGATGTTTGATTTTCTGTTCCTGTGTTAACTTGCTGAGGATGATGGTTTCCAGGTTCATACATGTTCCTGCAAAGGACATGAAATTCTTTTTTATGGCTTCATAGTATTACATGGTGTATATGTGCCACATTTTCTTCATCCAGTCTATCATTGGTGGGCATTTGGGTTGGTTCCAAGTCTTTGCTGTTGTAAATATCACTGCAATAAACATACACGTGCATGTGTCTTTATAGTAGGGGATATGATTGTATCCCCTACTATATAATACTTTGGATATATGCCCAGTAATGGGATTGCTGGGTCAAATGGTATTTTTGGTTCTAGATCCTTGAGGAATCACCACACTGTCTTCTACAATGCTTGAACTAATTTACACTCCACCAACAGTGAAAAGCATTCCTATTTCTCCATATCCTCTCCAGCCTCTGTTGTTTCCTGACTTTTTAATGATTGCCACTCTAACTGGCATGAGATGGCATCTCATTGTGGTTTTGATTTGCATTTGTCTAATGACCAGTGATGATGAGCTTTTTTTCATGTTTGTTGGCTGCATATATGTATTCTTTTGAGAAGTGTCTGTTCATATCCTTCACCCACTTTTTGATGGGGTTGTTTGTTTTTTCTTGTACATTTGTTAAAGTTCCTTGTAGATTCTAGATGTTAGAATTTTGTCAGATGGATAGATTGCAAAAATTTTCTCCCATTCTCTAGGTTACCTATTCACTCTGATGATAATTTCTTTTGCTGAGCAGAAGCTCTTTAGTTTAATTAGATCCCATTTGTCAGTTTAGGCCTTTGTTGCAGTTGCTTTTTGGTGTCTTAGTCATATAGTTTCTGCCCATACGTATGTCCTGAATGGTATTGCCTAGGTTTTCTTCTAGGGTTTTTATGGTTTTAGGTTTTACATTTATGTCTTTAATCCATCTTGAGTTAATTTTTGTATAAGGTGTAAAGATAAGGAAGGGGTCCAGTTTCTGTTTTCTACATATGGCTAGCCAGTTTTCCCAGCACCATTTATTAAATAGGGAATCCTTTTCTCATTGCTTGTTTTTGTCATGTTTTTCGAAGATCAGATTGTTGTAGATGTGAGGTGTTATTTCTGAGGCCTCTGTTCTGTTCCACTGTTCTATATACCCGTTTTGGTACCAGTACCATGCTGTTTTGATTACTGTAGCCATGTAGTATACCTTGAAGTTGGGTAGTGTGATGCCTCCAGCTTTTTCCTTTTTGCTTAGGATTGTCTTGGCTACACGGGCTATTTTTTGGTTCCATATGAAACTTAAAGTAGTGTTTTCTAGTTTTGTGAAGAAAGTCAATGGTAGCTTTATGGGAATAGCATTGAATCTATACATTGCTTTCATCAGTATGCCCATTTTCACGATATTGATTCTTCCTATCCATGAGCATGGAATGTTTTTCTATTTGTTTGTGTCCTCTCTGATTTCCTTGAGCAGTGGTTTGTAGTTCTTCTTGAAGAGGTCCTTCAAGTCTCTTCTAAGTTGTATTCCTGGGTATTTTATTTTCTTTGTAGCAATTGTGAATGGGAGCTCACTCATGATTTGGCTCTCTGTCTGTCTATTATTGGTGTATAGGAATGCTTGTGATTTTTGCACATTGATTTTGTATCCTGAGACTATGCTGAAGTTGCTTATCAGCTTAAGGAGTTTTTGGGCTGACATGATGGGGTTTTCTAAATATACAATCGTGTCATCTGAAAACAGAGACAATTTGACTTTCTCTCTTTCTATTTGAATACCCTTTATTTCTTGCTCTTGCTTGATTGCTCTAGCCAGAACTTCCAATGCTACGTCGAATAGGAGTGGAGAGAGAGAGCATCCTTGTCTTGTGCCAGTTTTCAAAGGGAATGTTTCTAGCTTTTGCCCATTCAGTATGATTTTGGCTATGGGTTTGTCATAAATAACTCTTATTATTTTGAAATCCGCTCCATCAATACCTAGTTTATTGAGAGTTTTTAGCATGAAGGGGTATTGAATTTTATTGAAGGCCTTTTCGGCATCTATTAAGATAATCATGTGTTTTTTGTCATTGGTTCTGTTCATGTGATGGATTACATTTATTGATTTGTGTATGTTGAACCAGCCTTGCATCCAAGGAATGAAGCCAACTTGATTGTGGTGGATAAGCTTTTTGATGTGCTGCTGGATACAGTTTGCCAGTATTTTATTGAGAATTGTTGAATTGATGTTCATCAGGGATATTGCCTTGAAATTTTCTTTTTTTGTTCTTTCTCTGCCAAATTTTGGTAACTGGATGATGCTGGCCTCATAAAATGAGCTGCAGAGGAGTCCCACTTTTTTGTTTGGAATAGTTTCAGAAGGAATGGTGCCAGCTTCTCTTTGTACCACTGGTGGAATTCAGCTGTGAATCCGTCTGGTCCTGGGCTTTTTTTTTTTTTTTTTGGTTGGTAGGCTATTAATTACTGCCTAAATTACAGAACTTGTTATTGATCTATTCAGGGATTTGACTTCCTCCTGGTTTAGTCTTGGGAGGGTGTGTGTGTGTCCAGGAATTTATCCATTTCTTTTTGATTTTCTAGTTTATTTGCGTAGAGGTGTTAACAGTACTCTCCGATGGTAGTTTGTCTTTCTGTGTGATCAGTGGTGATATCCCCTTTATCATTTTTTATTGTGTCTATTTGATTCTTCTCCCTTTTCTTCATTATTAGTCTGGCTAGCAGTCTATCTATTTTGTTAATCTTTTTTGAAAAAACAGCTCCTGGATTCATTGATTTTTTGATGGGTTTTTCAGGTCTATCTCCATCAGTTCTGCTCTGATTTTAGTTATTTCTTCTCTTCTGCTACCTTTTGAATTTGTTTGCTCTTTCTTCTCTAGTTCTTTTAATTGTGATGTTTGTTAGAGTGTTGATTTTAGATCTTTCTCGCTTTCTGATGTGGGCATTTAGTGCTATAAATTTCCCTCTAAACACTGCTTTAGCTGTGTCCCAGAGATTCTGGTACGTTGCCTCTTTGTCCTCATTGGTTTCAAAGAACTTATTTATTTCTGCCTTTATTTCGTTATTTACCCAGTAGTCGTTCAGGAGCAGGTTGTTCAGTTTCCATGTAGTTTTGTGATTTTAAGTGAGTTTGTTAATCCTGAGTTCTAATTTGATTGCACTGCAGTCTGAGAGACTGTTTGTTAGGATTTCCGTTTTTTGAATTTCCTGAGGAGTGTTTCACTTCCAATTATGTGGTCTATTTTAGAGTAAGTGATATATGGTGCTGAGAAGAATGTATATTCTGTTGATTTGGGGTGGAGAGCTCTGTAGATGTCCATTAGGTCCTCTTGGTCAGAGCTGAGTTCAAGTCCTCAATATCCTGCTTAATTTTCTGTCTCGTTGATCAGTCTAATATTGACAGTGGGGTGTTAAAGTCTCCCATTATTATTGTGTGGGTGTTTAAGTCCCTTTGTAGGCCTCTACAAACTTGTTTTATGAATCTGGGTGCTCCTGTATTAGGTGCATATATATTTAGGATAGTTAGCTCTTCTAGTTGCATTGATCCCTTTACCGCTATGTAATGTTATTCTTTGTCTTTTTTGATCTTTGTTGGCTTAAAGTCTGTGTTATCAGAGACTAGGATTGGAACCCCTGCTTTATTTTGCTTTCTATTTGCTTGGTAAATATTCCTTCATCCTTTTAATTTGAGCCTATATGTGTCTTTGCACCTGAGATGGGTCTCCTGAATACAGCACATCAAGGGTCTCTTTATCCAATTTTCCAGTCTATGTCTTTTAATTGGGGCATTTAGCCCATTTACATTCAAGGTTAATATTGTTATGTGTCAATTTGATCCTGTCCTCATGATGCTAGCTAGTTATTTTGCACATTAGTTGATGCAGTTTCTTCATAGTGTCATTGGTCTTTATATTTTGGTGTGTTTTTCCAGTGGCTGGTACCGGTTTTTCCTTTTCATATTTAGTGCTTTCTGCAGGAACTCTTGTAAGGCAGGCCTGGGAGTGACACGATCCCTCAGCATTTGCTTGTTTGGAAAACATTTTATTTCTCCTTCACTTATGAAGCTTAGTTTGGCTGGATATGGAATTCTGGGTTAAACATTCTTTATGAATGTTGAATATTGGCCCCTACTCTCTTCTGACTTATAGGGTTTCTGCAGAGAGATCTGCTGTTAGTCTGATGGGCTTCCCTTTGTAGGTAACCTGACTTTTATCTCTGGCTGACCTTAACATTTTCTTCTTCATTTCAACTTTGGAGAATCTGACAACTATGTGTCTTCGTGTTGCTCTTCTCGAGGAGTATCTTAGTGGTGTTCTCTTTATTTCCTGAATTTGAATGTAGGCCATATTGCTAGTTTGGGGAAGTTTTCCTGGATAATATCCTGAAGTGTGTTTTCCAACTTGGTTCCATTCTCCTCATCACTTTCAGGCACACCAATGAAACGTAAGTTTGGTCTTTTCACATAGTCCCATATTGCCTGGAGGCTTTGTTTGCTCCTTTTCATTCTTTTTTCTCTAATATTCTCTTCATGATTTTTTTTCATTAAGTTGATTTTCAATTTCTAATATTCTTTCTTCTGCTTGATTGATTCAGCTATTGATACTTGAGTATGCTTCAAAGTTCTCATGCTGTGTTTCTCAGCTCCATCAGTTCATTTATGTTCTTTTCTAAACTGGTTATTGTAGTTAGCAGTTCCTGTAACCTTTTATCAAGGTTCTTAGCTTCCTTGCATTGGGTTAGAACATGCTCCTTTAGCTAAGAGGAGTTTGTTATTGCCCAATTTCTGAAGCCTATTTCTGTCAGTTCATCAAACTCATTCTCCGTTCAGTCTTGTGCCCTTGCTGGAGAAGAGATGTGATCATTTAGAGGAGAAGAGGCATTCTGGTTTTTGGAATTTTCAGCCATTTTGTGTTGGTTTTTCCTCATCTTCATGGATTTATCTACCTTTGATCTTGATGTTGATTACTTTTGGATGCGTTTTTTGTGTGGGCATCCTTTTTGTTGATGTTAATGTTATTGCTTTCTGTTTGTTGGTTTTCCTTCTAACAGTCAGGCTGTCTTCTGCAAGTCTGCTGGAGTTTGCTGGAGGTCCACTCCAGGTCATATTTGCCTGGGTATCACCAGTGGAGGCTGCAGAACAGCAAAGATTGCTGCTTGCATCTTCCTCTGGAAGCTTCATCCCAGAGGGGCACCTGCATGATGCCAGCCAGAGTTCTCCTGTATTAAGTGTCTGTCGACCTTTGCTGGGACGTGTTTCCCAGTCAGGAGGCATGGGGGTCAGGGACCCACTTGAGGAGGAAGTCTGTCCCTTAGCAGAGCTTGAGTGCTGTGCTGGGAGATCTGCTGCCCTCTTCAGAGCTGGCAGGCAGGAATGTTTAAGTGTGCTGAAGCTGTGCCCACAGCCGCCCCTTCCCCCAGGTGCTCTGTCCCAGGGAGATGGGAGTTTTATGTATAAGCCCCTGACTGGGGCTGCTGCCTTTCTTTCAGAGATGCCCTGACCATTGAGGAGGGATCTAGAGAGGCAGTCTGGCCACAGCTGACTGGCTGTGCTGCAGTGAATTCCACACAGTGTGAACTTTCCAGCGGCTCCCTTAATTCTGTGACAGGAAAACCACTTTCTCAAGCCTAAATAATGGTGAACGCCCCTCCCCCCACCAAACTCGATTGTCCTAAGTTGACTTCAGACCGCTGTGCTGGCAGCAATAATTTCAATCCAGTTGTTCTTAGCTTGCTGGGCTCCATGGGAATGGGACCCACTCAACGAGATCATTTGGCTCCCTGATTTCAGCTCCCTTTCCAGGGGAGTGAAAGGTTCTGTCTCGCTGGGTTTCCAGGCCCAACTGAGGTGTGACAAAAAAAAAACTCCTGCAGCTAGCTCAGTGTCTCTCCAAACAGCCATCCAGTTTTGTGCTTGAAACCCAGGGCCTGGGTGGTCTAGACACAGGAGAGAATCTCCTGGTCTGCGGGTTGCAAAAACCATGAGAAAAGCGTAGTATCTGAGTTGGATAGCACTGTCCCTCATGGCACAGTCTCTCACTACTTCCCTTGGTTAAGGGAGGGAGTTCCCCAGCCCCTTGCACTTCTTGGATGAGGCGACACCCCACCCTACTTCTGCTTGCCCTTCATGGGCTGCAACCACTGTCTAACCAGTCCCAGTGAGATGAACAGTGTACCTCAGTTTGAAATGCAGAAATCACCCACCTTCTGTACTGATCTTACTGGGAGCTGCAGACCAGAGCATTTCCTATTTGGCCATCTTGCCCAGGAATCCATCAAAGCCAATTTAAAAGCCTATGTAAAAAATATTCTTGCTGCACTGTATACAAATATTTAGGCTAAATATAATAAGCAAACCAGTCCTACCATTATTTGTCTTTAGTAAAATGGGAAACTGGAGAGAGAATAAATTATGTTTAAAAACAATTGTACACCTGTTGTTAGATTCTAGTCTTGCCTAATAGGGTTTTTTTTCATTTTTTTAATTATTTTCTACAGTTTGGACCAAATTCTAATTTTTCTTGGCTACAACTGTTCAAAATGTTTCCATTTTTTTCTTATCTTTTTCATTTTTCATAATTTGGGGTCACTGAAAACTAAGCCGTGGTTTTTTAAAACCCTGTGAACCGAAGCCAGGCAACTTAAACTTCTGAAGAAAATAACAATAATCTATTTATATACATAAGCCACTTTTATACCTGCTTACTAATGTATGGCTTTCAGAGTAATGTGGCCTATATTGATTTGTCCAAGACTGTTCTTTTCTTGTTGTTTTATCTCTTTTTCTTCCTCCTATTTTCTCTTCATAGGACATGAGACTCCACCACCTGCTAAAAATGAGCTTTCTGGACCTATTCATCTAAAAATAAACCATCTTATGCATGACAGATCAGATGAAATCTGAGACAGAGACTCATTTTCTTGTAAAATGCTTTCTCCAAAAAATTGTTAAAAAGAAAAAGGGGGAATTGTGAAAGAAAAATATCTTGGGCCCTTCAAGCTGGGAACCACTCAGGGCAAGTCTGCCTCCTATTCAACCTAACCCTTTGCTCACAGAGATAGATGCAGATTCTGATTGCCTCCTTTGGAAAGACTTATCATAAACTCAAAGAATGCAGCCATCTGTCTTTCACCTACATATGACCAGGAGACACCCAATTGGTGGGAGGCTTGTTTCTAGATGAAACTAATGTGTTTCTTACATATTGATGGATGTCTCATGTCTCCCTAAAATGTATAAAACCAATCTGTGCCCTGACCACCTTGGGCACATGTCATCAGGACTTCCCGAAGCTGTGTTATGGGCACATTCTCAACCTTTGCAAAATAAACTTTCTAAATTATTTGAGACCTGTCTCAAAGTTTGGAGGTTCACAAATTCAACAAAGCAAACAAAAACAAAAAGTGGGGAAAGGATATCCTCTTAAACAAATGCTGCTTAGATAGTTGGCAAGCCACATGTAAAAAAATAAAACTGAATCCTCACCCTCACCTTGTATAAAAATCAACTCAAGATGATCCAAAGACTTACATCTAAGACCTGAAACTATAAAAATTTTAGAAGATAGCATTGGAAAAACTCTTCTAGACATTGGCTTAGGCCAAGAGTTTATGACCAGGAACCCAAGAGCAAATGCAATAGGAACAAATATAAACAGATGGAACCTAATTAAACTAAAGAGCTTCTGTACACCAAAAGAAATAATCAGCAGAGTAAACAGACGAACCATAAAATGGGAGAAAATATTTACAAACTATGCATTTGACAAAAGACTAATAGCCAGAATCTACAAGGAATGCAAGCAAACCAGCAAGAAAAAAACAACTCTATCAAAAAGTGGGCAAAGGACATGAATAGACAATTCTCAAAAAATATATACAAATGATTAACGTCACTAATTGTCAGGTAAATGCAAATTAAAACCACAGTGAAATATCATCTTACTTCTCTAAGAATGTCCATAAATAAAAAAAAAACATAATACATATTGGTGTGAATGTGCTGAAAAGGGAACACCTGTACGCTGCTGGTGGGAATGTAAACTAGTACAATCACTATGAAAAAGATTATGAAAATTCCTTAAAATACTAAAAGTAGAACTACCATTTGATCTAGCAATCCCACTTCTGGGTATCTACCCAGAGGAAAAGAAGTCATTATATGAAAAATACACTTGCACACACATTTATAGCAGCACAATTTGCAATTGTAAAAAATATAGAACCATCTTAAATGTCAATCAACCAACGAGTGGATAAGGAAAATCTGGTATATATACACCATAGGATACTACCTAGCCATAAAAAGAAACAAAATAATGACGTTTATAGCAAGTTGGATAAAGTTGGAGACCATTATTCTAAGTGAAGTAACTCAGGAATGGAAAACTAAATATTGTGTGTTCTCACAAATAAGTAGCAGCTAAGCTATGAGGATGTAAAGGCATAAAAATGATATAATGGACTTTCAGTACTTGGAGAAAAAAGTGAAAAGGAGGTGAGGATAAAAGATTATACACTGGGTACAGGGTACACTGCTTGGGTGATGGGTGCACCAAAATCTCAGAAATTGCCACTAAAGAACTTATCCATGTAACCAAAAATGACCTGTTCCCCAAAAACTGTTGAAATTAAAATAAAATAAAATAAATGATGCCCACTTTAAAAAATTAAGAAAAGTTCTCCAATCTGTGTAATTGTATGGAAATTAAACAACATACTCCTGAATGATCTTTGGGTAAATAATGAAATTAAGGCAGAAATTAAGACGTTCTTTGAAACTAATAAGAACAAAGATACAACATCCCAGAATCTTTAGGACACAGCTAAGGGAGTGTTAAAAGAAAACTTCATAGCACTAAATACACACATAAAAAAGTTAGAAAGATCTCAAATTAACTACCTAATGTCACAACTGAAAGAATTAGAGAAGCAAGAAGAAATCAACCCCAAAGATAGCAGAAGACAAGAAATAACTTAATTCAGAGCTGAACTAAAGAAAATCAAGACATGAAAAAACATTCAAAAATTGCACAAATTCAGGAGGTGTTTTTTTTGGGGGGGGCAGGAAGACAAATAGGCCACTAGCTAGGCTAATAAAGAATAAAAGAGAGAAGATCCAAATAAACACAATTAGAAATGACAAAGGGAGTATTGCCACTGACACCACAGAAACAAAAATAACCATCAGAAACTACTATGAAACCTCTATGCACAAAAACTAGAAACCCTAGAAGAGAAGGATAAATTCCTGGAAGCATACACTTTGTCAAGACTGAACCAGGAGAGAAAAACTTCTGTATCGCTCCCGCTCCCTCTCCCTCTCCCTCTCCCTCTCCCCTCTTTCCACGGTCTCCCTCTGATGCCAAGCCAAAGCTGGACTGTACTGCTGCCATCTCGGCTCACTGCAACCTCCCTGCCTGATTCTCCTGCCTCAGCCTGCCGAGTGCCTGTGATTGCAGGCGCGCGCCGCCACGCCTGACTGGTTTTCGTATTTTTTTGGTGGAGACGGGGTTTCGCTGTGTTGGCCGGGCTGGTCTCCAGCTCCTAACAGCGAGTGATCTGCCAGCCTCAGCCTCCCGAATTGCCGGGATTGCAGACGGAGTCTGGTTCACTCAGTGCTCCATGGTGCCCAGGCTGGAGCGCAGTGGCGTGATCTCGGCTGGCTACAACCTCCACCTCCCACCCGCCTGCCTTGGCCTCCCAAAGTGCCGAGATTGCAGCCTCTGCCCGGCTGCCACCCCATCTGGGAAGTGAGGAGCGTCTCTGCCTGGCCGCCCATTGTCTGGGACATGAGGAGCCCCTCTGCCTGGCTGCCCAGTCTGGAAAGTGAGGAGCATCTCTGCCCCACTGCCATCCCATCTAGGAAGTGAGGAGCGCCTCTTCCCAGCCGCCATCCCATCTAGGAAGTGAGGAGCGTCTCTGCCCGGCCGCCCATCATCTGAGATGTGGGGAGCGCCTTTGCCCCGCCGCCCCGTCTGGGATGTGAGGAGCGCCTCTAACCGGCCGCGACCCCGTCTGGGAGGTGAGGAGCATCTCTGCCCGGCCGCCCCGTCTGAGAAGCGAGGAGACCCTCCGCCTGGCAACCGCCCCATCTGAGAAGTGAGGAGCCCCTCCACCCGGCAGCCGCCCCGTCTGAGAAGTGAGGAGCCCCTCAGCCCGGCAGCTGCCCCGTCTGGGAAGTGAGGAGTGTCTCCACCCAGCAGCCACCCCATCCCGGAGGGAGGTGGGGGGGTCAGCCCCCCACCCGGCCAGCCACCCCGTCCGGGAGGGAGGTGGGGGCGTCAGCCCCCCGCCCGGCCAGCCACCCTGTCCGGGAGGTGAGGGGCGCCTCTGCCCGGCCGCCCCTACTGGGAAGTGAGGAGCCCCTCTGCCCGGCCAGCCGCCCCGTCTGGGAGGGAGGTGGGGGGGTCAGCCCCCCGCCCGGCCAGCCGCCCCTTCTGGGAGGGAGGTGGGGGGGTCAGCACCCCCGCCCGGCCAGCCGCCCCGTCCAGGAGGGAGGTGGGGGGGTCAGCCCCCCGCCTGGCCAGCCACCCCGTCCGGGAGGGAGGTGGAGGGGTCAGCCCCCCACCCGGCCAGCTGCCTTGTCTGGGAGGTGAGGGGCGCCTCTGCCCGGCCGCCCCTACTGGGAAAGGAGGAGCCCCTCTGCCCGGCCACCACCCCGTCTGGGAGGTGTACCCAACAGCTCATTGAGAACGGGCCATGATGACAATGGTGGTTTTGTGGAATAGAAAGAGGGGAAAGGCGGGGAAAAGATTGAGAAATCGGATGGTTGCCGTGTCTGTGTAGAAAGAGGTAGACATGGGAGACTTTTCATTTTGTTCTGTACTAAGAAAAATTCTTCTGCCTTGTGATCCTGTTGATCTGTGACCTTACCCCCAACGCTGTGCCCTCTGAAACATGTGCTGTGTCCACTCAGGGTTAAATGGATTAAGGGCGGTGCAAGATGTGCTTTGTTAAACAGATGCTTGAAGGCAGCACGCTCGTTAAGAGTCATCACCACTCCCTAATCTCAAGTACCCAGGGACACAAACACTGCGGAAGGCCGCAGGGTCCTCTGCCTAGGAAAACCAGAGACCTTTGTTCACTTGTTTATCTGCTGACCTTCCCTCCACTATTGTCCTATGACCCTGCCAAATACCCCTCTGCGAGAAACACCCAAGAATGATCAATAAAAATAAATAAATAAATAAATAAAATAAAATAAAATAAAAAAAGACTGAACCAGGAATAAATTAATTCCATGAACAGACCAATAACAAACTCCAATATTGAATCAGTAATAAATAACCTACCAGCAAAAAAAAAAAAAAAAAAAAAAAAAAGCCCAGGAACCAATAGATTCAGGACGAATTCTACCAGATGTACAAAGAGCTAATACCATTCTTACCGAAACTATTCCGAAAGAATTGAAGAGATGGGACTCCTCCCCAACTCATTTTATGAGGCCAGTATCATCCTGATACTAAAACCTAGCAGAGACATAAGAAAATAAAACTTCAGGCCAATATTCTTGATTAACACAGATGAAAAATCTTCAACAAAATACTTGCAAATCAAATACAGCAACACACCAAGACGCTAATCCATCACAAGCAGGCTTCATCTCTGGGATGCAATGTTGGTTCAACAGACACAAACCAATAAATGTGATTCATGACATAAACACAACTAAACAAAAAAACCACATGATTATCTCAATAGAGGCAGAATAGGCTTTCAATAAAATTCAACACCTCTTCATGTTAAAAACTCTCAATAAACTAAGTATTGAAGAAACATACCTCAATATAATGAGCCATGGCAAACCCACAGTCAATTATTTCAAACCCACAGTAAACATAATACTGAGTGGCCAAAAGCAGAAAGCATTCCCCTTGAAATCCAGCACAAGACAATGATGCTTTCTCTAACCTCTCCTATTTCACATAGTAGTGGAAGTCCTAGCCAGAGCAATCAGGCAAGAGAAAGAAATAAATGGCATCCAAATAGAAAGAGGCAAAGTCAAACTATTTCAATTTGTAGATGATATGATTCTATATCATTAAAAAAAAAGTTTTGACCCAGAAGGTTCTTCAGCTCATAAACAACTTCAGCAAAGTTTCAGGATACAAAATCAATGTATGAAAATCACTAGTAATTTTGTACATCAACAACAACCAAGATGAGAACCAAATCAGAAAGGTAATCCTAGGAACACCTAGGAATAAAATACCTAGGATACAGCTAACCAGGGTGACAAAAGATCTCTACAATGAGAATTACAAAAAGCTGCTCAAAGAAATCAGAAAAGACAAAAAGCACAGGGGAAAACATCCCATGAACATGGAAAGGAATAATCAATATTATTAAAATGGCTATACTGCCCAACGCAATTTACAGATTTAATGCTATTCCTATCAAACTGCCAATGAAATTCTTCACAGAACTAGAAAAAAACCTATTTTAAAATTCAGATGAAGGCAAGAAATAACTAAGATCAGAGCAGAACTGAAGGAGATAGAGACACAAAAAACCTTTCAAAAAACCAATGAATCCAGTAGCTGGTTTTTTGAAAAGATCAACAAAATTGATAGACCTCTAGCAAGACTAATAAAGAAGAAAAGAGAGAAGAATCAAATAGACGCAATAAAAACTGACAAAGGGGATATCACCACCCATCCCACAGAAATACAAACTACCATCAGAGAATACTCTAAATACCTCTATGCAAATAAACTAGAAAATCTAGAAGAAATGGATAAATTCCTCGACACATACAGCCTCCAAAGACTAAACCAGGAAGAATTTGAATCTCTGAATAGACCAATAACAGGATCTGAAATTCAGGCAATAATTAATAGCTTACTAACCAAAAAAAGTCCAGGACCAGATGGATTCACAGGCGAATTCTACCAGAGGTACAAGGAGGAGCTGGTACCATTCTTTCCAAAACTATTCTAATCAATAGAAAAAGAGGGAATCCTCCCTAACTCATTTTATGAGGCCAGCATCATCCTGATACCAAAGCCTGGCAGAGACACAACAAAAAAAGAGAATTTCAGACCAATATCCTTGATGAACATTGATGCAAAAATCCACAATAAAATACTGGTAAACCGAAACCAGCAACACATCAAAAAGCTTATCCACCATGACCAAGTGGGGTTCATCCCAGGGATGCAAGGCTGATTCAACATACGAAAATCAAGAAACATAATACAGCATATAAACAGAACCAAAGACAAAAACCACATGATTATCTCAATAGATGCAGAAAAGGCCTTTGACAAAATTCAACAACCTTTCATGGAAAAACTCTCAATAAATTAGGTATTGATGGGACGTATGTCAAAATAATAAGAGCTATCTATGACAAACCCACAGCCAATATCATACTGAATGGGCAAAACTGGAAGCATTCCCTTTGAAAACTGGCACAAGACAGGGATGCTCTCTCTCACTACTCCTATTCAACATAGTGTTGGAAGTTCTGGCCAGGGCAATCAAGCAGGAGAAGGAAATAAAGGGCATTCATTTAGGAAAAGAGGAAGTCAAATTGTCCCTGTTTGCAGATGACATGATTGTATATCTAGAAAACCCCATCGTCTCAGCACAAAATCTCTTTAAGCTGATAAGCAACTTCAGCAAAGTCTCAGGATACAAAATCAATGTGCAAAAATCACAAGCATTCTTATACACCAATAACAGACAAACAGAGAGCCAAATCATGAGTGAACTCCCATTCACAATTGCTTCAAAGAGAATAAAATACCTAGGAATCCAACTTACAAGGGATATAAAGGATCTCTTCAAGGAGAACTACAAACCACTGCTCAATGAAATAAATTAGGATACAAAAAAACGGAAGAACATTCCATGCTCATGGGTAGGAAGAATCAATATTGTGAAAATGGTCATACTGCCCAAGGTAATTTATAGATTCAATGCTATCCCCATCAAGCTACCAATGACTTTCTTCACAGAATTGGAAAAAATCACTTTAAAGTTCATATGGAACAAAAAAAGAGCCTGCATTGCCAAGTCAATCCTAAGCCAAAAGAAAAAAGCCGGAGGCATTATGCTACCTGACTTCAAATTATACTACAAGGCTACAGTAACCAAAACAGCATGGTACTGGTACCAAAACAGAGAAATAGACCAATGGAACAGAACAGAGCCCTCAGAAATAATGCTGCATATCTACAACTATCTGATCTTTGATAAACCTGACAAAAACAAGAAATGGGGAAAGGATTCCCTATTTAATAAATGGTGCTGGGAAAACTGGCTAGCCATATGTAGAAAGATGAAACTGGATCCCTTCCTTGTACCTTATACAAAAATTAATTCAAGATGGATTAAAGACTTAAATGTTTGACCTAAAACCATAAAAAACATAGAAGAAAACCTAGGCAACACCATTCAGGACATAGGCATGGGCAAGCACTTCATATCCAAAACACCAAAAGCAATGGCAACAAAAGCCAAAATTGACAAATGGGATCTAATTAAATTAAAGAGCTTCTGCACAGCAAAAGAAACTACCATCAGAGTGAACAGGCAATCTACAGAATGGGAGAAAATTTTTGCAACCTACTCATCTGACAAAGGGCTAATATCCAGAATCTACAATGAATGCAAACAAATTTACAAGAAAAAAACAACCCCATCAGCAAGTGGGCGAAGGATATGAACAGACACTTCTCAAAAGAAGACATTTATGCAGGGAAAAACACATGAAAAATTGCTCATCATCACTGGCCATCAGAGAAATGCAAATCAAAACCACAATGAGATACCATCTCACACCAGTTAGAATGGTGATCATTAAAAAGTCAGGAAACAACAGGTGCTGGAGAGGATGTGGAGAAATAGGAACACTTTTACACTGTTGGTGGGACTGTAAACTAGTTCAACCATTGTGGAAGTCAGTGTGGTGATTCATCAGGGATCTAGAACTAGAAATACCATTGGACCCAGCCATCTCATTACTGGGTATATACCCAAAGGATGATAAATCATGCTGCTATAAAGGCACATGCACACATATGTTTATTGCAGCACTATTCACAATAGCAAAGACTTGGAACCAACCCAAATGATGAACAATGATAGACTGGAATAAGAAAATGTGGCACATATACACCATGGAATACTATGCAGCTATAAAAAATAGTGAGTTCATGTCATTTGTAGGGACGTGGATGAAGCTGGAAACCATCATTCTCAGCAAACTATCACAAGGACAATAAACCAAACAACACATGTTCTCACTCATGGGTGGGAATTGAACAATGAGAACACATGGACACAGGAAGGGGAACATTACACACTGGGGACGGTTGTGGGGTGGGGGGAGGGGGGAGGGATAGCATTAGGAGATATACCTAATGCTAAATGACGAGTTGATGGGTGCAGCACACCAACATGGCACGTGTATACATATGTAACAAACCTGCACGTTGTGCACATGAACCCTAAAACTTAAAGTATAATAATAATAAAATAAAATTTTTTAAAAAAGAACTAGTTTACAGTCCCACCAACAGTGTAAAAGTGTTCCTGTTTCTCCACATCCTCTCCAGCACCTGTTGTTTCCTGACTTTTTAATGATCGCCTTTCTAACTGGTGTGAGATGGTATCTCATTGTGGTTTTGATTTGCATTTCTCTGATGGCCAGTGATGATGAGCGTTTTTTCATGTGTCTTTTGGCTGCATAAATGTCTTCTTTTGAGAAGTGTCTGTCCATATCCTTCACCCACTTGTTGATGGGGTTGTTTGTTTTTTTCTTGTAAATTTGTTTGAGTTCTTTGTAGATTCTGGATATTAGCTCTTTGTCAGATAAGTAGATTGCAAAAATTTTCTCCCATTCTGTAGGTTGCCTGATCACTCTGATAGAAGTTTCTTTTGCTGTGCAGAAACTCTTTAGTTTAATTAGAGCCCATTTGTCAATTTTGGCTTTTGTTGCCATTGCTTTTGGTGTTTTAGACATGAAGTCCTTGCCCATGCCTATGCCCTGAATGGTATTGCCTAGGTTTTCTTCTATGGTTTTTATGGTTTTAGATATATCATGTAAGTCTTTAATCCATCTTGAATTAATTTTTGCATAAGGTGTAAGGAAGGGATCCAGTTTCAGCTTTCTACATATGGCTAGCCAGTTTTCCCGGCACCATTTAATTTAAATATTAAATAAGGAATCCATTTCCCATTTCTTGTTTTTGTCAGGTTTGTCAAAGATCAGATGGTTGTAGATGTGTGGTAGTATTTCTGAGGGCTCTGTTCTGTTCCATTGGTCTATATCTCTGTTTTGGTACCACTACCATGCTGTTTTGGTTACTGTAGGCTTGTAGTATAGTTTGAAGTCACGTAGCGTGATGCCTCCAGCTTTGTTCTCTTGGCTTAGGATTGACTTGGCATTGCGGGCTCTTTTTTGGTTCCATATGAACTTTAAAGTAGTTTTTTCCAATTCTGTGAAGAAAGTCATTGGTAGCTTGATGGGGATGGCATTGAATCTATAAATTACCTTGGGCAGTATGACCATTTTCACGATATTGATTCTTCCTACCCATGAGCATGGAATGTTCTTCCATTTGTTTGTATCCTAATTTATTTCATTGAGCAGTGGTTTGTAGTTCTCCTTGAAAAGGACTTTCACATCCCTCGTAAGATGGATTCCT
Organism: Homo sapiens; assembly: GCF_000001405.40. Taxonomy (NCBI): domain Eukaryota; kingdom Metazoa; phylum Chordata; class Mammalia; order Primates; family Hominidae; genus Homo; species Homo sapiens. The sequence continues at coordinate 80,597,729 of NC_000023.11, forward strand.
AGGTATTTTATTCTCTTTGAAGCAACTGTGAATGGGAGTTCGCTCATGATTTGACTTTCTGTTTGTCTGTTATTGGTGTATAAGAATGCTTGTGATTTTTGCACATTGATTTTGTATCCTGAGACTTTGCTGAAGTTGTTTATCAGCTTAAGGAGATTTTCGGCTGAGATGATGGGGTTTTCTAGATATACAATCATGTCATCTGCAAACAGGGACAATTTGACTCCCTCTTTTCCTAATTGCATACCCTGTATTTCTTTCTCCTGCCTCATTGCCCTGGCCAGAAATTCCAACACTATGTTGAATAGGAGTAGTGAGAGAGGGCATCCCTGTCTTGTGCCAGTTTTCAAAGGGAATGCTTCCAGTTTTTGCCCACTCAGTATGATATTGGCTGTCGGTCTGTCATAAATAGCTCTTCTTATTTTGAGCTATGTCCCATCAATACCTAATTTATTGAGAGTTTTTAGCATGAAGGGCTGTTGAATTTTGTCAAAGGCCTTTTCTGCATCTATTGAGATAATCATGTGGTTTTTGTCTTTGGTTCTGTTTATATGCTGGATTACATTTATTGATTTGCATATGTTGAACCAGCCTTGCATCCCAGGGATGAAGCCCACTTGATCTTGGTGGATAAGCTTTTTGATGTGCTGCTGGATTCGGTTTGCCAGTATTTTATTGAGGATTTTTGCACCGATGTTCATCAGGGATATTGGTCTAAAATTCTCTCTTCTTTGTTGTGTCTCTGCCAGGCTTTGGGATCAGGATGATGCTGGCCTCATAAAATGAGTTGGGGAGGATTCCATCTTTTTCTATTGATTGGAATAGTTTCAGAAGGAATGGTACCAGCCAGCTCCTCCTTGTACCTCTGGTAGATAGTTAGCCATTCGTCTAATCTTTTTTCAAGGTTTTTAACTTCTTTGCGAAGGGTTCGAACTTCCTCCTTTAGCTCAGAGTAGTTTGATCATCCTTCTTCTCTCAACCCATCAAAGTCATTCTCCATCCATCTTTGTTCCATTGCTGGTGAGGAGCTGCATTTGTTTGGAGGAGGAAAGGCGCTCTGATTTTTAGAATTTTCAGTTTTTCTGCTCTGTTTTTTCCCTATCTTTGTGGTTTTATCTACCTTTGGTCTTTGATGATGGTGACGAACAGATGGGGTTTTGGTGTGGATGTCCTTTCTGTTTGTTAGTTTTCCTTCTAACAGTCAGGACCCTCAGCTGCAGGTCTGTTGGAGTTTGCTGGAGGTCCACTCCAGACCCTGTTGGCCTGGATATCAGCAGCAGAGGCTGCAGAACAGCGAATATTGGTGAACAGCAAATGTAGCTGCCTGATCTTTCCTCTGGAAGTTTTGACTCAGAGGAGTACCTGGCCGTGTGAGGTGTCAGTCTGCCCCTACTGGGGGTGCCTCCCAGTTAGGCTTCTCAGAGGTCAAGGACCCACTTGAGGAGGCACTCTGTCCATTCTCAGATCTCAAGCTGTGTGCTGAGAGAACCACTACTCTCTTCAAAGCTGTCAGACAGGGACATTTAAGTCTTCAGAGGCTTCTGCTGCCTTTTGCTTGGCTATGCCCTGCCCCCAGAGGTGGAGTCTACAAGAGGCAGGCAGGCTTCCTTGAGCTGCAGTGGGCTCCACCCAGTTTGAGCTCCCCAGCTGCTTTGTTTACCTACTCAAGCCTCAGCAATGGCGGGCACCCCTCCCCCAGCCTCACTGCCACCTTGCAGTTTGATCTCAGGCTGCTGTGCTAGCAATGAGTGAGACACCATGGGCTTAGGACCCTCCGAGCCAGGTGTGGGATATAATCTCCCGGTGTGCCGTTTGCTAAGACCATCAGAAAAGCACAGTATTAGGGTGGGAGTGACCCAACTTTCCTGGTGCTGTCTGTCACCCCTTTCCTTGGCTATGAAAGGGAATTCCCTGACCCCTTGTTCTTCCCAGGTGAGGCGATGCCTCACCCTGCTTCGGCTCACTCTTGGTGTGCTGCACCCACTGTCCAACAATCCCCAGTGAGATGAACCCAGTACCTCAGTTGGAAATGCAGAAATCATTTGTCTCTGTGTCACTCACACTGGGAGCTGTAGACTGGAGGTGTTCCTATTCGGCCCTCTTGGCTAGAGTCCTCCCGCCATTTTTTTTCAAGTCCCATCTCAAAGTAATATAAATTATTCTATCATAAAGACACATGCACATATATGTACATTGTAGCAGTATTCACAATTGTAAAGACATGGAATCAACCTAAATACCCATCAGTGGTAGACTGGATACATTAAATATGGTGTATATACACCATAGAATACTACAAAGCCACAGAAAGAATGATATCATGTCCTTTGCTGGAACATGGATGAAGCTGGAGGCCATTATTCTTAGCAAACTTATGCAGAAACAGTGAAACAAATACAGAATTTTCTCACTTGTAAGAGTGGAATCTAAATGAGAACACATGGATACATAGAGAGGAACAACACACACTTGGTCCTATCAGAGGGAGGAGTGTGGGAGGAAGGAGAGGATCAGGAAGAATAACTAATGGGTACCAGGATTAATACATGGGCCATGAAATAATCTGTACAATGAACTCCCATAGCATGAGTTTACCTATATAACCAACCTGTATATGTACACCTGAAATTAAAATATAAGTTTTAAAAGTTTTATAACATAGTTATATTTTAATTTATTGCATATCAATAGCTATTATAAATAACAGATCTTCAAGCATATAAATATATTAAATTAGCCTAAAGTTATGTGGGGAAAATAGAACAAATATACAATTCAAAGAGAAAAATGAACAATAAAAACTTTCCGACTGTTAAGGAAGAGCTCATTTATTTATTTTCTAAGTTGATGATGGTGTGTATCCAATTACTATGGTAGTTAGATATCACTTGTTACATTTATGATGTAAAACTTTTATTAGAAATCTCAATATTTGTAATACACTAGAAATTGCATCCCCTACAACTATTTAAACTTATAATGAATGTTTGATATCAAACTAAAAATATGTAATGGAGAGAAAAGTTTATCAAAATTATTTTATAAGATTGTCAGAAAACCAAACACTGCATGTTCTCACTCATAAGAGGGAGTTAGACAATGAGAACACATGGACACAGGGAGGGCAACATGACACACTAGGATGTTTCAGGGGGTGTGAGGCAAGGGGAGGGAGAGCATTGGGACAAATACCTAATGCATGCAGGGCTTAAAACCTAGATGACTTGTTGATAGGTGCAGCAAACCACCATGGCGCATGTATACCTATGTAACAAACCTGCATGTTCTCCACATGTATCCCAGAACTTAAAGTAAAATAAAATAAAATAAAATAAAATAAAATAAAATAAAATAAAATAAAATAAAATAAAATAAAAAGATTGTCATGCAAAAATGCTTAAAAATGGCCATCCTAAGGCTTTGAATAATTCTATTGTTTTATCATGGAGAGCACCTAATGAAGATACATGTCCTGGGGCTGGAGAGGCAATTGTCCTGGAGTCACCCTGATGAATAGGAATCATACATTTCCACTCAAACTCCCTTTCTTTCTCTAGCCATTATTTCTACATATAGATATATTTTCAAGGATAAGTGGAATAAAAAGCCTCCTCTGTGGAGGAATTTGAGGCTTTAAGGAACAGAATACCCAGCTACCAAACCTCTCTCTTCACCATTACTACGGCCAAAGACCTTCTATTTCATTCTTTGGATCTCAGATTTATCTTTTGCCAAATCTATCAAAATGAAAGTGTGACTCAGAGCAGAAGAAATTCCTTGTCAGTCTATTTGTAGCAAAAATTACCAAAAATTGAGGTTAAAAAGTAGATGCTAAGGATTAGAAAAAGAAGAGTAAATTTAGGAGAGGAAGAAAAATTCATACATTCATCAGTACACATACTAGTACATTTCAGTAAGCATTATTGAGTCCACTTTAATTGAGTTCTGAAAGGGAAGGTGTGAGGCCCAAAAACAAACTTCACAACCTGCACATTTTCCCAGGGGTTGTTCTTATTCTCTTGTATAAAAGTCAAAAATGCAGCAGACAATTGAAGGAGATTATTTTATTCAGGCTATTGCCATACATATAAAGTTTATCAACAAAGAATCAACTTATTAATTAAGAAAAAGAAAGGGGCCTGAAGTTTTATAAAGATGGTTAGACAGAGGAGTCTTGAGGAAGGGTAGATAAGTCTTATTTAAAGGGTGGAGGTGGTTGTTACTGGATGCCACCGTGCAGCTCTAGGCACTTGATGTCCCGAACAAAGAATTGAATGAGACACACACAGATAGCAAAGCAAGCAGCAAAAGTTTATTAAGCACAGTATTACACTCTCAGAGAAGGAGAACGAACTGACCTCTGCAAGATGTGATCAGCATTACTTTGGTGTACTTTGTGTCTTTTGTGTGTTTTTTTTCCTTCTCTTCCCAAGGCTGCTTAATCTCTAGCCAGTGTCTGCCTTTTGACTGATAGGTGTGTTGCTTAGTTACTTTGGCGGGTGTGTGCTTTCACGTGCCTCTATCCCATAATTTTAACTACATGAAAGATATGCAGTCCATATGCATGAGCTTAAATGAGCTGATTATCATACAGATTCATTTTAAGGATACTTCTTCTCTTTAATGCGCATGCCTATCCCTGAAGAGTTGCCCCTTACTAGTCTGGTCCGGATTCTGCCTGCTTTGGGTCCTTGCTTGCTTCTTTATCTTATTTTTTTGTTTTGGCTACTTAATTTCTACCTCCTATCTTGCTTCTTGATTACCCACCCCTTCACCTGGCTTCTGCTCAATACTTTTACTCATTCCACCCCTTATCCAACTTTTAATTCCCTTGCTATTCTCCTGCGTCATTCTCCACATTCTTCTGCCTCAGTCAGTTCTCAAAATACACAAGCAAAGGAAAAAAACAGTTTGAGAAAAGTTTTGAATTGATTTCCCAGAACACAGGGCTCAGATAAAGTTTAACATTGTCAATTTCCCTTTTGTTGGAGACAAATTAAGTTTGTCACTGAACAACTCAGAAGTAATTTAAAGCCCGCTTTACCAGGGTCCATGAAATAGTCTCTCAATGACTTTTGTTGGCATTCTTCCTGGAAAACTGGTTGAATCATCTATTGAAAGGATGTGGCAAAGGTCAGTTTTTTAGGGTCCTAACGCCTAGGCATCTTTAAAAAAGGGATACCTAAAATCTAGTCCAATTTACTGTTAGGTACCAAAACTATATTTGGGCGGGGGGTGGCTAAAAAGGAGGTTTTAAGCAATTCAATTAAATCTTTACCAGGCAAGTCAGAGTTTGCATACCCATTAGTAACAAATAACTCAAAGATAAAATAACAACGCTAGAATTGATAACTCCAAATGGTGTGCTATAGATTATGCTTAGTTTTCTATTGAAACACAAAATTTATCTCTGTAGTCGCCCCGTTTTTGGTCAATGTGAATCTCAAAGAAAAATTATTTTTGACCATGAAATAAGGCTGGTATCATTAAATTTGACTATTTAGATAGATGCAAAAAGAATGGCAATTTATCATATAGGCTTTTTAAAAGTTTGCTTTGCTGGAAATGTTTATAAAGAATCTCATATTAAACTTTTAATTTTTTATTGTGATAAAATATACATAACATGAAATCTACCATTTTAATAATATTAAGCCTACAATTAAGTGACATTCACAACATTGTGCAATCATTGCCACTATCCATTTTCATCATCCCAAATAGAACCCCTGTACCTATTAAACAAGAACTCCCCATTCTATCCCCTTCAGCTCCTGGTAACCTCTATTCTTCTTTTCATCTCTAAGAATTAGCTTATCCTTGGTACTTTATACAAGTGGAATCATATAATATTCATCCTTTTGTGTAAGACTTCACTTAGCATAATGTTTTCAAGGCTTATCCCTGTTGTAGCATGTATCAGAATTTTATTCCTTCTTAATTCTGAATAATAGTCCATTGCATATATACCACATTTTGTTTATCCATTTATCTGCCATGAGAAAAGGTGCACAGTGAGTCTTATCTGAAGGACAGAAGCAGTTAGTTCTCAGAATACACCATGGCAAGGTGGTCCTTTGTGGTTAGCTGTTCAGAACACAAAAGGGTATTTGGGGGTGAGGGATTTTCAACTGTCCCTGCTTTCCAGGAGCACAAGGCTCAAATAAAGTTCTAAATTGTCACATGACACACCATCTTTCTCCTTTTCAGGTTGGTGGTGGCGGGGGAAGGAAAGCTCAATCTAACAGTGCATTAAAAAAAAGAGATGCAAAGACAAACTTCTTGGACACCCAGCAGTGTCAGAGAAAGAAATAGAGCTAGTCCAATTGTTCAAAATTTGTTATTAATATTTCTTTATCCACAAACTTCCAGAATTACCTAATAACTTGGAGTAGAAGTAAACATAATCAAAAATGAAACTTGACAGTTATTTACTCACTAGCGCCTCCTCATTTTCTAGGGAATCTACTAGTAACTCTATGTCCTCCAAGCAAGCACATGAAATCTATCATTATATTTCTCTCAATTAAAACTATTAAACTATGTTCTGTGAAACAGCCAATACCTCATAACTGTCAGGCCTCTGAGCCCAAGCTAAGCCATCATATCCCCTGTGACCTGCACTTACACATCCAGATGGCCGGAAGCAACTGAAGATCCACAAAGGAAGTGAAAATAGCCTTAACTGATGACATTCCACCACTGTGATTTGTTCCTGCCCCACCCTAACTGATATGATATATTCTCCCCCGCCCTTAAGAAGGTACTTTGTAATATTCTCCCCTGCCCTTAAGAATGTATTGTGTACTCCTATCCCAAACCTATACTAATGATAATCCCACCACCCTTTGCTGGCTCCTTTTTTGGACTCAGCCTGCCTGCACCCAGGTGAAATAAACTGCCTTGTTGCTCACGCAAAGCCTGTTTGGTGGACTCTCTTCACACGAACGCGTGTGACAATAACACCATAAAAATGTGATTCACCCCCAAGAAAAGTGAATACATTTTCACTTGGTAAATTGTCAGTCATACCTCCAAGCTCTATGCACATTTTCATAAGTAAAAGAGCGCTCATAAATTAAGTAAATAAGTTTACGCAATTTTCAAGTTCACGTGACTTAAGTATAACTTTACTAAACAAGCTGGCTTTAAAATTATTGGTAAAATAAAAATAGAAATGCCTTCAGAATTGTCAGCATATATTTGTCTGGATTTTATGTTTGTCTTTGCTAGATATTCTGAGATGTCAGTGCTTGGCATAGAAATGATGAACCCAGACAAAACAAAATGATCTCGGTTTGTCTGCCTTTTTTCTTGACAAATGAGAATAATTTAATGTTAGCTTAATTTTCTGAGTTATTGGCCAAAATACCTACGCATTTAAATTTGAGGCTCTTACTTAGGTTTAGGTGAACACCTGATGTTCAGTGGCTATTAAAAACATGGTTAACAAGGAAATAACTAACTTTAAACAGAAGTAGTCTAGATACACTGTTAAAAGTGAAAGAATTGGTCTATCATGGTGGCTCATGCCTGTAATCCCAGCACTATGGGAGGCTGAGGTGGGAAGATTACTTGAGGTCAGGAGTTGTTGACCAGCCTGGACAGCATGGTGAATCCTCGTCTCTACTAAAAAGACAAAAATTAGCCAGGCATGGTGGTGTGTGCCTGTAATCCCAGCTACTCAGGAGGCTGAGGCAGCAGAATCACTTGAACCTGGGAGGTGGAGGTTGCAGTGAGCCAAGATCACACCACTGCATTCCAGCCTGAGTGACAAAGTGAGACTTCATCTCAAGAAAAAAAAAAAAAAAAAAAAAAGTACAGTGAATGAGATAAATGTTTTAGGTAAACTTTTTGTGTAAATTAAAATATTAAAATTATTTTTGATGCTCATTGAATATCTGAGTCATTTCCAATTTAAAAAGTTTGTGATATGGGGAAATGTGTTTCTAAAAATTGTAGAATTATACTTATCTATAAATGCTCATATCTGATGGTTCAGGATTTCTTGCTTTTTAGGATTTCGCTTAAGTTTTAGGTTACTAAGGATAAGAGTTCTAGTTAACACATAATTCTGTATACAAAATGTACCAGAAATGGTTCTGTTATTAGTGAGAAAAACAATAATCTCATCTAATTTGGAAGTTATCTAAAAGTTAGTTCAAATTACAGATTTGAAAAGGTTATTTATGAAACAATGTAGTAAGGACCAGTAAGTAGGGGAGAAAGAAGTGAAAAAAGTTTACATAATAAAATACTCTTTATAACCTGATAGAGAATTGGAGACATTTGGCTAATTAACATTTTCATAGTTAAAGCTCTTAGTCTTGATTAAAGTTGAATAAAAAATATTGTAAAGAAATGCATTGACAGTTTGGCAATTATTATTTTTTAATATAGTTAGGCATGAAGCCAGATTTAGTGTGGAGCTAAATTTCACATACATGCTTGCATTGCTTGACACTATGTTTACTGTTTTACATGGGCAGTGCTGGCCCTAGAGTACTTATTGGTCATGTGCCTAGAGTGAATTTCTTGATCGCATAGAATGTATAGTGATATTGGTGGACCTAAGGATATTGAACTGTGTACCAGGAATAAAATATTAATTATGTGGGTTTTGGGAGGCTCTGGGTAGCACTGTAGCCTCAAAATTTAGGGTTGATTTTCTGTTTGTTTTGGCTTCCAATTTTTATTCATTGCTGTGTATCCTCCTCTAGGCCTTGCTTATGTATGCATATAAATAAAATCGTGATTTTTTTAGTTTTTAGGGGAAGGATTTTATTTGGTTATGTGAATAGTTATTTTGTTTCCTATGCATTTTTAGTAAGTAATCATTTGTTCCATTTATCTGGAATTTCTGGGCTACCTTTGTCAGACCTGCAGGAATTAATGGAGCACAGCAGCTTTTTAAACTTTAACTTTTTGGATTTTAGGCTTCCTGATACTTTAAGTGTGTTGAGTATAATTTCATAAACAGAATTTGAGTCATATTTCTCTTTCTGCCTAATTTTTCAAAAATCTATGAACTATCTGTAAATATTGTAAATTCATGGGAATGTATTTGCATACAGTTGAGCAGGATTGCTAGGGTCACTCAGGGAAATACAAACAAGAAACCTGGAACACCAGGAAAAGGGTAACAATTTCTTACCAGTCACACTTTGACCTCTCTTTCTCTTTGCAAACTGGTTAAATGAATGGTAAAAGTCACTGTTTATCTCCTCTGTGAAGTTTTGATTAATACAAAAAAAGAATTCTGAGGCTGGTCTTAAGCTGTAGTCAATCTAGTGTGCCTTGTGTGTCTATCTGTATTGTTTGGTCACAAAGAGGGGTACGTTAGGATAAAATGCATGCCTAGGACCCCCACAGGTTCTCTATTTAAGATGGCCCAGCAAACCGGTCAGTCATGTCCTTGATAGCTTGAGTTTGTAACCATGTGCTTGTGCTTTCTCTTTTCACAATGGCAGCCCAGGTTTAGGGTTCAATTCCTGGCTTAAGGAATGAGTCCTTTGTATTGTACATATAATATTTTTAAAAGCTTTATTTAATTGGTTTAATAAGAGCTTATTTTAATAATAATAGCTTATCAAATATTTTGTCTGAAAAGTAAAAAGTATAATGTCTTTTATTTAGTTCATGTGACTTAAAAATATCTTAAAATGTAAACATTTGGTTTAAATTATGCAGGTCAGATATTAGGTCTGCTAAATGCTTTAGGTCATAAACTGCTTCTTTGGCTTTTAAAAATTGGTCAATTTATTTTGGAGCATTAGATTCTAAATAAGGCCTGGGGACATGCGAAATTAGCCATGCCTTCTAGCTATGCAAAGAAGGTTTTAAAGAAAAGACATTTTATATAAGAAAGGATCTAGTATGGTAAATTTTTGTCCTGAAGTAAAACAACTGGTTGTTTGAAAGAGGGATGTTTTGGAAAAGTCAGAATATCCAAACGTGTTATATATGGTCTGTGTAAGTCATGAAATAATTTGTGAAAGAGAATTTATGCAAGAAATGTTGTACAATTTAAAGATAATTAGGCCTCCTAAATGCTTCATAAAATGCCACTATGACTCTTAACTGTACAACTTGCCTGCTTTACAGATAGGTAAGGCCTGGGCCACATGGAGTTAGATGCTGGAAAGAGTCAAACCATATCTGCACTTTTGTCTGGGTCCTAGGCTCCACACCTAGTACATAATTAAAATTCTGAACTTAGCAAGGTTTTCACCAAAATTAAAAGTTGCTAAGAATTAACATTGTAACATGTAATTGAGACTGCTAAGGAAACCAGGTTCTCTTACACACTACCAGAATAGGGGATACATCCATGATGCTAAGGAATGGATGGACTGCAGGTCTCACCTCCATTGCACCTCACCAGGCAAAAAGCACTGGCCAAGGACTCCAGCACAGCCACCCTACCTCTGTTTGAGCACTTGGGCCAGTCACAGCTCTGCATTTCTCTGGGATAGAGCCCCCAGGGGTACTTGATAGGCCCATAGCCTTTGCCACTGCTGCAACCTCCACTCCTACTCCCCTTGTTGGGGAGAGAGCAAAGAGCCCAAGAACTGTCATGGGCCTCCAGCACACTGAAGCTTCCATAAAGAAAAGCAACTAGGCTGCTTTCCATGTGGGTCCCTGCCCCTTCTACTTCTCACTGGGCAAGGCCTCCTGGCCTGAACTCCCAGCGGAGCCACACTACCCACTTCAGTCAGTAGCAGCTTTGTATTTATATGGGGTGAAATTCTCAGAGACAACCAATAGGCTCTCTGTTAAGTGGTACTTGAAGTGGTACTTGTCCTTGCTGCCTTTGAGCTGGGGAATGAATAAAGACCTTGATTACTTTGCTCACAACTCCAGCACACCACAGCCACCATCAAAGAGACAAGTCTCTCTTCCCTGTGAGCTCCTGACCCCCTGCTTTTCACCAGGCAAGGCTGCCAGCTTGGGCCTGCAGTACAGACACCCTGCCTCCAGCTAAACATTCCCATTGGCAGCAGCTTTGTGTTTCTCTGACATGAAGTTCTTAGAGACAACTGACAGCCTCTCTGCCACTGCCACTTTACGGGTACCTGGCCTTGCTGACATCAGCTAGGGAATTAAAAAACAGCCTGAGTGTGTTACTTGCATATCTACCACACCACAGGTACCCTACAGAGAAGAAGAGAAAGGATGGAGCTCCCAGAGAAAGGTGATGGTCTCTCTGCCATTGCTACTGCCAAGGTTTCCACCCATGCTCCTCCAAAGCTGGGGAGAAAACAAAAAGTCTGAACTCGCCTGGGAATGCCAAGCCAAAATCTGTAGACAGCATTTGAATGGGAAAGGAGTCTACACTTTCAGAACAGTGAGAGGGAGCATGACTGCAAACTCAAGAAAATACAGAGATGCTGAGCAGCTGAGTAAGGACTTATCTATCAGCCATTACATTTAAGCACCATCTACTGGATTACAGCCCAAACTGAAACACCAAACATACTTTGCTAATATACCCTACTGTGAAACCAAGGGCAAGAATTTATCCACAAAGAACCTGAACAGAGACCAAGCCCTCTGAAAACATCCAAAAATGAAGCCAACTGACTATATTGAAATTACACCACAGTTGAAAAAAATCAACCCACACAGATGAGAAAGAAGCAATGCAAGCACTCTAGCAACTCTCAAAGCTAGGGTGTCTTATTATCTCTAAAGAAACACACTAGTTCCCCAGCAATGGTTTTTAACCAGAATACAATGGCTGAAATTACAGATATAGAACTCAGAATCTGGATGGCAACAAAGATTATTGTAATTCAGGGAAAAGTTGAAACCCAATTCAAGGAATATACGGAATCCAGTAAAATAATTGAAGACATGAAAGATAAAATAGCCATTTTAAGAAAGAAACACACTGACCTGATAGAGCTGAAAAACTCACTACAAGAATTTCATAATAGAATTGCAATTATTTACAACAGAATAGACCAGGTTGAGGAAAGAATCTCAGTGCTTGAAGACCAGTTCTTCAAATAAACTCAATCAGACAAAAATAAAAAATAAAAATTTTAAATAAACAAAACCTTCAAGAAATATGAGATTGTATAAAGAGACCAATCCCATGACTCATCTGTGTTCCTAAAAGAGGAGAGAAAGCAAGCAACTTGGAAAACATATTTGAGGCTATTGTCAATGAAAATTTCTGCAACCTCAATAGAAAGGTTCACATGCAAATTCAGGAAATTCAGAGAACCCCTGCAAGATACTATATAAGATGACTATCCCCAAGACACATATTCATCAGATTCTCCAAAGTCAAAGTGAAAAAAAATTCAAGACAGCTGTAGAGAAGGGGAAGGTCACAAACAAAGGGACCCCCATCAGGCTAACAGCAGAAACCTTACAAGTCAGAAAATATTTAGGGCCTATATTCAGCACTCTTAAAGAAAAGAAATTCCAACCAAGAATTTTATATCCAGGCAAACTAAGCTTCATAAGCAAAGAGGAAATAAAATTCTTTCCAGACAACCAAGTGTTAAGGGAATATGTTACCACCCACCTTCCTTATCCCTATAAGAGGTTTTTAAGGGAGTGCTAAACATGAAAACCAAAAATTATTATTGGCCACCAAAAAAAAAACACACACTTAAGTACATAGACACTATTAAAAAAAAAAACTACACAATCAAGCCTACATAACAACCAATTAACAACACAATAACAAGATCAAATCTGCACACATCATTATAACATTGAACATAAATAGGTTAAATGCCCCACATAAAAGGCACACAATGGGTAGTTGGATAAATAATTAAGATTCACCTATATGCTGTCTTCAAGAGACCAAGGACACCCATGGACTCAAAGTATAGGAATTTGCTATCAAGCAAATGGAAAACAACAAGAAAAAAAAGCAGGGACTGCTATTCTTATTTTAGACAAAACAGACTTTATGTCAACAGTGATTGAATAGGAAAAAGGGCATTACATTATAATAAAAGGTTAAATGCAACAAGAAGACTTAACTATCCTAAATATATATGCACCCAACACTGGAGCATCCAGATTCACAGAACAAGTTCCTAGAGATTGTTGAGAGGCTTAAATAACCACACAATAAGAATGACTAACTTCAATACTTCACTAACAGCATTAGACAGATCACTGAGGCAGAAAACTAACAAAAATATATGAGAACTAAACTGTACACTTGACTAAATGGACCTGAGACACCCACAGAATACTCCACCCAGCAAAAACAAAATATACATTCTTCTTATCTTCACATGATACATAGTCTAAAATCAACAACACACTCTGCCACAACTCAATTTTCAACATTTTTTAAAAAAAACAAAATTATACAAACTACATTCTCAACCACAGTGCAATAAAAATAGAAATTAATACCAAGAAGATCTCTCAAAACCATACAATTACATGGAAATTAAACAACCTGCTCCTGAATGACTTTTGGGTAAAAAAAAATGAAATTAAGGCAGAAATCAAGAAATTATTTGAAACTAATAAAAACAAAGATACAATGTACCAGAATCTCTGGGACACAGCTACAGCAGTGTTAAGAGGAAAGTTAATAGCACTAAATTCCCACATCAAGAAAAGTAATAATGATCTCAAATTAACAAACTAGCATCATACTTAGAGGAACTGGAAAAACAAGAACAAACCAACCTGAAATCTAGAAGATGAAAATAACAAAAATCCGAGCTAAAATAATTAATGTGGAGATGAGAAAAACCATACAGAAGATTAACAAAACCAAAAGCTTGTTCTTTGAAAGAATAAATAAGGCCGATATATCACTAGCTAAAGTAATAAAGAAAAAAAAGAGAGAAGATCAAAATAAACACAATCATAAATGACAAAGGGGACATTACTGCCAACCCAACAGAAATATAAAATAATGCCAGAGACAATTATAAACACTTCTATTCATACAAATGGTAAAATCTACAAAAAGTGGATAAATTTCTAGAAACATACAACCTCTCAAGACTGAACCAGAAAGAAATTGAAATCCTCAACAGAACAAGTTCTGAAATTGAATCAATAATAAAAACCTTCAAAAAAAAAAAAAACCCAAAACAAACCCTGGACAACATAGATTGACAGCCAAGATGTATAAAGAAAAGTTGGACTTTGGGAGGCCAAGGCAGGTAGATCACTTGAGTTCAGTTGTTTGAGACCAGCCCAAACAACATGGCAAAACCCCATCTCTACAAAAAATACAAAAATTACCCAGGTGTGATGGCAAGTGCCTGTAGTCCAAACTACTCATGGGGCTGAGGCAGAAGGATTGCTTGAGCCCAGGAGGTCGAGGCTGCAATGAGCTGTGTTTGTGCCACAACACTTCGACCTGGGAAACAAAGCAAGACCTTGCCTCAAAAAATAAAAAATAAAAAACAGTAGGTGCCAATCTTACTGAAACTATTCCAAAAATTTGAAAAGGAGGGACTCCTCTTTAACTCATTCTGACATCAAAACCTGCCAGAGATATAACAAAAAGAAAACTCTAGGCCAATGTACTTAATAAAAATAGATGCAAAAATTATTAACAAACTACTAGCAAACCAATCTAGCAGCACATTAAAAAACTAATACAACAAAATCAAATAGGCTTTATTCTTGGGATGCAAAGTTGGTTCAATGCACACAAATCAATACATGTCATTCATTACATAAAAAGAACTAAACACAAAACCATGTGATCATCTCAATAGATGCCCAAAAGGCTTTCAATAAAATTTAACATTGCTTTATGTTAAAAACCCTCAGGAAACTAGGCATCGAAGGAACATACCACAAAATAATAAGAGGATTCTATGACAAACCCACAGCCAACATTATACCAAATGGGCAAATGCTGGAAGCATTCCTCTTGAGAAGCAAAACAAGACAACAGGGCTCAAACTCACTACCCTCAGTCCATAGTACTGGAAGTCCTAGACAGAGCAATCAGGCAATAGAACGAAAGAAAATGCATCTAAACAGGATGAGAGAAAATCAAACACTGTCTCTTTACAGATTATATAATTTTATACCTAGAAAACTCTATAGTCTCTGTCCAAAGACTCCTAGATCCTGATAAACAACTTTAGTAGAGTTTCAGGATACAAAATTAATGTAGAAAAATCAGTAGCATTTCTGTATACCAATGATGTCCATAAAAGCCAAGTCAAGAACACAATCCAATTCACAATAGCCACAGAAAGAGTAAAATACGTAGGAATACAGCTAACCAGGGAGGTGAAAGAACCCTACAATGAGAATTGCAAAACATTGAAGAAAGAAATCAGAGACAACACACACAAATGGAAAAACATTCCATGCTCATGGATAGAAAAAAAATCAATATTGTTAAAATGGCCATACTGCTCAAAGCATAGATTCAGTGCTATTCTTATCAAACTATCAATGACATTGTTCACAGAATTAGAAGGAATTATTCTAAAATTTATATAGAACAAAAAAGTCTGAATAGCCAAAATGATCCTAAGCAAAAACAATGAGGCTGGAGGCATTACACTACCTACTTCAAGCTATACTACAAGGCTACAGTAACCAAAACAGCATAATTTCAGTATAAAAACAGAAATATAAACCGATGGAACATGTTACAAGCCCAGAAATAAATTCACACACCTACAACCATCTGATCTTCAACAAAGTCAATAATGACAAGCAATGGGGAAATGACTCCCTATTCAATAAATGGTGCTAGGGTGACTGACTAGCTATATGCAGAAGATTGAAACTGGACTCTTCCTTTTACTATATACAACAATTAACTAAACGTAGTATAAATATAAAACTGAAAACTATAATTACCTCAGGCAAAGACCTAAGAAATACCATTCCGAACATCAGCCCTGGCAAAGATTTTATGACAAAGACCCCAAAAGCAATTGCAACAAAAACAAAAATAAAAAGGTGGGACCTAATTAAACTAAAGAGCTTCTGAACAGCAAAAGAAACTATCAACAGAGTAAACAGACAACCTCCAGAATGAGAGGAAATATTTGCAAATTATGCATCCAGTAAAGGTCTAATATCCTGAATCTTTAAAAAAAACTTAAATCAACAAGCAAAAACAAACAACCCCATTAAAAAATGAACAAAGGACATGAACAAACACTGTGGAATGCAGTTTGGAGGTTTCTCAAAGAACTTACACCACTCAACCCAGCAATCCCATTACTGGATATATACCCAAAGGAATAGAAATTATTCTGCCATACAGACACATGCATAGGCATATTCATTGCTGTGCTATTCACAATAGCAAAGACATGGGATCAACCCAGGTACCCATCAATGGTGAGCTGGATAAATACAATATGGTACATATACAACATGAAATAATATGCAGTCATAAAAAAAATTATGTCCTTTGCAGCAATATTTTGGAGCTGGAGGCCATTATCCTAAGTGAATTAATACATGAACAGCAAACCAGATATTGCATGTTCTCACTTATAAGTGGGAGCTAAATATTGACTACACAAGGACACAAAGAGAGAACTAGAGACACCAGGGTCTACTTGAGGGTGAGGTTGGGAGGAAGATGTAGAATAAAAATCTGCCTGTTAGGCATTATGCTCCTTACCTGGGGGACAATAAATGTTGGAAAGCAAATTATATATGTGTATATATATATATATATATATGTCATTGGCCAAGAAACTGCTCCAGATGATAGGAGAATACAGAAACATGACAAGTTCCTGCAACACACGATCCTTGATTACCTTGTACAGGAAGGGAAAATGTTATATGAGATATTATGAGAAAATATATCATATATATATCTATATTATAATGTAGTCCATATATTTTATAAAACTATTCTTTTAATGTTAAAGTTCTGAACTTGATAACTGTATTATGGTTATGTTAGGTGAATATTTTTCTTCTTAGAAAATATATATGGAAGTATTCAAAGATATGTTGGTATGATGCATGCAACCTATTTTCAAAGGCTTCGGAAAAAAACAAATCATAATATATATCTGAGAGAGGGAGAGAACAATAAAGCAATATGGTAAACTGTTAAAAAATGACAAATCTTTGTGAAAGGTACATAAGAATTCTTTGAATTTTTCTTGCTACTTTTCTGTAAATTTGAAACTACTTTAAAATAAAAACTTTGGAATATATTTAAGAAGTCCTTAATTGCTTTTATTTATCGTGCTTTTTTACGGTTTTCTTAATGTTTCTTTTGTCTAAAGCTAAATCTTTGTTTAGTTTTTTTCATTTTTGGGCTTATAGTTTTCTCCAAATTTGGGGAAAAAGATTGGTCATTATTTATTCATATTAATTTTTCATCAAATACTCCTTCTGGGACTCCAATTACATATATATTGAATAGTTTGATATTGTCCCACAGTTCACTAATGTTCTGTTTGCTTTCTCAATCTTTTTTCAGGACATTTTTTCTCTCCTGTTTTCTTTCTCTCCCCTTTCAGATAACAATTACGCACATGCTAGATCTTTTTACTGTAACACATGTCCTATGCTCATATATATATATTATATATCCATCCTATTTTCCCTCCATTTTCTTATTCAACTGACCTATCTTCTGCTTTACTAATCTTCTCTTCTGTTATATCTAATGTGCTTTTAAAACTATCTGATTGAGATAATGATTTCAAATATTTTTATGTTTATTTTATTTTATTTTAGGTTCCAGGATACAAATGCAGAATGTGCAGGCTTTTTAAATAGGTAAATGTGTACCATGGTGGTTTGCTGTACCTATCAACCCATTACCTATGTATTAAGCCCTGCATGCTTTAGCTATTTGTTCTGTTGTTCTCCCTCCCTCTGTCCCCCTGACAGGCCCCAGTGTGTGTTGTTCTCCTCCCTGTGTGTTTCCGTCTTTCTTACTTCTATGCCCCATTTTGCATTACTTCTGCTACTTCTTCAAGTTCACAATTTTTTCTAAAATGTCTAATCTGCTGTGACTCTCATTCAGTGTATTTCACATTTCATCAGAGCATATTTATAATAGCTGTTTTAGTATTCTTATTGTAATTTCATCTTCTCTGTCATGTCTGAGTCTGTTTCTACTGATGGGTTTATCCCTGGTTATGGGCCATATTTTTCTTGTTTCCTTATATAGCTAGAAAATCTTGATTGGATGCTAATCATTGTAAATTTTATGTTGTTGAATTCTGGATTTTGTTGTCTTCTTTCTAAGCCTGTTGTACTTTTTTGGCAGGCAGTTAAGTAATTTGGAAATTAACTTGATAATTTTAGTGTTTATTTGTAAATTATTTACATCAGTCATAGAGTTGTCTTTATTCTGGGGCCAATATTTTTTTCATTTTTTAGATTTAGCCCTTTAGGTCTTTGCCCTTTGGCAGGAGGTAAGTTGAATAATTCTCAGCCTTCTGAGAACTGTAAGATTTTTGGCTGACAGTTCCTTGAAAATTGATTTTCTTTAGAAATTGATTTTTCTGGGCATGTTGGTTTTTTTCATATGCATACAGAGATTGGTATTCAGCCAAAGGCTCAAGGAAATGCCTATCCTGATTTATGGAACTTTTTCTCCATGTAGTTCCCTTCTCTCAAGCACTCTACCCTGAAATTTATTGCCTCCCTGAACTGTCATTTTTTTTTTTTTTGTCTCCTCAACTCAAAGAGATCCCAAAGTTTTGTTTTCATTGTCCCTCCTTATGTAGTAATCTTGGGGTTACTTCCCAGTAGCAAGCTTAGGTGACTTTAGGGTTCACATCTTATGTTTCTGTTTTCTAAGTGATTATTTGTTTGTGCTCTATTTGGGTGGAAAATAGTTATTTTCTATATTTTCTCCAGTTTTCTAGTTTTTTACAGTGAAAAAAAGTTATTCTGGACTTACTACCTCGTTGACAGAAGAAATTACACTCATGAATAGAAGCAGAAGTAAGAGTAACCTTCATTTTTGGGGGAACAAATTCTAGTTTGGTACTTGTTTTAACACTTCAAATATGTCATTAAATTGTGAGGCATGTTGTTGCTATTTTGTAGGTTAATTGTTAATGTGTCTTCTTTCTTGCTGCTTTAAAAATGTATCTCTTTGTCTTTCATTTTTATTTGTTTTACTAGAATATTTCTAGGTGGCATTCTTTGAATTTGCCCTGCTTGGCATTCATAGAGTTTCATGATTCTGGAACTTCCTGACTTTCATCAGTTCTGGAAAAAGGTAGCCAGATCTCTTAAAACATTTTTTCTGTCCTGTTCTCTTTCTCCTCCTTGTCAGATTCCAATTACACACATGCTAGATCGTTTTACTATACCACAAGTTCCATGCTCTTTTATATATATATCCATCCTATTTTCCCTCCATTTTCTCATTTAATGGACCTATCTTCTGCTTTACTAATCTTCTCTTCTGTTGTGTCTAATGTGCTTTTAAAACCATCTGATTGAGATATTGATTTCAAATATTTTTTGTTAATTTTATTTTATTTTAGGTTACAGGATACATATGCAGAACATGCAGGTTTGTTACATAAGTAAACATGTGCCATGGTGGTTTGCTGTACCTGTCAACCCATCACCTAGGTACTAAGCCCTGCATGCATTAGCTATTTGTCCTGATGTTCTCCCTCCCTCTGTCCCCCTGACAGGCCATGGTATGTGTTGTTTTCCTCCCTGTGTCCATGTGTTTTCATTGTTCAGCTCTCACTTATGAGTGAGAACATACAGTTTGGTATTCTGTTCTTGTGTTAGTTCGCTGAGGATAATGGCTTCTAGCTTTATCCCTGTTCCTGCAAAGGACATAATCTTGTTCCTTTTTATTGATGCATAGTATTCTATGGCGTATATGTACCACATTTTCTTTATCCAGTCTATCATTGTTGGGCATTTGGGTTAGTTCCAAGTCTTTGCTATTGTGAATAGTACTGCAATAAACATATATGTGCATGTATCTTTATAATAAAATGATTTGTATTCCTTTGGGTATATACCCAGTAATAGGATTGCTGGGTCAAATGGTATTTCTGGTTCTAGATCCTTGAGGAATCACCACACTGTCTTCCACAGTGGTTGAGCTAATTTACATTACCACCAACAGTGTAAAAGCATTTCTATTTACCTGCAGCCTCGCCAGCATCTGTTGTTTCTTGACTTTTTAATAATCGTCATTCTGACGGACATGAGATGGTATCTTATTGTGGTTTTGATTTGCATTTCACTAATAATCAGGATGTTTAGCTTTTTTTCATGTTTGTTGGCTACATAAGTGTCTTCTTTTGAAAAGCATCTGTTCATGTCCTTTGCCCACTTTTTAATGAGGTTATTTGTTTTTTTCTTGTACATTTGTTTAAGTTCTTTGTAAAGTCTGGGTATTAGACTTTTGTCAGATGGGTAGATTGCAAAAATTTTCTCTCATTCTGTAGGTTGTCTGTTCACTCTGAAGATAGTTTCTTTTGCTGTGCAGAAGCTCTTTAGTTTAATTAAATGCCATTTGTCAATTTTAGCTTTTTTTGCAATTGCTTTTGGGGATTTCATCATAAAATCTTTGCTCATGCATATTTCCTGAATCATATTGCCTACATTTTTTTCTAGGGTTTTTGTATTTTGAGATTTCACATGTAAGTCTTTAATCCATCTTGAGTTAATTTTTGTATAAGGTGTAAGGAAATGGTCCAGTTTCAGTTTTCTTCATATGGCTAGGCAGTTTTTCCAGCACGGTTTATTAAAAAGAGAATCCTTTCTCTATTGCTTGTTTTGTCAGGTTTGTCGAAGATCAGATGGTTGTAGATGTGAGGTGTTATTTCTGAGATCTTTATTCTGTTCCATTGGTCTATGTGTCTGTTCTTGTACCACTACCATGCTGTTTTGGTTACTGTAGACTTGTAGTATACTTTGAAGTCAGGTAACGTAATGCCTCCAGCTTTGTTCTTTTTGCTTAAGATTGTCTTGGCTATATGGGCTCTTTTTTGGTTCCATATACATTTTAAGGTAGTATTTTTCTGATTCTGCAATGAATGTCAATGGCAGTTTGATGAGAATAGCATCAAATCTATAAATTACTTTTGGCAGTATGGCCATTTTCTTTCTATTCACGAGGATGGAATGTTTTTCTATTTGTTTTTGTCCTCTCTGATTTCCTTGAGCAGTGATTTTTAGTTTTCCTTGAAAAGATCTTTCACATCCCTTGTTAGATGTATTCCTAGGTATTTTATTCTCCTTGTAGCAATTGTGAATGGAAGTTTATTCATGATTTGGCTCTCTGCTTGTCTATTGTTGGTGTATAGGAATGCTTGTGATTTTTGCACATTGATTTTGTATCTCAAGACTTTGCTAAAGTTGCTTATTAGCTTAAGAAGCTTTTGGGCTTAGACAATGGGGTTTAATAGATATAGAATCAAGTCACCTGCAAACAAAGACAATTTGACTTCCTCTCTTTCTATCTGAATACGCTTTATTTCTTTCTCTTGCCTGATTGTCCTGGCCAAAACTTCCAGTACTATGTTGAATAGGAATGGTGACAGGGGCATCCTTGTCTTGTACTGGTTTTCAAAGAGAATGCTTCCAGCTTTTGCCAATTCAATATGATATTGGCTGTGGGTTTGTCATAAATGGCTCTTATTATTTTGACATATGTTCCATCAATACCTAGTTTATTGAGAGTTTTTAACATAAAGGGATGTGAATTTTTATTGAAGAGCTTTTCTGCATCTATCAAGATAATCATGTTGTTTTTGTCATTGGTTCTGTTTATGTGATTAATTATGTTTATTGATTTGGTGTGTTGAACCAGCCTTGCATCCCAGGGATGAAGCTGAATTGGTTGTGGTGTATAAGCTTTTTGATGTAATGCTGGATTTGGTTTGCCAATATTTAATTGAGGATTTTTGCATCGATGTTCATCAGAGATATTGGCCTGAAGTTTCCTTTTTTGGTTGTGTCTCTGCCAGGTTTTGGTATCAGTATGATGCTGGCCTCATAAAATGATTTAGGGAGAAGTTCCTCCTTTTCTTTTGTTTGGAACAGTTTCAAAAGGAATGGTACCAGCTCCTCTTTGTACCTCCGGTATAATTTACCTGCGAATTAGTCTTGTCCTGAGATTTTTTGGTTGGTAGGTTATTAATTGGTGCCTCAATTTCCGAAGTTTTTATTGGTCTATTCAAGGATTTGACTTTTTCCTGATTTCGTCCTGGGAGGGTGTATGTGTCCAGGAATTTATCCATTTCTTCTAGATTTTCTAGTTTATTCACATAGAGGTGCTTATAGTATTCTCTGATGGTAGTTTGTATTTCTTTTGGGTCAGTGGTGATAACAGTTTTTATCGTTTTTTATTGTGTCTATTTGATTCTTCTGTCTTTTCTTCTTTATTCATCTAGGTAGCTGTTTTTTTTTTTTTTTTTTTTTTTTTTGAAATGGACTCTCCCTCTGTTGCCCAGGCTGGAGTGCAGCGGCACAATCTCAGCTCACTGTGACCTCCACCTCCCACATTCAAGCAACTCTCCTGCCTCAGCTTCCCGAGTAGCTGGGATTACAGCCATGCATTGCCAGACCTGGCTAACTTTTATATTTTTAGTAGAGATGGGGTTTCACCATGTTGGCCAGGCTGGTCACGAACTCCTAACCTCAAGTGATCCACCCTCCTTGGCCAGTCTGTCTATTTTATTTTATTTTTTTTCAAAAAGTCAGCTCCTGAAGCCATTGATTGTTT
Organism: Homo sapiens; assembly: GCF_000001405.40. Lineage (NCBI taxonomy): Eukaryota > Metazoa > Chordata > Mammalia > Primates > Hominidae > Homo > Homo sapiens. The sequence goes on from NC_000023.11 coordinate 80,620,401, forward strand.
GAAAGATTTTTTGTGTCTCTATCTCTTTCAGTTCCACTCTGATCTTAGATATTTCTTGTCTTCTGCTAGCTTTTGGGTTTGTTTGTTGTTGCTTCTCTAGTTCTTTTAGTTGTGATGTTAAGGTATTGATTTGAGATTTTTTTACCTTTCTGATGTGGTCATTTAGGGCTATAAATTCCCCTCTTAACACTGCTTTAGCTGTGTCCCAGAGATTCTGGTATGTTGTCTCTTTGTTCTCATTGGTTTCAAATAACTTTTTGATTTCTTCCTTAATTTCATTGTTTACCCAGAAGTCATTCAGGAGCAGGTTGTTCTATTTCCATGTAGTTGTGTGGTTTTGAGGGAGTTTCTTAATCTTCAGTTGTAATTTAATTGCACTGTGGTCTGAGAGACTGTTTGTTATTATTTCAATGTTTTGCATTTGCTGAGGAGTGTTTTACTTCCAATTATTTGATCGATTCTAAAGTAAGTGCCCTGTGGCACTGAGAAGAATATATATCCTTTTGCTTTGGGGTGCAGAGTTCTGTAGATACCTATCAGGTCCACTTGATCCAGAGCTCAGTTAAAGTCCTGAATATCCTTGTTAATTTTCTGTCTTGATGATCTGTCTAATATTGACAGTGGGGTGTTAAAGTCTCCCACTATTATTGTCTGGGAGTCTAAGTCTCTTTGTAGGTCTCTAAGAACTTGTTTTATGAATCTGGGTGCTCCTGTATTGGGTGCATATACATGTAGGATAGTCAGATCTTTTTGTTGAATTTTGGGCATTATGTAATGCCCTTCTTTGTCTTTTTTTATCTTTGTTGGTTTAAAGTCTATTTTGTCAGAAACTAGAATTGCAATCCCTGCTTTTTTTCTGCTTTCCATTTGCTTGGTAAATTTTCTTCCATCCTTTTATTTTGTGGATATGTGTGTCTTTGCACATGAGATGGGTATCTTGAATACAGCACACTGATGGGTCTTGACTCTAACCAATTTTGTCTTTTAATTGGGGCATTTAGCCCAGTTACATTTAAGGTTAATATTGTTGTGTGTGAATTTGATCCTGTCATCATGATGCCAGCTGGTTATTTTGCATGCCGGTTGATGCAGTTTCTTCATTGTGTCATTGGTCTTTGCATTTCAGTGCATTTCTGCAAAGGCTGGTACTGGTTTTTTGTTTCCATATTTAGTGCTTCCTTCAGGAGCTCTTGCAAGGCAGGCCTGGTGGTGACAAATTCTCTCAGCATTTGCTTGTCTAAAAAAGATTTTATTGCTGCTTTGCTTATGAAGCTTATTTTGGCCAGAAATGAAATTCTGGGTTGAAAATTCTTGTTTTAAAAAATGTTGAATATTGAACCCTACTCTCTTGTGGCTTGTAGGGTTTCTGCCAAGATGTCTGTTGTTAGTCTGATGGGCTTCCCTTTGTAGGTGACCTGGCCTTTCTCGCTGGCTGCCCTCAACATTTTTTCCTTCATTTCAACCTTGGAGAATCTGATAATTATGTGTCTTGTAGTTGATCTTCTCGTGTATCTTACTAGGGTTCTCTGTATTTCCTGAATTTGAATGTTGGCCTGTCTTGCTAGGCTGGGGAAGTTCTCCTGGATGATATCCTGAAATGTGTTTTCCAACTTGGTTCCATTCTCTCTGTCTCTTTCAGGTACTCCAAACAGTCATAGTTTTGGTCTTTTTACATAGTCCCATAGTTGTTGGATGTTTTGTTCATTCCTTTTTATTTTTATATTCTCTAATCTTGTCTGCCTGCCTTATTTCAGTGAGATAGTCTTCAACCTCTGATATTCTTTCTTCTGTTTGATTGATTCAGCTACTGATACTTGTATATGTATCATAAGTTCTCATGCTGTTTTTCAGCTCTATCAGGTCACTTATATTCCTCTTTAAACTGGTTATTCTAGTTAGCAGCTCCTGTAACCTTTTATCATGGTTCTTAGCTTCTTTGCATTGGGTAAGAACATGCTTCTTTACTTCAGTGAAGTTTGTTATTAGCCACCTTCTAAAGCCTACTTCTTTCAGTTTGTCCATCTCATCCTCCTTCCAGTTCTGTGCCTTTGCTGGAGATGTCTTGTGATCATTTGGAGGAGAAAAGACACTCTGGCCTTTTGAGTTTTCAGAGTTTTTTTTATTGATTCTTCATCATCTTCATGAGTTCATCTAGTTTTGATCTTTGAGGCTGCTGACCCTCGGAGGAGGCTTTTGTGGGGACTTTTTTGTTGATTCTGTTGTTGTTGCTGTTTGTTTTTCTTTCAATAGTCAGGTCCCTGTTCTACAGGGCTGCTGCAGTTTGCTGGGAGTTCACTTCAGGCCCTATTCATCTGGGGTGCTCCTGTACCTAGAGATGTCACCTGAGGAGGCTGAAGAACAGCAAAGATTTGTGCCTGCTACTTCCTCTGGGATTGCTGACCTTGAGGGGCACTGACCTAATGCCAATAAGAATGCTCCTGTATAAGGTTTCTGGTGACCCCTCTGTGGGGAGGCCTCACCTAGTTGGGGAGCAGGGGAACCAGAACCCATTTAACAAGCACTTTGACTGTTTTTTTGTGGAGGATTTGTGCTGTGCTGAGGGGAAACCCACTTGTCTCAGCTGCCTGGATTCCTCAGAACTAGCGGGGGAAAGACTAAACCTGCTGGTCTGAGGAGACTATGGCCAACCCTCTCCCTAGGGTCTCAGGCCAAGGGAGGTCAGAGTTCCGTCCCTGGGACCCTGGCTGGAGTTGCTGGAGTTCCTGCCTGGAGGCCCAACCAAGTGAGAAGGGATGGGTCAGAGTCTGGCCTAAAGAGGCAGTCTGGCCACTCTCTGCCACAGCCAGTTTGCTGCACTGTGGGGAGTACCTCTTGGAACCAAGCCATCCAGTCTCCCCAGCTCCAGCAGGGGAAAAATTCAGCCTGGAGCTACAGTGCTGACTGCCACTCTTCCCCGACAAGGAGTTCAGCATTTTAAGGAGCAGCCACAGTGATGACTGTCACCCCCCCTGCCCAGGGAGCTCAGACATCTTAAGCAGCAGGTAGCAGCTGCTTCTACCCCTGGATCTCGGTGATCTTAGGCAGATTTCAGCTGAGTGGCTGTTGAGAATTTTCATGGCCCTGTGGTTGGGGCCCAAGGCTCTGGTGGCATGGGCTCACAACTAGGATCTTCGGATCTTTGGGTTGCACAGTTCCATAGAAAATGCATGGTTCCCCAGGCTGAGTAGCATGCTCACTCACCGCCTGTTTTGGCTAGGGAGTGGGGGCTCCCCTGCCTCATGTGGCTCTCAGGTGGGCCAACACACCACACTGTTTTCCTTGCTCTTTGAGAGTCACACCAACCATCTAGTCAGTCCTGATGATAGAACCTGCGTACTTCAGTTGCCGGTGCAGGATTTACATGCATTTTGGTTCTTCTCAGTGGGAGCCTCTAACTGCCGCTGCTTCTAGTTGGCCATCTTGGCCCCAATCCCCTTTCAAATATTTTATTGTTTGGTGCTTTAATCTTAATTTGTAATATAGATTCCAGTTTTCTACTACATTTTTTTGTTTTCTTTTCATATTTTGAATACATTAATCATAATTATTTTATTAGCCTTGCTTTTTTATTAAAATGTAACATTCATATATTAAATATACAAAGTACACTAATCCCAACTGTTTATGGATATATGGTTTGTTTCTACTTTTAGTTATGAATCAAGCTGCAATGAACTTTGTTATTTATGTATTTTGTTATATATACACTGATTTATTTTGAGTAAATACATAGGCTCATGGGGCAGGCATAATCAAAGTTATTTTAAAGTGTCTGGAAATTCAAATATATAAATCACTTGGTGTGCTTCTATTGTGTAGTTTTATCTCATGGTTTTATCTCATTTGGTCCTACATTGTTCAAAGATGACTAATTTTAGATTGCATGCTGGATAGTGTATATAAAAACTTGGTGATAATCTGGATGCTATCTTATTCTAGGTAGAATTTGCCCTCCTATAGTTAGAAGGACAAAACACCTTGATTCAATTAGGAACTGAGATGGTTTTAGGCTTGTCATCAGGCATTTTGACAGCTGGTCTATTTCTGGTTTGCCCTTTAATTATCTCAACTAAAATCCTGAGGATTTTCCTGGGCTCCTCTTCCTTGGCAAGCCCTAAATTTTAATTGTTATTTATTTTGTTTTTCGACAGTACTATTAGTTCTGCCTCCTTCTCTGTAGTTCACTTTTATTCTTAATATATTAATTCTGGTTTTTGTCTCTCTTAATATCTTAAGATATTAAGTCTGGTTTTTGTTAAGACTGCTGAACACTTTATAATATGAATTTATTTTTAACTTACATGTCCCACGTAAGTATGAGCAAATACCCCCAAATAACAACAGCATCAGGTATGGTTTGGCTCACCTCAGTGTTTCCCCTCTCTCTGGGATTTCAGTCTCCCACGTCCTAGATGCCTGATTGCTCTCTGATGCCTTCACGCAAGTAAGAATTTTGGTTTGGTTTGGACTGGTTCGTTTTCATCCAGTGTTTACAAGTGTTTTCAGTGAGAAAGTTAATATGATAGAAATTGCGTCATTATAGCCAGAGGTGGAGGTCCTTGGCTTCTACTGATTCTTACTTCTGCTATTTTAATTCAACTTTTCCTCTATATAAGTTACATTTAACTATCCAGATGATAACAAAGTCCAAGAAGTGACTGTGATAGTGGCTAAATCAAAATGTCTACATCTGGACATATAACATTAGTAAATAACCATTGCACCTTACTATCTTGCATTTCATATTTATGTCTCTACGCAAGGGTACAAGTAAGATCACTTGCCTATTATTTGAGCCAAATAGTAGCTTGGTCAGAGTTTTTAAAAAATGGTTTACCAAAAATATTCATCTTTTTTTTTTCTCAAGTGTTACTAGCATAACTTTAAAAGTAGGTACTAAAAGAGGCTCTTAGTAGTATGAGTAGGAAGTTGGTTTCTCACATTATATTGCAGTCATTAAGAACTTGAGCTCTGGAGTCAGATTGCTTACGTTAGATTCTAAACTTTTCAACATCCTGGTTGTGTGATCTTGGCAAATTTACCTAACATTCCTGTGTCTCATTTTGCTTACTCCTCACCTATATAGTGGGGATAATAATCATACTTACCTCTTTGAAGATTATGTGAACTAGCATATTTAAATTACTTAGAACTGTACCCAGAACATTTTTAAAAAGTCGATAAATGATAGCTATCATTATTTTATATTCTGAAGTCCCACTGGAATGAAATAACTTACATTCTGCTCATTTCTTCCTTTTTTATTCTTCACATTGTCTTTCCTTCTTTTTTATAATGATGTTTTTTAATGTTTATGTTTATTATTTTACTGAAATATACATTTTTGAAACAACTTTTGACTTTTATTATTATGTATTCTTTCACAGTCTTAATAATACATACATATGTTCATGTTGTTGCTAATTCGTGTTCACAAGTCCTGCAAAAAAAGAAAAAATTCTGCCACATGATTAAAGTAAAACAAAACATAACCAAGTTATAGACACAGATACTCCAAAAAGCTGCTCAGATTAATAGTTCTTGTTATCTTTAAAATTTGTGTTTCAACCAAGTTATGCACATTTTTTCTTATCTATGAATCCAGAAAATTCCTTCAAACTCCACCTTCCCACTACTCTTGCAATGTAATTGAATCAAAACAATATATAAATAAGATTGACTCTAACCTAGGAATTCCAAAGAACTACTCTTCTTATTTTATCAAACTAAGCCATTAATCTTTCACCTAAGGTGTGAGTTGAATCAGTCAGATCTTTCAGAAATAAGACAAATAAACTAGCGCAGTGGAAGCCCTAGGTTGCATTTGTTCATGAACCCATAAAAGAGGCGTCCAAAAGTGTTAATGACACAAAAACAATTTTGGAGTTCTCTTCATGTCAGTGGGCAAAAAATAAAGAGTATGTCATATTCACAATCAGCCCTTGCTTAACTTCCAAGCTGACACTAGCCATGACTCAACTCAAAAGCTCTTTCAGTAAATTAGAGGTGTGATATTCCACACTTCTTAAACAGTGCATGACAACAATAACTTTGATTGTTTGGGAATAGATTTGCCCTTTATTCTTTCTTTTGGCTTCAAACTTTAGCAAAGATGTTTTAGTTAAGGTTTTCATTATGAAGTCCATCTCAGAAAGACTTGAGCCTTCCAGTCATTCTTCAGCCTGTTGTTACCTAACTTTGGGCAGCTGCCTGATAAGCCTCTATCAAAACCTGGCAGGTCAGTAAGAGTAAGCAAAACACCAGGAAAAGATACCTTTTAATCTTAACCACTCTGAAACAAAGGTTCAATTGGAGAAAAATTGTGAATCAACTGTGGTTTTCAAGTACAGTAGTCCCCCTTCATCCATGGTTACACTTTTCATGGTTTCAGTTACCCAAGACCAACCACTGTCTGAAAATATTAAATGGAATATTTCAGAAATAAGTAATCCATAAGTTTTTAAGTTACAATTTTATTTTTATTTAATGTTTTAAATTGACACATAATAATTTTACATATTTATGAGGTACAATGTGATGTTTCAATATATGTATACATTGTGTAATTATTAAATTGAGTAATTAGTATATCCATCACCTCAAACATTTATCATTTCTTTGTGGTGGGAACATAAAAATTCCTCTCATCTATCTATTTGGAGGTATACAATACCATATTATTGACCATAGTCACCCCACTATGCAATAAGACACCAGAAATTCTTTTTCCTTTCTAATTGCAACTTTGTACCCAAAGGAGTTACTCTCCTCATCTCCCTTCTCTTCCCCAGTTTCTAGTAGCTACTATTCTATTTACTACTTCTATGAAATCAACTTTTAAACATTATTCCTATGATTGAAAATATGTGATATTTGTCTTTCTGTGTCTGGTTTATTTTGTTTAATGTAATGTCCTCCAAGCTCATCCATGTTGCCACAAATGACAGAATTTTATTCTTCTTTATGGCTAAATAGTATTCCATTGTTTATATATACCACATTTTCTTATCCATTCATTCATTGTTGAGCACTTAGCTTGATTCCGTATTGTGGCTATTGTGAATAGTACTGCAGTAAATATGGCAGGGCAGATATCTCTTCAACATACTGATTGCATTTCCTTTGGATATATACCCAGTAGTGAGATTATTGGATCATACGATAGTTCTATTTTTAGTTTTTTGAGGAACTTCCATAGTGTTCCTCGAATGGCTGTACTAATTTACATTTCCAAAGAAGTGTGTAATAGTTCCCATTTCTTCATATGCTTGCCAACACTTGTTATCTGTTGTCTTTTTTATATTAGCAGTTCTAATTGGAATGAGGTGATATGACATTGTGGTTTTAATTTGTAATTCTCTGATGATTAGTGATGTTGAGAATTTTTATATACTTTACTATGGTTTGAGTTTGTCCCCACCAAAACTCATAATAAAATTTGATCCCCAGTGTGGCAGTGTTTGGAGGTAGTGCCTAATAGGAATGTTTGGGTCATGAGGGTGGATTTCTCATGAATGTCTTGCTGCTGTTTTCATACTAATGAGTTCTTGCTCTCTTGAGACTGGATTGGTTTTTACAGGAATGTTCCCACAAGAGTGGGTTGCTTTAAAGCCAGGACACTCCTTGAATTTTGATTCTTTGCATGTGTCCACTTTCCCTTAAACCATCTTTGCCATGTTATGACACAGCATGAAGGCTCTCACCAAAAGGCGGGACCATGACCTTGAACTTCCCAGCATGCAGAACTGTGAGCTGAATAAACCTCTTTTCCTTATATATATTTACCCAATCTCAGGCATTGTGTTACAGCAACACAAAATGGACTAAGGCATACCTCTTGGCCATTTTTATGTCTTAATTTGAAAAATGTTTATTAAGGCCTTTTGCCTATTTTTAAATCCAATTATTTAGGGATTTTTTGTTTGTTTGCTATTGAGTTGTTTGAGTTCCTTATATATTCTGGATATTAACCTTTTTTTCAGATGTATAGTTTGCAAATATTTTCCCCCATGTGGTAGGTTGTTTTCACCTTGCTGATTGTTTCCTCTGTGGTGTAGAAGCTTTCAAGTTTTATATAATCCCATCTGTCTATTTTTGCTTCTGTTGCCTGTGCTTTTGAGGTCTTACCCAAAGTATCATTGTCCAGTCCAGTGTCATGAAGTATTTTCCCTATGATTTCTGCTAGTAGCTTCACAGTTTTGAATCATACATTTAAGCCTATAATCCACTTTGAGTTTATTTTTGTCTGTAGTCATAGGTCGGGATCCAGTTAGCATGACAAAAATCCACACTTTATATCCTACCCACTTATTAGTTACTTAGTAGCCCTGTCAGTTATTGGATTAACTGTCTAAATATCACAGTGCTTATGTTCAAGTAACCCAAGTTTTACTAAATAATGGCCACAAGTTGCAAGAGTAGCGATGCTGGCTATTTGAATATGACAAAGAGAAGCCTCAAAATGTTTCCTTTAACTGAAAAAATGAAAGTTCTCTACTTAATAAGAAAAAAAAATCATATGTTGAGGGGTTTTGGTATTAATTTTGTACTCAGTTATCTCTTATACATCTCTTGACAAAATGCCTGAAATTACTCCCTTAAAGATTCACTCCTTTGAGTTTAAATTTTCTGTTATTGACCAAAGTCCCTCACTTACCTGGAGGAAGTTACCTTTTCTGCTTGTGTATAATTTAAGCTGTGACTATGACCTTCTTCACTTGAAAATATAGCAATGCAGTTATTTAACAGAATGGAATGAGTGAGAGAAGGAAGATGAAAAAAAGTGAAAGATAATGAATGGTTGCTGATGGGCCCCATACTAGCAAAGATGTTCTTGCTAGTGTTCCTAACTCAGTTATCTCTCATGCATCTCTTGACAAAATGCCTAAAATTTCTCTCTTACAGATTCACTCCATTGAGTTTAAATTCTCTGTTATTGAATATTCCCTGTTAAACTACAACTTCCTCTTCTCTCTTCAAAGTAACTGCTAAGGCATTTCCAGCCACTAATACCTTGTTGTGACACAGTACTTCAGATTAGTCAGTTATGGGCCCGGCGCGGTGGCTCATACCTGTAATCCCAGCACTTTGGGAGGCCGAGGCGGACAGATCACTTGAGGCCAGGAGTTAGAGACCAGCCTGGCCATCATGACGAAACCCTTTCTCTACTAAAAATACAAAAATTAGGCTGGCATGGTGGCGCCTACCTGTAATCCCAGCTACTCGGGTGGCTGAGGCACGAGAATCGAGAATCGCTTGTTGCAGTGAGCCAAGATCGAGATGGCACCACTGTACTCCGGCCTGGGCCACAGAGTGAGACTCTGTCAAAAAAAAAAAAATTAATTATTTGTTAGAATTGAGGGAATAGGATGACAGATAGGTAGGCTTTGATGGGACAGTGACAGGTTCAGATAGTAGCAGCTATGGAAGAAAGGCAGTCCCAGGTAGATAATGGAGCCTTGACTCCTCAAGAAGGAGATGGAAAGGGGAGATAGACAATTTCACAATCTTTTCAAAGGTTAAGTCTGAGGATAACAACCGCTTCCTGCTCCACCATTAGATTCTGATTTAATTGATCTGGAGAAGGGCCCAGTCACCTGTAGTTTTCAACATTTTTCAGGTGATTAAAGTACGGTCAGATTTGAGAATCATTGCTTCAAATGGGACCACAAAGAAAGCTAGGTGAATCTCAGAGAATGCTTAGAATGTAAGCATATCCCTCTCCAGTTAGGGGATTTAGTGCATTGATGCGAAGGTGGTCTGCAGAACTCTGCAATCTTATTCCACCTGCAGCTTAACTCTGTGTAGGAGGACACAGTGGTCCAAACATTCTATTTACTCAGCTCTTTGTAGGCAAGTGGAATCAAGCCATAAATTGCTATCCAGATGTTCCAAAGTAGTCATTACGTTCTAAAAATGGCAGTTATTGGTGAATTAGATAAAGAAAATATAGTAAAAAATATTTTAACTGCCTACTTGAATAAGAAATAAACTTTAAAATATGTTTACTCTAATTGCATGCTTTCTAAATTATTGATTTTCTGTCATTTTAAAATGCCACAAATTAGACATTATTTTTAATTTTGCAAACTGCTTATTTATACTTATCTAATTATTTACCAAATTTCTTGATCGTCATTCCTTCTTGCATCACTGACTTTCCTTCTGGGATTACTTTCATTCTAAAGGATATACTGGACTATATTCTTTAGAAGTTCCTTTAGTGAAGGTCTATTGGGGTAAATTATTCAGAGGTGTTTATTTCACACTTGTTTTTCCCAGTTTTTAATTTTTATTTTTGTAGGTATATAGTATGTGTATATGTTTATGGAGTACATGAGATATTTTCATAGTCATATAATGTGTAATAATCATATCAGGGTAAATGGGGTGTCAATCACCTCAAGAACTTATCTTTTCTTTGTGTTACAAATAATGCAATTATACTCTTTTTGTTATTTTTAATGTACAATAAATTATTGTTGACTGTAGTAACTCTGTTGTACTATCAACTACTATATCTCATTTATTCTATCTAACTATATAATATTTTGTACCAATTAACCATCCTCATTCCCTCCCACCCCACTACACTTCCCAGCCTCTGGTAACCATCATTCTACTCTCTATCTCTATGTGTTCCATGGTTTGAATTTTTAATTTCTACAAATAAGTGAGAACATGTGAAGTTCGTCTTTCTCTGTCTGGCATATTTCACTTAACATAACGACTGCCAATTCAATCCATGTTGTTACAAATGACAAGATCTCATTCTTTTTATGGCTGAATAGTACTCCATTGTGTATATTACCAAATTTTCTTTCTTAATACTTCTGTTGATGAACATTTAGATTGCTTCCAAATATTGGCTATTGTGAATAGTGCTGCAATAAACAAGTGAGTGCAGATATTTCTTCAATATACTAATTTCTTTCTTTTTGGGCATATACCTAGCAGTGGGATTTCTGGATCATGTGGTAGTCCTATTTTTAGTTTTTTGCAGAGCCTCCAAACTGTTCTCCATAGTGGTTGTATTAATTTACATTCCCACCTTTTTCCTATATCCTTGCCAGCATTTGTTATTGCCTGTCTTATTGAAAAAAAGGCATTTTTACCAGAGGGAGATAATATTTTATTGTAGTTTTTATTTGCATTTCTGATGATCAATGATACTGAGCACCTTTTCATATGCCTGTTTAACATTTGTATATCTTCTGTTGAGAAATGCTTATTCAAATATTTTGTCCATTTTTTGATCTGATTAAATATTTTTTCCTATAGAGTTGTCAGATTGATAATTTGCAAATATTTTCTTCCATTCTGTGGGTTGTCTGTTCACTTTGTTGATTGTTTCTTCTATTTTGCAGAAGCTTTTTAACTTGATGTGATCCAATTTGTCCATTTTTGCTTTGGTTGGCTGTGTTTGTAGAGTATTACTCAAAAAACAGAGTCCAATGTCCTGGAAAGTTTCCCCAGTGTTTTCTTTAAGTGGTTTCATAGTTAGAGGTCTTAGATTTAAGTATTTAATTCACTTTTATTTGATTCCAGTGTATGGAAAAATATAGAGGTCTAGTTTCACTTTTCTACATATAAATAACCAGTTTTCCCAGCACTCTTTATTGAAAAGACTGTCCTTTCCCCAATGTATTCTTGGCACTTTTGTCAAAAATGAGTTCACTGTAAATATATACATTTGTTTCTGGGTTCTCTATTCTATTTCATTCACTATGTGCCTGTTTTTATGCGAGTACCCTGCTGTTTTGGTTACTATAGCTCTGTAGTATAATTTGAAGTCAGGTAATGTGATTTCTCTAGTTTTGTTCTTTTTGCTCAGGATAGCTTTTGCTATTGTGGGTCTTTTGTGGTTCCGTATACTTTTTGGATTATTTTTTCTATTTCTGTAAAGAATTTAATTGGCATTTTGATAGGGCTTACATTGAATATGTACCTTGCTTTGGGTATTAAGACATTTTAACAGTGTTGATTCTTCCAATACATGAACATGAAATATATTTTCATTTTCTTGGACCCTCTTCAATTTCTTGCATCAGTATTTTATAGTTTTTATTGTAGAGATCTTTCACATCTTTGGTTAATTCTCATATATTTTATTTGTAGCTATTGTATATGGGATTAATATCTTGATTTTCTTTTTTAGGTTGTTCGCTGTCGGCATACAGAAATGCTGATTTTATATGTTCATATTGTACCCTGCAAATTTACTAAACTTGTTTATCTGCTCTAAATAGTTTTTTGTTTGAGTCTTTAGGTTTTTCCAAATAAAAGATTATATCTGCAAACAAGGATGATTTGGCTGCTTCTTTTTGAATTTGGATGCCCTTTATTTCTTTCTCTCATTTGACTGCTGTATCTATAACTTTCAGTTCTATATTGAATAACTGGTGAAAGTGGATATACTTTTCTTGTTGCATACCTTAGAGGAAGGGCTTTCAGTTTTCCCCGTTCATTATAATACTAGCTGTGGTTTGTCGTACTTTTATTATGTTGAGGCTGTTCCTTCTATACCAAGTTTTTTGAGGTATTTTATTACGAAAGGATGCTGAATTTTATCACATGCTTTTTCAGCATTAATTGAAATGGTAATATGGTTTTTGTCCTTCATTCTGTTGATATGATGTATCACACTGCTTGACTTGCATATCTTGAACCATCCATTTATCTCTGGGATAAATCCCACTTGGTCATATTTAATCATATTTTTAATATATTGTGGAATTCAGTTGGCTAGTATTTTGCTGAGGATTTTTGCGTTGATGTTCATCGAAGATGTTGGTCTGTAGTTTTTCTCTTTTTTTTGAGGTGTTTTTGTCTTGTTTTGGTATCAGGGTAATGCTGGCCTCATAGAATGAGTTTGGAAGTATTCCCTCTTCCTCTGCTTTTTAGAATAATTTGAGTAGGATTGGCATCTTTTTATTTCTTAAAATGTTTGAAAAACTTCAGCAGTGAAGCCATCAGATCCCCACATTTTGTTTTCTTCAAGACTTTGTATTATGTCTTTGAAATCATTTGTTGTTATTCGTCTACTCAGCTTTTGGATTTCTTTATGGTTAAATATTGGTAGCTTGTGTGTGTCTAGGGGTCTATCAGTTTTTCTAGGATTTCCAATTTATTGGCATATAGTTGCTCACCAAAGCTTTTAATTATCTTTTGACTTTCTGTAATATCAGTTGTAATGTCTCCTTTTTCATCTCTGATTTTCTTTTTGTGGGTCCTCTCTTTTTGTCTTAGTCAATTTTATTTATCTTTTGAAAAAGCCAACTTTTCATTTTGTTGATATTTAATATTGTATTCTTCATTTCAATTTCATTCATTTCTGCTCTGATCTGTATTATTTCTTTTCTTCTAATACTAGGCTTGTTTTGCTCTTGCTTTTCTAGTTCTTTAAGATGCATCATTATATTTATTTTACGTTTTCCTATATTTTATGTAGGCACTTATAGCTATACACTTTCCTCTTAGTACTGCTTTTGGTGTATTCCATAGCCTTTGGTATGTTGTGTTTCTATTATCATTTGTTTTAAGAAATGTTTTAATTTCATTCTTAATTACTTCATTGACTCACTAGCCATTCAGAGCACATTGTTTAATTTGCATGTATTTGTATAGTTTCCAATATTCCTCTTATTACTGATTTTTAGTTGTATTTCATTGTGGTCAGAAAAGATGATTGATATAATTTCAATTCTCTTGAATATTTTAAGACTTGTTTTCTGGCCTAAAAGGTGGTCTATCCTTGAGAATAATCCATGTGCTGAGGAGAATAATGTGTATTTTGCAGCCATTGGATTAAATATTATTTAAATATCTATTAGGTCTCTTTGGTCTATAATGCAGATTAAGTCTGATAATTCTTTATTGACTTTCTGTCTGGTTGATCTGTCTAATGCTGGAAGTGGGGTGTTGAAGTCTCCAGCTATTATTGTATTAGGATCTGTCTCTATAGGTCAAATAATATTTGCTTTATGTATTTGAGTGCTCCAATATTGGGTGTATATATATTTACAATTATGATATCTTCTTGATGGATTGACCACCTTATTATTATATTATGACCTCCTTTGTCTCTTTTTATAGTTTTAGTTTTAAAATCTATTTTGTCTAAGTATACTGACACCTGCTCTTTTTTGGTTTCCATTTGCATAGAATGTCTTTTTCCATCCCTTATTTTTCAGCATGTGTTTCTTTATAGGTGACATATGTTTCTTGTAGGCAAAAGATCATTAGGTCTTTTTTAAAAAATTTATTGAGCCATGCTGTATCTTTTGATTGGATAATTTAGCCCATTTACATTCAATGTTATTATTAATAGTAAGTACTTATTCCTGCCATTTTGTTATTTGTTTAGTGGTTGTTTTGTGGTCTTCTCTTTCTTCTTTTCCTTCTTGACTTGCTTTTTAGTGGAGGTAATTTTCTTTGATGGTATCCTTTAATTTCTTACTTTTTATTTTTTGTGTATCTGTTGTATGTTTTTTGATTTGAGGTTACCGTGAGTCTTGGAAATATAATGATTATTTTAAACTAATGAAAACACAGTTTTGTTATGCTTGTTTGCATAAACAAACAAGCAAAGAGAAAACTAATAAAAACTCTACACTTTATCTTAGTACTCACACTTTTAACTTTTTGTTGTTTCTATCTTATCGTACTGTCTATGACTTTAAATGATATTGTAGTTTTTATATTTAGTAAGTTCATTTTTTAGTCTTCCTACTCAACATATGAATAGTTTATACAACACAATTACAGTGTTATAATATTCTGTGTTTTTCTGTGTATTTACTATTAACAGTGAGTTTTGTAATTTCAGCTGATTTCTTTTTGCTCATTAACATTATTTTCTTTCAGATTGAAGAACTTTCTTTAGCATTGCTTGTGGCACAGGTCTGGTGTTGAAATTCTTCAGCTTTTGTCTGGGAAAATATTTCTCCTTTATGTCTGAAGAATAATTTTGTTGGATTTACTATTCTAGACTAAAAGTTTTTTTCTTTCAGCACTTAAATAATGTCATGCCCCTCTTTCTGGCCTATAAAGTTTGCATTGAGAAGTCTGATGCCAGACTTAATTGGAGTTTATTTGCATGCTGTTTCTTTTCTTTTGCTGCTTTTAGGATTCTTTCTTTATCTTTGACCTTTGGAAGTTTGAATATTAAATGCCTTGAGGTAGTCTTTTTTGCGTTAAGTCCGCTTGGTGTTTCATAGACTTCTTGTACTTGGATATTGATAGCTTTCTCTAGATTTGAGAAGTTCTCTATTACTATCCCTTTGAATAAACTTGCTACACCTACCTCTTTCTCTACCTCCTCTTAAAGGCCAATAATTCTTAGATTTGCCTTTTTGAGGCTATTTTTTAGATCCAGTAGGCATGCTTCATTGCTTTTTATTCTTTTTCTCTTGTCTCCTCTGTGTATTTTCAAATAGTCTGTCTTTAAGCTCACTAATTCTTTCTTCTGCTTGATCAAGCCTGCTATTAAAAGACTCTAATGCATTCTTCAGTATGCCAATTGCATTTTCAGCTCCATAATTTATTCTTGATTCTTTTTAATTACTATAATCTTTTTGTTAAATGTATCAGATAGAATTCTGAATTCCTCCTCTGTGTTATCTTGAATTTATTTGAATTACCTCAATACAGCTATTTTGAATTATCTGTCTGAAATGTCACACATCTTTGTCTCCCCAGGATTTATCCCTGGTGCCATATTTAGTTCATTTAGTGAGGGCATGTTTTCCTGAATGGTCTTGATGCTTGTTAATGTTCACTGGTATCTAGACATTAAATAATTAGGTATTTATTCTAGTTTTCACAGTTTAAGCTTGTTTGTACCTATCTTTTTGGGAAGGCTTTCCAGATATTCTAAGGGCCTTGAGGCCATGAGTGGTGGTTCACACCTGTAATCCCAGCACTTTAGGAGGCAGAAGTGGGTGGATTTCTTGAATCCAGTAGATTGAGACTAGCATAGACAACATGGTGAAACCCTGTATTTACAAAATACAAAAAAAGTAGACAGGCATAGTGGTGCATGCCTGTAGCCCCAGCTACTTGGGAGACTGAGTTGGGAGGATCACTTGAGCTCAGGAGGTGGAGGTTACAGTGAGCTGAGATCACACCACTGCACTCCAGCCTGGGTGACAGAGGGAGACCCTGTCTCAAAATAGGGGTTGAGGGTTGAGTGTGGTGATCTAAATTTTTGGTCACTGCAGCCATATCCCCATTAAGAGGAATCCCAAGCTCAGTAACACTGTGGCTTATAGACTCATAGAGGTACAACCTTGGTGATCTTGAATAAGATCCAAAAGAATTCTCTGCATTACCAGGAAGAGTCTCTTGTTCTCTTCCTTTACTTTCTCTCAAATGATCAGAGTCCCTCTTTCTGTGCTACGCTGTCTGGAGCTGGGGTAGAAGTGACACAAGCACTCTTGTGTCCACCACTGAGACAGTGCTGACTCAGACATGAATCTAGCAGAGCACTGTGTCTTGCACAAATTCTATCATAACCCCTGCCTGGCTACAGCAAATGTTTGCTCAAGGCCCTATGGCTCTACAGTCAGCAAGTGGCAAAGCCAACCAGGCTTGTGTCTTTCCCTTCAGGGTGGTGAGTCCCCCATGGTCTCGGGTGAGTCCAGAGAGGCTGTCCAGGACCCAGGGCCTAGAGTTTAAAAACTTTGGAATCTACCTGGTGTTGCATTCTACTATGGCTGAGCTGGCACCCAAGCCACAAGACAAGGACCTTTGCTCTCTTTCTGGTCCTTTCCATAAGCAGAAATGTCTCTCCCCATGGCCACCACCAACCCAGGCCCATGGCAAATACTGCCTGGGTACCACTGATGTTCATTCAAGAACTAAGGTCTCTTCAGTCAGCTTATGGTGAATGCTGCCAAGCCTGGGCTCCCTTCTGGCCCAGGGAAGCTCCAGAAATGCTGTCCAAGAGCCAACACCTGGAACTGGGGACTCCAAATGCTTGCTTGGTACTCTACCCCACTGTGGCTGAACTGGTACCTAAGCTACAAGACAAAGTCCCTTTTTACTCATCCTTGTTCATTTCTCAAGCAGAAATCATCCCTGCTGCCACAGCCACTAGAGCTGGGAATGTGCTAGGTCACATCTGGAGCCAGCATGTCTCTGAGTCTCACTCAAAGCCCACAGTAAGTACTGCCTGGGTACCACTGCTAATTATTTAGGGCCCAAGGCCTCTTTAGTCAGCAGGTAATGAATTGTGCCAGGACTGAGTAATTCTTTCAAGGCAGCAGGTTCTCTTCTGGCCCAGGATGTGTCCGTAAATGTCATCTGGGAGCTAGAGCCTAGAATGTGAGTCTCAGGGCTCTGCCTGGTACCTTATCCTACTGTGGATGAGCTGGTATCCGAGTTGCAAAACAAAGTCCTCTTTACGGTGGAAGATGACGAACAGGAGTCAGGACTAGCTTGCAACTCCCACTCGAATGCACAGAGCAGCATGTGGAGATTCACATCATGAACTTTTGCTTCAAGAACTACTGCAGGAAAATACCAGAAAAGCCAAGAGAATCCACAGACCCTTTGAAGGAACTGGATCACTGCTGCAGGCTCCCTGAGATGCCGAAAAACTGACCACAGCTGATACACTCTTGAAAGTGCCACCTCCTGGCTGGAGGCCAACCAACACAAAACCAGTGCACTAAACAAAAACACAACCAAAGACCCTCAAAAAATCCACTTCACTCTCCTGCTACCTCCACTAGAGCAAGTGCTGGTATCCATGGCTGCAAGACCTGAAGATGGATCACATCACAGGACTCTTTGCAGACACTCCCCAGTACCAGCCCAGAGCCCAGTAGCTCTGCTGGGTGGCTAGACCCAGAAGAGGAATAACAATCACTACAGTTTGGCTCTCAGGGAGCCCCATTCCTAGGGGAAGGGGGAGAACAACATATTGAGGGAGCATGCTGTGGGACAAAAGAATCTGAACAGCAGCACTTGAGTCCCAGATCTTCACTCTGACATAGTCTACCCAAATGAGAAGGAACCAGAGAAACAATTCTGGTAATATGACAAAACTAGGTTCTTTAACACCCCCAAAAGATCATACTAGCTCATGAGCAGTAGATCCAAACCAAGACAAAATCTCTGAAATGCCAGAAAAAGAATTCAGAAAGTCAATTAAGCTAATCAAGGAGGTACCAGAGAAAGGTGAAGTCCAACTTAAAGGAATAAAAACATGATACAGGATATGAAAGGAAAATTCTTCAGTGAAACAGATAATAGAAATACAAAACAATCACAACTTCTGGAAATCAAGGACACACTTAGAGAAATGCAAAATCCACTGGAAAGTTTCAGTAATAGAAGAGAACAAGCAGAAGTAAGAAGTTCAGAGCTGAAAGGCAAGGCTTTCAAATTAACCCTATTTGTCAAAGACAAAGAATTTTTTAAAAATGAACAAAGCCTCCAAGAAGTTTGGGACTATGTTAAATGTCCAAACTTAAGAATAATTGCTGTTCCCAGAGAAAAAGAGCAATCCAAAAGTTTTGAAAACATTTTTGAGGGGATAATCAAGGAAAACTTCCCTGGCCTTGCTAGAGATTTAGACATCCAAATACAAGAAGTTTCAAGGAACACCTTTGAAAGGAAGTTCATCACAAAAAGGTCATTGCCTAGGTACATAGTCATCAGGTTATCTAGAGTCAAGATGAAGGAAAGGAAAATATCTTTGCTTTTTTTTGTTGTTGTTGACAGAGTCTTACTCCATCAACCAACCAGACTGGAGTGCAATGACACAATTTCAGCTCACTGCAACCTTTGCCTCCCAAGTTCAAGTGATTCTTATGCTTCAGCCTCTCAAGTAGCTGAAATTACAGGTGCACGCCACCATGTCTGGCTAATTTTTGTGTTTTTAGTAGAGACAGGGTTTCACCATGTTGGCTGGGCTGATCTTGAATTTGTTACCTAAAGTGATCCACCTGCCTTGGCCTCCCAAAGTGCTGGCATTATCCATCATGCCCAGGCATAATCCATCGTGCACAGGCTTAATCCATCATGTCCAGATGAAAAGAATCTTAAGAGCTGTGAGGTGAAAGGATCATGTAACCTATAAAGGAGAACCTATAAGATTAACAGCAGATTTCTCAGCAGAAACCTTACAAGCTAGAAAGGATTGGGGTCCTATTTTTAGCCTCCTTAAACAAAGCAATTATCATCCAAGAATTGTGTGTCCAGCCAAACTAAGCTTCATAAATGA
The DNA here is from genome assembly GCF_000001405.40 of Homo sapiens. Taxonomy (NCBI): domain Eukaryota; kingdom Metazoa; phylum Chordata; class Mammalia; order Primates; family Hominidae; genus Homo; species Homo sapiens. Next base: position 80,639,632 of record NC_000023.11, read on the forward strand.
AGGAAAGATACATTCTTTTCCAGACAAACAAATGCAGACAGAATTTATCACTACCAAGCTAGCACTACAATAACTGTTAAAAGGAGCTCTAAGTCTTGAAACATGTCCTCAAAATACACCAAAATAGAACCTCTTTAAAGCATAAATCTCACAGGACCTATATAACAATAACACAATGAAAAAAAAACAAGGTGTTCAGGCAACAAATAGCATGATGAGTATAATAGTACCTCACATCTCAATATTAACATTGAATGTAAATGGCCTAAATGCTCCACTGAAAAGATACAGAATGGCAGAATGGATACGTATTCTCCAACCAAGTTTCTGCTGTCTTCAAGAGTCTCACCTAATGCATAAGGACTTACACAAACTTAAGGTAAAGTGGTGGAAGAAGACATTCCATGCAAATGGACACCAAAAGCAAGCAGGAGTAGCTATTCTTAGACAGAACAAACTAAAGCAACAGCAGTTAAAAAGACAAAAAGGGACATTATATAATGATAAGAGGACTAGTCAAATAGATAATTATCAGAGTTATAAATATATATGCACCTAATACTGGCACTCGCAAATTTGTAAAACAATTACTACTAGACCTAAGAAATGAGATAGATGGCAACACGATAATAGTGGGGGACTTCAATACTCCACCAAAAGCACTAGACAGTCCATCAAGACAAGAAGTCAAAGAAAAAACAATGGAATTTAACTATACCCTACAACAAATGGACTTAACATATATTTACAGAACATTCTACCCAACAATTGCAGAATATACATTCTATTCATCAGCATATGAAACATTCTCCAAGATAGACCATATAGTAGGCCACTAAAAAAGTCTTAGTAAATTTAACAAAGCCAAAATTGTATCAAGTACTCTCTCAGACTACAGTGGAATAAAATTGGAAAAAAACTCCAAAAGGAACCCTCAAAACCATTCAAATACATGAAAATTAAATCACCTGTTCCTGAATGATCATTGGGTCAACAATGAAATCAAGATGGAAATTTAAAAATTATTTGAACTGAACAATAATAGTGACACAAGCTATCAAAACCTCTGGGATGCAGCAAAGTGGTGCTAAGAAGAAAGTTCGTAGCATTAAATGTCCATATCAAAAAGTCTGAAAGAGCACAAATAGACAATTTAAGGTCACACCTCACAGAACTGAATAAAGCAAGAACAATCCAAACCCAAACCTAGCAGAAAAAAATAAGTAACAAAGATCAGAGAAGAACTAAATGAAATTGAAACATACAAACAAAAACAATACAAAAGACAAATGAATCAAAAAGCTGGTTCTTTGAAAAAATAAATAAAATTGATAGACCATTAGCAAGATTAACCAAGAAAAGAAGATTCAAATAAGCTCAATTAGAAATGAAACGAGAGATATTACAAATGATACCACAGAAATACAAAAGATTTTTCAAGGCTACTATAAACACTAGAAAACCTAGAGGAGATAGATAAATTTCTGGAAATATATAACCCTTCTAGATTAAACCAGGAAGATATAGAATCTCTGAACAGACCAATAACAAGCAGTGAGACTGAAATAGTAAAAATTGCCAACAAAAAAACGTTCAGGACCAGACCAAGTTGCAGCTCAATTCTATCAGATATTCAAAGAAGAATTGGTACCAATTCTGTTGACACTATTCCAAAAGATAGAGAAAAAGGGAGTCCTTCTTAAATCATTCTATGAAGCCAGTATCACGCTAATATCAAAACCGTGGAATGACATAACAACAACAAAAAACTACAGACCAATATCCCTAATTAACATAGATGCAAAAATCTTCAACAAAATTTAAAACAAAAATCATGTGACCATCTCAATAGACTCAGAAAAAGCATTTGGCAAAATGCAACATCTCTTTATGGCTAAAACCTTCAGCAAATTTGGCATGGAAGGGACATACTTTAAGGTAGTAAAAGCCATCCATTACAAACGCACAGCCAACATTCTAATAAAAGGGGAAAAGTTGGAAGCATTCCCACTGAGAACTAGAACAAGACAAGGATGTCCACTTTTACCACTTCTATTCAACATTGTACTGGAAGTCCCAGACAGAGCAATCAAACAAGAGAAAGAAATAAAGGGCATCCTAATAGATAAAGAGGAAGTCAGACTGTCACATTCACTGATGATATGATTGTATACCTAGAAAACCCTGAGACTCATTCAAAAAGCTCCTAGAACTGATAGATAAATTCAGCAAACTTAGGATACAAAATTAATGTACACAAATCAGTAGCTCTGCTATCCACAAACAGCAACTAAGCTGAGAACCAAATCAAGAACTCAACTTCTTTCACAATAGCTGCAAAAAACATAAAATACTTAGGAATATACCTAACCAAGGATATGAAAGGCCTCTACAAGGCAAACGACAAAACACTGCTGAAAGAAGTAATAGATAACACAAACAAAGGGAAACAAATCCAATGCTCATGGATGGGTAGAATAAATATTGTGAAAATGACCATACTGCCAAAAGCAATCTATAAATTCAATGCAATTCCCATCAAAATACCACCATCATTCTTCACAGAACTAGAAAAAATTATCCTAAAATTTATATGGAACCAAAAAAGAGCCTGCATAGCCAAAGCAAGTCTAAGCTATAAAAATAAATCTGGTGATATTGCATTACCTGACTTCAAATTATACTATAAGGCCATAGTCACGAAAACAGCATGGTACTGGTATAAAAACAGGCATGTAGACCAATGGAACAGAATAGAGAACCCAGAAACAAAGCCAAATAGTTACAGCCGATGATCTTCAACAATGCAAATAAAAACATAAAGTGGGGAAAGGACATCCTATTCAACAAATGGTGCTGAAATAATTGGCAAGCCACATGTAGGAGAATGAAACTGGATCGTCATCTCTCACCTTATATAAAAGTCATCTCAAGATGAGTCAGACTTAAATCTAAGACCTGAAACCATAAAGATTCTAGAAGATAACATTGGAAAAATACTTCTGGTCATTGGCTTAGGCTAAGATTTCATTACCAGGGACCCAAAAGCAAATGCAAAAAAAAAAAAAAAAAAAAAAAAAGATAAATAAATGGGACTTAATTAAACTAAAAAGCTTCTGCACGGCAAAAGAAATAATTGGCAGAATTAACAGAAAACCCACAGAGTGGGAGAAAATCTTCATAATCTATACATCCAACAAAGGCCTAATATCCAGAATCTACAAAGAACCCAAACAAAGCAAGAAAAGAACAAACAATCCCATCAAAAAGTGGGCTAAGGATATGAATAGACAATTCTCAAAATAAGATATACAAATGGCCAACAAGCATATGTAAAAATGCCAAACATCACTAAATATCAGGGAAATGAAAATCAAAACCAAAATGCAATACCACCTCACTCCTGCATGTATAGCCATAATCAGAAAATCAAAAAATAATCGATGTTGGCATGGATGCAGTGAAAACGGAACACTTACACTGTTGGTGGGAATGTAAACTAATACAACCACTGTGGAAAACACTGTTGGAATTCCTTAAAGAACTAAAAGTAGATACACCATTTAATCCAGCAATCCCATTACTAGGTATCTACCCAAAGGAAAAGAAGTCATTATATGAAAAAGATACTTGCACACACGTTTATAGCAACACAATTTGCAATTGCAAACATATGGAACCAGCTCAAATGCCCATTAGTCAACAAGTGGATAAAGAAAATGTGCCATATATATATGTGTGTGTGTGTGTATGTATGTGTGTGTATATATATACATATATACATATATACATATACATATATATACATATATACACATACATGTATGCATATATATGTATACATACACGTATGCATATATATGTATACGTGTATGTATGCATATGTATGTATGCATATATACATATGTATATATGTGTGTGTGTATATATATAGGAATACTACTCAGCCATAAAAAGGAATGAAATAATGGCATTTGCAGTAACCTGGATGGAATTAGAGACAATCATTCTAAGTGAAGTAACTCACGAATGGAAAAAACAAAGGTCGTATGTTCTCATGCATATGTGGGAGCTAAGCTATGAGGATGGAAAGGCATAAGAATGATACATTGGACTACGGGGACTCAGGGAAAATGGAGGGTGGTGGTGAGGGATAAAAGACCACTCATTAGGTACAGTGTACACTGCTTGGATGATGGGTGCACCAAAATCTCAGAAATCACCTCTGAAGAACTTATTCATGTAACGAAACACCACCTGTTCCCCAAAAATCTATTGAAATAAAAAAATTAAAAATTAAAAACCAAAAAACAAAGTCCTCTTTAACCTTTCCTCTCCTCTTCTCAAGTAGAAAGAAAGAATCTCTCTTGGAGCGGTGCTACCTAGGGTTGGGGAAGGGGTGGCACAAGCACTCTTTTCGATGACCCAGCTGATGTCTCACTGAGTCATGTTATCCCAAGTCCACTGGCTCTGAGCCCAGCATGGCAGCAGGACTTTCCCAAGAATTGCAGTACTTGTGGCTTTGAGAGCCTTTCAAGTTTATTTAGTACCCCAGAGCCCTTTAGTCCATAGTGGCAAGGCTTGTTGGAACTCAGGTTCTGACCACTGGGATGGACGATTCCCCTCTGGCTAGGACTGATCTAGATGCTCCCTCCATGGACACCATCTGAGTTCTGTCCAGTGTTGCCTTCTGACAGGGCAGCACTGCGTTCCAATGCAAAGTCTCACA